>NC_000003.12:49706969-50010000 GCF_000001405.40 Homo sapiens
GCCCTTGATGCCCCCACCCTCTCAGGCCTCTGGCACACACATGTCCCTTCCCACACTTCAGACTCCATCACCCCATGCCATGTCCCCTGTACCCCTCATGCTCTGTGGACTGAGGAAGCGCAGTTTCTGGACCTCCAGTTCGCCTCATAGACCTGTCCTTCGAGGAACAAACTCTGTCTGTCTGCCTCCCCTGCTCCCACCCCCTCCCAGTTTCTTGGCCCCCGTCCTTCTCTCCCAGTGCATCAGGGGCTCTGCAGTCTTTCCCGGAGGCACACTCCACCATCTGTGCCTGCCTCTGTCTGACTCATTACCACCCGAGGCCACTGGCTTGTTCCCCACTCACTCATTCACTTGCTCATTCATTCAATAACATGCACTCAAAACCTGGTGTGTGCCAGGTGCTGTCCTGGAACTAGGGACACACACACATTAATAAGTCAGAAAGATGAGCCTCTGCCTTCTGAAGGCACTCAGCCTGGTCAGATACATGGATGGACAGACAGATGGATGGGGCACTCCTGCTGTGACTGAAGTTTCACCCCCAGGCCTCAGACTCTCTGGACTTGTTTCCTCTCCCTGCCCCTCTTGGCATCTCTTCCCTAACCAGTGAGTGCCCTGAGGGTCTCTTCAGGTGCCCAGGTCAGGGTATCTGCTGTCTTCTTGGGCATACCCCTGCATGACTGGGTGATCGAGGCCTTTGGTATCCCCATTTCTATCATCTCTGCTTGCTGTTTCTTCTCATGGCTCTTTTGCAAAACCCAAACCACCTCCACCTTTTTCCCATTCGTGACTCTCCTGCTACCCTGGATGACCGTGCTTACTGCCCCATGACGGGAACTTCCTCTCCCTTCTGCCCTGAGATTTCCTGCCTGCCCACCTCCCTCAGAAGTTTGGCTGCCCTCTCCCACACTGTCTTCTCAAGACCCTTGCCCTCTCATCTCTCTGCCTTTTTTTAGTTATGCTAAAATATGTGTGACATAAAATGTACCATCCTAGCTGTGTTTTTTTTGTTTTGTTTTGTTTTGTGTTTTTTTTGAGACAGAGTCTCACTCTGTTGCCCAGGCTGGACTGCAATGGCATGATCTTGGCTCACTGCAACCTCTGTCTCCCGGGTTCAAGCAGTTCTCCTGGATTATAGATGTGCTACCGCGCCCAGCTACTTTTTGTATTTTTTGGTAGAGACAGGGTTTCACTTTGTTGGCGTGGCTGGTCTCAAACTCCTGGCCTCATGTGATCCTGCCACCTCGGCCTCCCAAAGTGCTGGGGTTACAGGCGTGCGCCACTGTGCCCGGTCACCCATCATAGCCATTTTTAAGTGTTAAGTCTATTCACATTGTCGTGCAGCCAATCTCCACACTCATTTCATCTTGCAAAACTGATACTCCGTGCCTGTTGAACAAAACCTCCTGTCCTCCCTTCCCCAGCTTCCCTGACAGCTCCCACCCATCCCCACCTGTCAGCAGATCCCTGGGTCTGGCAGCTGGGGGAGCAGTGGTTCTGGCATCAGGTCCCTGAGTGCTCTGGCCAGCGGCTCACAGACCCCCAGCTGGGCCTTACTTCCATGTCATGAGGGGACCACCATGGCCCTGTTCTGAGGCTAGCTCAGGTTGCCCCTGGCAACCACCATCCTACTTTCTGTCTCTGAATTTGACTATACTAAGCACCTCATCTAGGAAGAATCATACACTATTTGTTCTTTTGTGTATGGCTTTAGCATAATGTCCTCAAGGTTCATTCGTGTTATAGCATGTGTCAGAATTTCTTCATTTTCCAGGCTGAATAATATTCTGTTGTACGGACACCACATTTCATATATCCAGTCCTTTGCTGATGGACACTCGGGTTGCTTCTACTTTGGGCTACTGTGAATAATGCTGTAATGAACATGGGTTTGCAAAGATCTCTTTGAGACCCTAATTTCAATTCTTTTGGTTATATACCCAGAAGTGGAATTACTGTATCATATGGTAATTCTGTTTTTTATTTTATTTTTAATTTTAATTTTTTATTTTTTTTGAGATGGAGTCTCACTCTGTCACCCAGGCTGGAGTGCAATGGTGCGATCTCGGCTCACATCCTGGGTTCAAGTGTTCTCCTGCCTCAGCCTCCCGAGTAGCTGGGACTACAGGTGCGCACCACCATGCTCGGCTAATTTTTGTGATTTTTTTTTTCTTTTTTTGAGGTGGAGTTTTGCTCTTCTTGCCCAGGCTGGAGTGCAATGGCGCGATCTCGGCTCACGGCAGCCTCTGCCTCCCAGGTTCAAGCAATTCTCCTGCCTCAGCCTCCTGAGTAGCTGGGATTACAGGCATGTGCCACCACGCCCAGCTAATTTTGTATTTTTTTTTTTTTGAGACAGAGTCTCACTCTTTCACCCAGGCCGGAGTGCAATGGCGCTATCTCAGCTCACTGCAAGCTCCGCCTCCCGGGTTCACACCATTCTCCTGCCTCAGCCTCCCGAGTAGCTGGGACTACAGGCGCCTGCCACCACGCCCGGCTAATTTTTTGTATTTTTAGTAGAGACAGGGTTTCACCGTGTTAGCCAGGATGGTCTCGATCTCCTGACCTCGTGATCCACCCGCCTCGGCCTCCCAAAGTGCTGGGATTACAGGCGTGAGCCACCGCGCCTGGCCTAATTTTGTATTTTTTTTTAGTAGAGATGGGGTTTCTTCATATTGATCAGGCTGGTCTTGAACTCCCGACCTCAGGTGATTCGCCCGCCTCGGCCTCCCAAAGTGCTGGGGTTACAGGCGTGAGCCATCGCGCCCTGCAATTTTTGTATTTTTTGTACAGATGGGGTTTCACCGTGTTGGTCAGGCTGGTCTTGAACTGCTGACCTCAGGTGATCCGCCTGCCTCGGCTTCCCAAAGTGCTGGGATTGCAGGCATGAGCCACCGCGCCCGGCCAATTCTGTTGTTTAATTTTTTGGAAACTACCATATCATTTCTACAGTGGCTGTGCCTGTTACATTCTCACCAGTAGTGCATGAGGGTTCCAATTTCTCCATACATATCCTTACCGACACTTCTTATTTTCTGCCCTTTTTTTTTCTTGGTAGACGCAGGGTCTCACTATGTTGCCCAGTTGTCAAACTCCTGGGTTCAAGGAATCCTCCTGCCTCGGCCTCCCAAAGTGCGGGGATTATAGGCATGAGCCACCACACCCGGCAATTTCTACTTTTTTAATAGTAAATCCTAATGGGTAGGATATGGTACCTTATTGTGGTTCTGCATTTTGCTAATGATTAGTGACATTATGACAAATAGTACCTTTACAAGCACTTATTGGCCATTTGCATATCTTTTGTTTGTTGGTTTGTTTGTTTTGTTTTGAGAGGGAGTCTCGCTCTGTGGCACAGGCTGGAGTGCAGTGGCAAGATTTTGGCTCACTGCAACCTCTGCCTCCCAGGTTCAAGCGATTCTTCCACCTCGGCCTCCTGAGTAGCTGGGACTATAGGCATACGCCACCACGCCCGGCTAATTTTTGTATTTTTAGTAGAGATGGGGTTTCACCTTGTTGGTCAGGCTGGTCTCAAACTCCTGACCTTAGGTGATCCGCCTGCCTCGGCCTCCCAAAGTGCTGGGATTACAGGCTTCAGCAACCGCGCCTGGCCATATCCTATAATTTTGCTGAATTTATTTATTAATCCTAGTTGGGGTTTTGTGTGTGTGTGTGTATCTTTAGGATTTTCTACTTATAAAATCATGTCTGTGAACAGAGATAATTTTACTTTATCCTTTCCAGTGTGGTTTCCTTTCTTTTTCATGCTTAGTTGCTCTGGCTGGGATTTCCAGGACTGTGCTGAGCAGAAGTAGAGAAAGTGGCACACTTGTCTTGTTCTTGGTCTGAGGGAGGGAGGGATTATAGTCTGTTACCACTGAGTGTGATGTTAGATGGAGGCTTTTCATATATGGTCTTTATTATGTTGAACTGCCTTCATTCTCTGCATCTTCAGCACTAACTCACCTGTGTCTTTCTAATCCCATTATTAATGGAGAGATTCACTCCTGTAAACCAGCACTTTGGGAGGCTGAAGCGGGAGGATCACTTGAAGCCAAGAGTTCATGACCAGCCTGGGCAACCCATCTCTACAAAAAAAACAAAATTTAATTAGCGGGGCATGGTGACACATACCTGTAGTCCCAGCTACTCTGAGGTCAGGAGTTCAAGACCAGCCTGGCCAACATGGCGAAACCCCATCTCTCCTAAAAATACAAAAATTAGCAGGGCGTGGTATCACATACCTGTAGGAGGATCACATGAGCCCAGGAGTTCCAGGTTACAGTGAGCTGTGATTGTGCCACTGCATTCCAGCCTTGACGCTATATGTGCCCAAAAGTTATGCTCTCTCCTTCTTTCTCTGTCTTAGCTGCTACATCTTCCCCTTCATCTCCCTCCAGCACAGGCTCTTCCCCATCTCTGAAATAGTCTCACCAGGGTCTCTGTCTGCCCCCATCTCAATCCGGCCGGCACATTTCCATCTCCTTTGCATTGATACCTTAGCTCTGATGGGGCCATTGCCAGCCCCTCACCAGACACAGTCTTCGCTGGCCTTCTGTAGCAGCAGGATCATCGCTGCCTAGGTTTGCGCCTAGGCCCTCCCCTAACCTCTTGCTTACATCTTCTCCTCAGTTCCTTGGGCTTTAGGGCACATCAGAGAGCTGGTGTGAAGCCCAGGTGCTGTGACCGCACTCCAAGACACACGGGTGCTGTGGGTCTGGGCTGGGGCCTGAGGCCTCATTCTTGCCTGGGCTCCTTTGTGAGACCCTGACATAGACTTTGTGGAAACCACATTGTGGGGAGCAGGGCCCTCAGCAGGTTTTGTCTGTTTCCTGTGACCTCTGTTCCACCAGTCACACTGCCCCCTGCTTTCCCACCACCTTCTCCTTTGCACTCCAGATCAAATTTCTGCCTGTCTGCTTACCATCGCCAGCTCTCTTGGGCCCTTCACACACCTTGTACTCCACTTTTCCACACAGACTTCCAGTCACAGCACCCTCTTGCCTAAAACTTGCTTACAGGCTGAGGCAGGCAGATCACCTGAGGTCAGGAGTTCAAGACCAGCCTGGCCAACATGGCGAAACCCCATCTCTACTAAAAATACAAAAATTAGCCGAGCGCGGTATCACATACCTGTAGTCCCAGCTACTCGGGAGGCTGAGGCAAGACAATCCCTTGAACTTGGGAGGCGGAGGTTTCCAGTGAGCCAAGAGGGCGTCACTGCACTCCAGCCTGGGTGACTCCATCTCAAAAAAAAAAAAAACTTGCTTACAAATATGCTGACCAGAGTTCTGGCCTGGGTCACAGTAATGCGCCCTCCAGGCTGAGTGCGTCCCTCTTGCCTGCTGAGGACTTGATTGCCCTGCTTGAGCTACTGCTCATGCTTCCTGAAATCCAGGTCTCAGTTGTGCTGTCGTAGGCCTGGGGAGGCCTTTCCTGATCCCCAGGCCAGGACATGCCCCCAAGACCCCACTGGTGCGCAACCCAGCAGCACCCCGTGTGCCTCCTGCAGGAGAAGATGCTGGACATCTACTGGCTGCTGCGCGTCTGCCTGCGGACCATTGAGCACGGTGATCGCACAGGGTCTCTCTTTGCCTTCATGCCCGAGTTCTACCTGAGCGTGGCCATCAACAGCTACAGTGCTCTCAAGAATTACTTTGGTCCCGTGCACAGCATGGAGGAGCTCCCAGGTGATGGAACCATTCAGGCTGAGGCAGAAGCAGAAAAGGGGTCTCTAGTGTGAGCCCTAGGAGCCCTGGTCTGAGACCTCTGTGGCCCAGCAACACACTTCTGTGGGGGGCGGGGAGGGGAGGAGCTTCCTCTGTGGTTCACCCTGCAGCAAACAAACGTCTGCACCCTGCCCTGGGACCTGCAGCCACAGAGCCAACAGCTCCCTAGCAAAGGAAAACAGACAAGATGGAACACGGTGGGTGTAGACCTCTTGGCTTTCACTTCCTTCCTAGTGCTATGAGCAACTGCCATGGTCCAGGAGCCAGCTGGCCTTGCACCTTGACTCCCTGGCACTGGTCACAAAGCGTAGCAGTTGGTCAGGGGCAGAATGGTTTGTCTTGGTAAATCACAGCAGGGGGTGGACCCTGCTAGGGTCCACATCCGAACCTGGGCCTCTCAGCCTGCTGATTCCAGGCTGGGCGTGGCAGTGTATGTCTGGATCAGGCAGTGAGCTGTCAGGCCCCTAGCCTGCCCCCTGCCCAGCCACAGGCCTCAGTGCAGGCTTTGTCTTCAAAGACAGAGCTGTGAGTGCCCAAGGAGCTTTGACTGCTCATCAGGTGTGTGTGCTGAGATGGGTTTGAGCCCAGGTCAGGGCTCCTGCCAGGGCCTGTCATCCCTTCACAGTGAGCCTGTGCCTTAGCCCTTGCACAGCCACCAATGAATGCTTTGCCCGATGTCCCCAGATGCCACCCTGGGTCCAGGCTGGCCTTGGGAGCCAGCTCTAGAGCCTGCTACCCAAGTCCACCCACCCTGCTGACATGCCTGCCTCTGGAGCCCCCACTCCCAGCCGACACGTCTCACTTCCCACCCTTGCAGGCTATGAAGAGACCCTGACCCGCCTGGCTGCCATTCTCGCCAAACACTTTGCCGACGCACGCATTGTGGGCACTGGTGAGGGGCCCCTACAGAGGGTACAGGGGGAGGGGGATGGGATGGCACCTCTGGTCGGCTTTCTTCTATGAAAAATGTGGCCAGGTGGGCATGAAGTATGGGTCCAGGGCTCATGCCAAGCCCCTGCTGAGGCACGGTGTGTCCCCGCAGACATCCGAGACTCACTGATGCAGGCCCTGGCCAGCTACGTGTGCTACCCACACTCCCTGCGGGCTGTGGAGCGAATCCCCGAGGAGCAGTGAGTGGGGCCTGGGGGGCACACACCCTGGCCACAAGCACCATGCCCAGCCTCACCCCGTCTCTCCCCTCCTTGCCCTCACAGGCGTATCGCCATGGTGAGGAACCTCCTGGCGCCCTATGAGCAGCGGCCCTGGGCCCAGACCAACTGGATCCTGGTGCGGCTCTGGAGGGTAAGCCTGACTCGAGGGGAAGTGGCTGAGGCTGGCTGGAGGGAGAGGGTGCGCTGTCCCATTGACCTGGGCACTGACCCCCACCTCCACAGGGCTGTGGCTTCGGGTACCGCTATACACGGCTGCCACATCTGCTGAAAACCAAACTTGAGGACGCCAATTTGCCCAGCCTCCAGAGTGAGTATCTGGGTTGGGCGAGTCCTGGGCAAGGCAGGCGGGGGCGCTTACCTCCTACCCATGGGTTCTTTCAGACTCTCCACTTCTTCCAGCCCCTCTCTGGTTCCCCCATTGGGTCCCAGACTCCCTACGTGTCCCCTGGGGTTTCCACTTTCCCTGCTTCCTTCCAGCCCAAGGATACTCGGGATGGGACTCCCCCTCCCCAGCCTTGCCCACAGTCTTACCTACATGTGCCCTTTGGGCCTGGATGCTCTATGTGGGTCATGGTGAGAGGCGGCACCATGTTCCTGGCCTGCTACAGCTCATGCAGACTGAATACTCTGTCCCTTGCCCTTTAAGCTAGCTCCCTGACCTCCAGCCTTGTCCCAGCACCATGTCCTTCTGCTTCTTTTTTGCTATCTGCTGGTGGCAGACCCTGGCCTTGGCTTAGGCCTTGGACACCTGAGTCCACTGGGAGCACAGATTGGAGGTTGGCCAGGTCCCCAGAGGGTATTCACGAGAGTTCCTGGAGGAAGGGACATTTAGTTGGGAGCAGAGGCTGTGCCCTCTCTCCAGGGTCCAGCAAGGACTTTCCCCTAGGCCTGGCCCTTGCAGAGTGCCAGGTGTGCCACACACTGTCCTCACCCTTCATGGTGGCTCTTCTTGGCTCATGTAGTCTGTTTCTGCCCTTGTGGGCAGTGTTTTGGTCCAAAGGGTGTCCCCAGAGAGGCTGAGTGTCTTCTGCTAAGTCACACAGCAAGTCCTTGCCAATTGCCGTGGTCCTGCGTCCAGGGCGGAACTGAGCTGCAAGTGGAGAGCGGCAGTGGGGCCAGGCCTGTCCTGCTGCTGCGGGAACTATTGATTTGTATCAAGCTGGTGGGGAGGTGCGCCAGGCCCGTTGCAGCTGAGGGCTCCGGTTACTGCTGCCTGCCAGCCCAGACTTGGTGCCCACCACCTCGGCCATATGCCAAGGCCAGGCCAAGGGCAGCAGAGGACAGTAGAGGACAGCAGGTTTGCAGCAGGGCTTAGAGTAGGCTCTTGGAGGAGCTGGCCTTGGTGCCGGTGGGGAAGCATCTAAGCCGCCCTGTTTAGGTCTGACCCTATCTGAAGGGTGTGCGACCCAGAACTTGCTGAGGGTCAGGCTGTGGCTGTGTGGCTGCTCTGGACCTGGAGTGGATGGTGTGGTGTCAGGGCTGGACACAGCTGCAGCCTGGGGCTTGCCTAGTAGAAGGAGGGGACAGATTCTGTCCCAACTAACTCCAAGGCAGCTGTCCTCTGTCCCCTGCTTTCATGACCTGAGCATTCCTAGGGAGCCATCTTTCTGTCCTTATACCAAAGCCTCAATGGGCGAGGACAGAGGCAAACAGGCAGAGGCCACTGCAGTGGAGTCCCTGATGATGCCGCCTCCTGTCCCCCTGCAGAGCCCTGCCCTTCCACCCTGCTGCAGCAGCACATGGCGGACCTCCTACAGCAGGGTCCTGATGTGGCACCCAGCTTCCTCAACAGCGTCCTCAATCAGCTCAACTGGGCCTTCTCTGAATTCATTGGCATGATCCAAGAGGTGGGCTGTGGTGGGGCCTCGTGGGTTAGGGTGGTGCAAGGGATGAGGCCTGGTCCTGGGCTAGAGCCAGGTGCTGACCACTGCATGCCCACGTGTTGGTGGCTCAGATCCAGCAGGCTGCTGAGCGCCTGGAGCGGAACTTTGTGGACAGCCGGCAGCTCAAGGTATGTGCCACCTGCTTTGACCTCTCGGTCAGCCTGCTGCGTGTCTTGGAGATGACTATCACACTGGTGCCTGAGATATTCCTTGACTGGACCCGGCCTACCTCTGAGATGCTGCTGCGGCGTCTTGCACAGGTGTGGCCATCTGGGCAACAAGGGTGGGACCCTGGGGATGCCCCATTGATGACGCTCCCCATCCACCAATGGACTCCTGCTCCCCTCACAGCTGCTAAACCAGGTGCTGAACCGGGTGACAGCTGAGAGGAACCTGTTTGATCGTGTGGTCACCCTACGGCTGCCTGGTGAGGACCTAGATGCCCTGCACCCCAACACACTACAGGCCTCGGTTCCTCTGCTAGGAACAGTGAGGCCTGATTCCACATTCTGCCCCCGGACAGCCAGACTTGGTGCTCTGCAGTCTCGGCTCACCCTTCTGTAGAGAGGGCAGTGGGCAGGCCTGGAGCCCTTGAAGCAGGAGCATGTGGGTGGCTCATCTCTTTCCTCCCCTTCCCCTCAGGCCTAGAGAGCGTGGACCACTATCCCATTCTGGTGGCAGTGACGGGCATCCTGGTGCAGCTCCTGGTGCGTGGCCCAGCCTCAGAGTGAGTGTTGGGGACCGTGGGCCCCTGTGGGAGTTGGGTGTGTCTGGTGAGGAGGGGCTGGACAGGGCCTCCTGGTACTTCAGTTTCCTCATCTGGAAAATGGACCTCAGCATCAGGTTTTGAGGCAGAGGGAAGGTGGTGAGGTGTGAACGGCCTAAATAGGGGGCAGACGGAGCTGCTCTAAGTAGGAGAATCTGGGACCCCAGCAGGACAGGTGGCCCTGGCCCACAGAGCCACTGGCTTGTGGCCATGCCTCAGGCCAGGCATGGGAGGCAGGACTCCGGAGGGTGTGCCGTCCTGTGGTGGACAGGGCCAGGCCGCCAGGAGAGCTGAACACACGGAGGACCGCCATTGTCTGCAAAGGCTCTAGCAATAAGCATGTGCTACCTTTATTAAACTCTGGAGCAGCGAGGTCCAGGATGGCCATGGGGGCCCCCAGCTCGGCCCCCACACATGAAGGGCTCCCAGACCCCCCTTCCCTGCCCCCCTGCAGTGGGAGCAGTGAGATGCATATGAAGCCAGGGTACCGCCTCAGCCATTAGGCTGAGACCAGTGCCAGCCCTTAAGAGGCTCCTGCTCTCGAGGGACGTGGAGTTCCGGCTCGGCCCTCCCAGCTCGGCCATGCTCGCCAGGCTTTTCGGGCTTTTTACTGCTGAAAAGCAGGGGTGCAGGCCATGATCCCCTTCACTGTGTCTTGTGAGCCCACAGAATGGGCTCTGCCTTCAGAACAACGGGTGGATGCCCCAGGCCAGAGAGAGCAGGGCCTCTGGCTGGGGCTTAGGCCAGACCACCAGGAACCTCTTGAGGAGCCTTTCCTGCCTGGTGCCTGCCCACCGGACTCTGCGTGAAGTTGTGAAGCTTTCAGGAGGTTGGGTGTTGGTGGATGGAGGGAGTCCCATTTCACCAGAGGGCGGGCTTGTTTCCTCTTTCTGTCCTGGGGTGTGGGCGAGATCTTCCTTCAGAGCCGCCTTCTTTTCCCTGTGGGCCCACTCCCTCCCACCCCCTTGGGAAGGGGAGGTGGCCCTGCGTCAGCTCTTGAGCACCACTCCTCGAGAGCTGTCTCAGCCCCTGAGGGTGGACGGGAGGCTCTGCTACAGGGGTTCTTCCACAGGCTGTAGAAGAACACAGCCACTTCCACAGCTGTGCTGTGTTGAAAGCCACAGGGGCCTGGGTCTCTCAGCCTCACAGGGCATTTGGGCACTAGGAAGTCCGCGGGAAAGCAGGAACTAGCACACCTTGCAGGGCCTGGGGCCTTTGGGTCCTGTGCAGGGGCAGAGCAGAAGGCAGGTTGGGGACCACAACCCCTGTCTCTACCAGTGAGCGAGAAGGCCCATTGTGTTTCGAGGCCCATACAGGAAGCTGGGGGGCCAGGCACAGTGCTTCCCACCAGTATCTGCCAGTTCTCTGGACCGAAGCAGGGAGCAGGGCGAGCAGCAAGAGGGTGGGGGCCTGGGTGGGGGAGCCCTGGGCAGTCTAGGTTGTCATGGGACCCTCGGAGCCTATGGAGCTGGCGGACTCAGAGCCAGCCTTCAGCTGCAGGCCTCCAGGGTTGTAGAGATCGAATTCCTCAGCTACTGCCAGCTGCACGCGGCCATTGAGGCCCCTCCGGCCTGGCTCCAGAAAGACTACGTGCTTGTGGACGCTGGCCTTGCGGCTGGGTG
This sequence comes from Homo sapiens, assembly GCF_000001405.40. Taxonomy (NCBI): domain Eukaryota; kingdom Metazoa; phylum Chordata; class Mammalia; order Primates; family Hominidae; genus Homo; species Homo sapiens. The sequence goes on from NC_000003.12 coordinate 49,718,139, forward strand.
CGTCTGGCGGTGTGGTGCTGAGTACTGAGGACTGTGCGCTCAGCTCTTGGAGCGGGCTGGGTGTTTGGGGCCAGCGGCGGCAGCGGCAGGCACGGCGGCAGCAGCGGCAGGGTGGGGCGAACAGGTAGAGCAGCACGAGCACAAGGCCCACGGCACAGCCCAGCAGTGTGGTGAAGCCTGTGTTGAAAGCCTCGGGCTCTGGGCGCGGAAAGTGCACGCTCACGTTGTACTCGTGCGTCTGGTTGTGGTGCAGGCGGGGCCCAGTGGCCAGGCACACGAAGAGTCCCGCATGCTGCTCCTGTACGTTGCCTATGGCCAAGCTGCCGTCGGCCAGCACCGCGATGCTGCCATCGCGGGATCCTGGCGCCCTGAGAAGCTCCTGCTGCGGCGAAACCCAGGCAATGCGCATGGCCGGGACGCTGGTGTTGCAGTAAAGCCTCAGGGACCGACCCACCAGCGCGTACAGGTGCTCTTCCGGCCGCTCTAGGCCAAGAGCTGGGGCCGACGAGCAGTTCTCAAAGACGCGGCTGTGCTGGAAGAAGCGCACGCGGGACGCGGGTACCTTGAAGGCCAAGCATACGTACTCGCGCGCAAAGTCGCGCACGGCGCTCAGGCCCCGCTGGTGCCAGCGCTGTAGCAGGTGGTAGAGGCGGCAGTCGCAAGGCAAAGGGTTGTTGTGCAAGTAGAGGCCGTTCTTGAGGAAGGCCGGCAGCGCGGCCAGCTCAGGTACGGAGATGTGTCCCAGCCGGTTGGAGGAGAGGTCCAGAGTAAGCAGGTGGGTGGCGCTCAGACCGTGCAGGTGGTCGAAGGAGAACGAGGCGAGTTCGTTGCAGCCCAGGTAGAGATGGCTGAGCGCGCGCAGGCCGTGGAAGGCATGCTCGTCCAAGTGCACCAAGCGGTTATTGAACAGAAGCAGCTTCTCCAGCGCCCCCAGCCCGTCGAGGTCGTGGCGGCCAAGCGCCCGCAACGTGTTAGATGATAGATCGAGCAGCCTCAGGCCGCTGGCGTTGACGAAGACGCCGCGACCCAGCGCATCTAGTTCGTTGTGGTCTAGGTGCAGGGCGCGCAGCTGGAAGAGGGGCGCCAACCAGCCGGGGCGCAGGCGCTGGAGCGCGTTGTGGCTCAGGTCGAGGTCCGCAGTAGCGGCAGGTAACTCGGCTGGCACGTCCTGCAGCCCTAGGCCAGTGCAGCTTAGCAGGTCGGCAGCGCAGATACATTTGTAGGGGCAGTTGTGGAGCGCACGGGGCGGGAAACCCTCGGAGTCCGGGGTGCCTAACCCAACGCGCAGCATGCAGAGCAGTGTCCCCAGCAGCACCAACCAGGTCATGGCGGCGACCACCAGGGACAGTACAGAGCAGCTCTGTGCAGGTTGCAGTTCCAGGACTCACCCTCTTCTGCTCTAGTGCGACATGGGTGGCACCGGATGGCCCTTGCCGAGGAGGCACGGCGGGTTCTTGCCAGCCGACGGCCCCTACTCTCCGGTTCCCAGGTTGTGAGGCGGTGCGGCACTCTTAGCCGCGCTCCCTTCGGCTTCGCTAGCCCTCTCCAAGCGAGTTCCTGATCGGCTCCTAAATACTCCCCCCAGGGGCGGGGCCCGGGCTCCTATTGGTTCCCGTTTGAGGAGGCGGGGCGGCTACATCCCTTTGTGCCCAATGGCCCCGCATGACCGCCAGATGGGGAGCAAGGCCAACCCCAAAGTCCCCGTCAGCCTTTGGCTGGCAGCTCTCCGCCGCTCGTTTTTCCTCGGGGAGTAAAAGGGGGAGTCTGGAAGAATGTCTCCAAGCTGCTGTTAGTGTTTATTTGAAGTGACTTTGAAGGACTGATAATATTATGGGGCAGGCAGACTCTCACTATCTTAAGGTGGTTCGCCTGAGCCTTCTTAAAGTGGTACCCCAGGCCGGGCGCGGTGGCTCACGCCTGTAATCCCAGCACTTTGGGAAGCCAAGGCAGGTGGATCACCTGAGGTCAGGAATTCGAGACCAGCCTGGCCAACCTGGTGAAACCCTGTCTCTACTAAAAATACAACAATTAGCCGGGCGTGGTGGTGGGCGTCTGCAATTCCAGCTACTCGGGAGGCTAAAGCAGGAGAATCACTTGAACCCGGGAGGTGGAGGTTGCAGTGAGCCGAGATCGTGCCATCGCACTCCAGCCTGGGCAACAGAGCGAGACTCGTCTCAAGAAAAAAAAAAAAAAAACAGGCTGTGTGGCACCTTACTAGAATACAGGACTTGGGGTTTGGGAAGCAGGGAGACGGAAAGGATGCAGGGGGGGTGATCATGTACGAGCCATGGCACTCCTCATTGGCAATCCCAAGAGAGACTTTTAGCCAGGCCCCAAGCCTTCTGACTGCCCTTGCACCCTCCCCTACCTAGGAGAGAGCAAGCCACATCAGTGCTCCTGGCAGATCCCTGCTTCCAGCTACGCTCAATATGCTATCTCCTGGGACAGCCAGAGCCCCCAGCACCTGGCACTGCTCTGCCAGCCCCTGACCGGAAGCGCTTCTCCCTGCAGAGCTGTGAGTGGGCTGGTGGGGCAGGTCAGGGAAATCTGGGGCTGGGTCGGGTCAGGAGCCTTAAGAACAGCAAAGTCCTAGGCTGGGAATATTCAAGAGGCATCACATCCTCAGCTACCTCTGACTTGACACTACCTACCACTCCCCAGATGCGGATTATATCAGTGCCGATGAGCTGGCCCAAGTGGAACAGATGCTGGCGCACCTGACCTCTGCATCTGCCCAGGCAGCAGCTGCCTCCCTGGTGAGTGGGAACACGGTGCACAGGTCCATGCCACTTGAATATGTGTGCACTCCTACACAGGCACAACGGACATCCACATAGCCAGGCATCCAACTCCAGCCCACCCTTCACTCTCCTCCCTGCAGCCCACCAGTGAGGAGGACCTCTGCCCCATCTGCTATGCCCACCCCATCTCTGCTGTGTTCCAGCCCTGTGGCCACAAGTCCTGCAAGTAAGTGGGCCCCACAGCTTGGTGGTGGGGAGAGCAGTAGGTACATGCAGGGCAGTCCTCATCCCCTCCCCTGTTGTAGAGCCTGTATCAACCAGCACCTGATGAACAACAAGGACTGCTTCTTCTGCAAAACCACCATCGTGTCTGTAGAGGACTGGGAGAAGGGAGCCAATACGAGTACTACCTCCTCAGCTGCCTAGCCCTCACAGCCTGTGCCATCCTGGAACCTCCACCTTTGAACCCAGAGCCAGGCTGGGCCCTATTTATGAGCTCCCTTTGCCCTTCTCCTGTATCCCACACCACCACATCCAACCTCCTTGCCTGCCTGTATCCTCATTGGTGGGAGCCCAGCCATGGCCCTAATTGTGCCTGAGCTTGACTTTCAGTCAGGGCCACAGTGAGCATTAAATTATTATTCCATACAGCCCTGGCCCTGGCCCTTCTTGAGGGAGTGGGGTTTGTGGGGTGTGCCCAGCAGGGATCCTGCCAGATGATGTCCACATGAGAAGGCAGGTGTCCAACAGCTTCAGCTTCACCCAGTGCCCCCCAGACAAATAATGACAAGTCCAGGGTCTTCTGATGTGTCAGGCCAGCACTCCCCTTGCTGATGGGAAAACCGGGGCTCGGCCAGCCCCACTGCATCCCCTCACATGATGATACGAGGCTCTGGCACTGACTCGCCAATAGACTTGTGGGGCAGCACGCTGGCTCCGTTGAGGTAGAGCTCATCATTAACTATGACGTCCTCACCCAGCACTGTCACGTTCTCCATGCGTACCTCCAGGAGAGGATAGGCCTTGTCAGGGAGGCAGGCACACTCCCCGCCCCTCTCCCCACCCAGCCCAGCCCACAGGCTTACCCACTGACCCACGCGGCAGCGCCAGCCCACAATGCAGGACTCAAGCCAGGAATGGGAACGGATCCGGGCATCCCGCAGCACCGTGCACCGCCGGATACACACACCATCTTCGACCACCACGCCAGGTCCCAGGCTCACATTGGGGCCAATGCTGCAGTTCTGGCCGATGCGGGCACTTGGGTCCTGAGAGCGGTGGGAAAAATACAAGTGGGCCACTTGTCTCCCAAGACTGAGGGGGTTAATGATGGGCTGGGCAAGGGCCTCACCACCAGCACGTTGCCCACAATGCCAGGGCCTGAGCACAGCCGCTCAGGCTGCTTCTGCCTCAGTGACTGCAGGAAGAGGCACATGCCAGTGAGGAAGTCCTTGGGCTGCCCAATGTCCATCCAGAAGCCTGTAGGGAGGGATGCATCAGGGGCCTCAGCCCAGCCACAGACCACCCCCACCCTGTGGCCTCCCTGCCTCACCCTGTAACTCCATGGCATATAGCTGCCCCTCCTTGGCCATAATGGGGAAGACCTCCTTCTCAATGGACGTAGGCTGCAGCTGTGGGAGTGGGCAGCTTGTGAGCAGGGTCATGGCGGTGATGGCCTGCCCCACCCCAGCCCACCAACAGCTGTCTCCTACACACCTGGATGCGCTGCAGCACTGCAGGGCTCAGGATGTACATGCCTGCGTTGATCTTATTGGACACAAACACCTGTGGCTTCTCCACGAACCGGTGAATGCGGCCTGTGTCAGCCTCACACACCACCACACCGTACTTGGAGGGTTCCTCCACCTTGGTCACCTGAATGCAAGGAAGGGGACCTCGGACCTAGTCCAGTGTTCCTAAGCCTTGATACACATGCCGTTCCAGATCTCAAGAGACTCTGCCCCAAGTGCTTAAAGATACATACTGCACAGCTCTGTATCCATAACATCCGAAGGCAGATGAAGGCTAGGGGGCATGGGAGGCTGGGCATGGAGGGTGAAAGTGTCAAGAGAGAGAAGACCTGGCGCCTTACCAGGATGGAGCCCTCCTGGCCATGGTGCCGGTGGAACTGCACCATGGCTTGGAAGGGGAAATCGCAGATCACGTCACTGTTGAGGACGAAGAAAGGGTCTGCAGTCTCAGAGAGTAGGTCACGGGCCAGCGCCAGGGGCCCAGCTGGGGGAAGGGGACAGGTCACCACCTTGCTGGAGGTCTGAGTCCCTGGATTCAGGCTCAGCAGGCCCACTCCAGGCTGGGTCTTACCCTTTTCCTGGCCTTAAACCCTCCCCCAAGGGACCTTTCTGCCTCTACTGACCTGTCCCCAAAGGCTCCTCTTCATGGGACATGGAGATTCGGATTCCCAGCTGGAAGGAAGAGGCCCCCCCAGTCAGGTTCTACCAGGATGGGAAGTTGGGCGGGGACCGAGAATAAGGGCCAAGAGTCTGTGCCTCACCCTCTGCTCCTGTGCCTTCATTTCCTTCTCCAGCACCTGCGACATGTAGCTCACGGCCAGGATCACGTGGTCCACGCCTGCCTGTCAGAACGCAGGCCGACGGGCGGGCTCAGTCAGAAGGTACGGGAGCCCCTGACCCCTAGTCGCTGGCCATCCCTAGTCCCGCCAGATCCGAACGCGACTCTGATCCCGACCCAGGGTCTTACCGCGGCTAGCGCCTCCACTTGGTGCAGCAAGATGGGCTTATTGCAGAAGTCCACCAGTGGCTTCGGGGTGCTCAGCGTCAGCGGCCGTAGCCGCGTCCCATAGCCCCCCACTAAGATCAGTGCCTTCATCGCGCCTGCGGACGTTGAGGGGGTGTCCCGGGCTCTGAGGTGCCTGCAGCCCGCCTGGCCGGTCCCTGCCGCGCACTCCCAACGCCGTGCCCGGCCCCGCGCCCTTCACCAACCCGCCTGACAGACTCTGGCTCCACCTCGTCCGCCCGGTCGCCCTGACGCCGGATCCAGGGCCGCCACAACACAGAACGCGACACCGGGTAGACGGCTGCTGGCCCCGAACTCAGGCCGGACCCGGCGCGGGCAGTGACGCGACCACCGCGGGCCAATCGGCTGCCGCGTACGTGGCACGGCCGCCGGCGTCGGAACGTTGGAGCGCAGCGCTGCGACAGACGTAGCCAATGAGCGCCCGAGTACGCCGGGCTGCCATGGAGACCCGGGCCGGGACCCGCGGGTCAGCTGGCCATTGGCGGATCCAAAGGCGGAACTGGCGCCAAGGGCGAGGCCTTGTTCCCTGCTTCGCCGCGGTCCAGCAGCCGCCGGCCCCGCCCCACGGCCCCGGCCTCGCCCCGAGGGTGACCAGGGAAGGCTCCCGGGCCACGGGATTTTCACAAAGACAGACTCGCCTCCGTTTCTAGCGGCTTTATTTTTGACATACACGACCTCAGACACAAGCGGGGCGGGCAGCGCTAGGTGTACAGAAAGGAGCGGGCTCGGACCGAGCACCCCCTCCCCCGCACGCAAGGTCCAAAGCAAACGCAACTGCGGCGGGAGCCACCGGCGCAGGCCTCGGGCGGTGGAGACAGGCTTAGCTTCCAGGAAAGAGCAGCAGAGAGCGATTCCCAGAACGCGAGGGCTTACAGTTCCCCGAGAAGCAAAAGAACCAGGTCCTTCCCAGGGTTCTCCATTATTTTTTCCTCATTAAAATATATTTTAAGTCAGCACAAACATAACCAAATTGTACAGCTTTAAAGTTCAAAGCAGTCTGCATCTAGGGAACGTGCATGTGGTCAGGAGTGAGCGCGTGAGCAGCGGCTACGTAACTAGCACAGGTGCCAGGCCCCTTGATGGGAATCCCCATGCTCACTGCACAGGCCCAGAGAGGGAGGGGTGGGGTCCCTGGCAAGTTGCTACACTGGTCCCCTTCCTCTTTTAAGCACCACCCGTCCCACCCCACCCTCAGGGGCTGGTGTCAGCTTGGCCCAGGGAAGCACTATAGAGAGGGCTCACCTGAGCACCCCAACCCATGATCCCATGTTGCACTTTGTTCCCAAGTTGGGGCTAAGAAGGCTGGGCCTGGCAGGGACAGGGCTCTCTGGCATGGGGCAGGGAGAAAGCAGTGGCAGACAGTATGCACACACACTTGCCCACTACCATTAAATAACAGGGCTGGGTCTCCAGGTGTCCAAAGTGCTGAAAAGAGGGGCCCTGCTCTAAGGGAGCAGCAGCAAATCCCAGGCCTTCCCACTCTTTGTAGTGCCAGGAAAATACTGAATGTAAGTGGGTGCAGCTTTGCTCGCTGTGAGGAGCAGCAGAATGCGGCAGCCTCTCCTCCCAGAATCGAGGAATCTGGGAGGCACAGGACATCCCCAAAAGGTCCCAAACAGTTCCAGACCCTATGTCTTACCCTCCACCCTACCAGGGAATGACTATCTACACTAATGAAGGGCTACTGCCCCCATGGCTGAAGCCACAGAATGGTACAGGAGAGAAGACTGTAATTTGTGACCAGAAACAGGCAAGCTGTCCCTCCCAGCCCCAAAGAATGGGAACCTGCCCACCAGTGGCACCAGGGCTGGGGGCTAGGAGAGATGGCATCCATCAAGGAGCCCTTAAGAGGCTGCATCTTTAAGGACCAGGAAATGAGTCCATCAGTTACCAAGGCTTCTCACAGCTGGCAGGCTTACCTTTAAAGCCAAACAGGCACTTGCCTAAAGTGACAATGAACAGTGTGGCCCTAGGCTCAAAGGAGAGGGTGCTAACCTTGGCAATGGCTGAAATCGGTGTCACCTCCTGGCCATCTGTTAGAAGCAGCAGATCTGTGCCATTAAGGGCTGGCAGCCAAAATGACTAAAACCATGAGAAAGGAAGGGTCACTCCTCAAGCCCTCACTGCCCCACTCTAAGGGTTGAGGGCCATATTCTAGGCCCACAGAAATGGTGCTGGGTCAACAGGGAAACACCAATTTATTCTGCTATCAGGTCTTTATAAAAAGGCAACACCTGTGGAGGAAGGGCATGGGGCAAAAGCTCACCTCAGAAGTGGAAGTGTTCTGCTGAGGAAAGCATGAAGGAATGAGTATATACTAATGAACAAGGCTACACCCCAGGGGAAGGATCCCAAGGGACGGGCTGGCAGCCGGACACATGGACAAACTGATGGACCCAGGACTGATCAGACAAAGCTCTCATTAGCAGAATGTGGGCACCTGCACCCAGGGCCCATACCACGTCCCTGTGAGCAAAAAAGCTTAAAGTTCTCCCTCCAGGCCCAGGGCCAAGAGCGCCTCACAAAGGGCTGCTGCCTTGAACTTGGCCTGGGGAAATGAGACCCTGAGCGGACCACAGCCCTTGAGCCCTGGGAGGAGCAGCCCATCCAGCAGCAGCACAGCTGCCGAAACTTGAGGAAGAAGACTCCCACCCATAGCACAAGAACTGCAAATACTGTCTGGGCCAGAGCCACCAGAGGCCCTGAGGCCTGCTAGGACACCGACTATCCCCCACTTCAGTGGGGTGGGAGGGAGTGGCCTTCTTAGGCAAGGGAACTTGGTGAGAGAGGCTGTTTCAGGAATAGGACAGGTGCCAACCTGTCACGTGCCAACAGGTGCCTGGGGAACCCAGGCGCCGCCCTCTGCCATAAGTTGGCCTCAGCCCAGCTTCATTAATCTAGCCCCATGCTAAGGTCAGACCGAAGGATGGGTCCAGCTTTGTGCAGTCAGCCCTGTGGTGCCCTGAGGGCACCTATTAAAGAGCTAGCTGACACCCACAGCATAAGACTGGAAAGCCCCCAAGAAATGGGCACCCAGAGCCCTCTACTTCTGGGGAACAAGGGAAGAGTGGGCGTGGAGGGGCCCTGCACCAGCCCAGGGCTTTACCTTACAATCAGCAGGGCCCTGCAGCCACAGATCTCAAAGATCTAGACAAGAGAAACCAATGTCCAAGGGCACCCTGTCCCTGCTGCCAAGCCCACCAGGGGCACCTCTTCCTTCCTAAGGCAGCCTGGACACACCAGTCAGAGCCACAAAGCTGAGGAGCCTGGCTGAGAGGGCGTGTGGTCTGCCCTCCTTCACTTTATATATATGGATTCCAGGCTACAGCTAAAAACATTTCTTTTAGTTTACACCAAAGAGAAATATAACCCTTTAAAAGCAAGTCTGTGTGTCCTCACGGCAAGTTCAGAACAATGGTCCCTGCCTGCAGTGGAGAGGAAGGGGTTCTGGGGGCCCAGAACAGGGCCTACTGGTTCTCGTCCCGCATCTGTTCCATGATGCTGATGAGGTTCTCCAGGCCAAACACGTAGCCTCTGTCTGGCCCATCATGCACGGTGGGGTCATCCCGGAAGCCCTTGAATGTGCTGTGTGCAAAGTCAATCATGCGGACATCCACCTTGGGCTGAGAGGAGGGACCCGCCTCGGGGCTGGTGTTGCTGGGGCTGGTGCTGGGGCCACAGGATGACGCCACCTCAGGGAGCACCATGTCCAGGTGCTTGAGACGCATCTCAGACCGGCGGTCCAGGCAGGACTCAGCCCGGCACTCCTTGCCATCATAGATGACAAGCAGGGAACTGGAGTAGAAGCGGTAAGAGGCCTGCCGCTCCAGCACAGCTTTCAGGCCCCGCAGTTTGCTCAGGATAGGCTCAAACAGGTCACGTCGCAGGTCCAGGCCATTGTGCAGATATTGATAGAGGGCATTGCGGAAGCCTTCAATGGAGAGCCCACGGCCATAGTACTTGTTCCTGCAGAGGTAATGCCCTGTGTCCAGCTGGTACACCTGAAACCCCAGGAGGCAGACAGGGTGAGTGCCAGGGAAGTCTGAAGAGCTCACAGTGCCCTGGGCAAACACTGTCTGGAAGGGACTTTGACCAACCTGAGCTTTTCTGCTCACCTATCTAAGTGGAACCAGGCAGGCCACATTCACCCTGGGTTTTCCCATTGCAGAACCAAGAGAAAGCAATACCAGGCCTATGGGTTCCCTGCCCCCAGCTTTGGAGCCCTCCTCCAACATCGGAACATCTTGTTGACAGGCAAGAGTCTTATTTGTCCCAATGTCGAGGCAGCAGACTCTCACAGTGGTCCTGCACCTGAGGCCCATATCAAAGTCAACAGGTAAGGACAGAGGGGCTCAGGAGGACACACTTGGCATAGATGGCAGGCAGGTATGAGCACAACCCAAATCATGCAAGTGGCAGCACCTAGGCTCTGAGCAGAGGTAACTCACCTGCATGCCGCAGACCCTGACGCCCAGCGTGGCTGATGTGCTCTGCTCGCATTTCCGCATCTGCCGGGCTGCCTTCTCAGCTGACGCGTCATCGCCATGCTGCCGCGTGCCCATCTTCAGGTCCAACACGCAGGGGTACTTGAAGTGGTGCACCACGTTCTCAAGCAGGAGGAACTCTGGGCCACGGTCAAGGAGAATGACAACCACACTCACCATCAGCCCCAGCCAGGAAAGCACAACCCAGTTTTTCTATAAAAGGGGGCTTTTACCTAATGCAGTATGTACTTGTCTCAAACTCTCAAATATGGGTTTCACACCACTGGCTTATTACTTAACCAATAAAAACTGTGGTAAAATATACATAAAATTTACTTCAGCCATTTTTAAGTGTACAATTCAGTGGCATGAAGTACATTTACTTTGTTGTATAACCATCACAACCATCTATCTCTACTCACAACCATCTATCTCTAGAACTTTTCTTTTTTTTTGAAACGGAGTCTCGCTCTGTTACCCAGGCTGGAGTGCCCTGGAGTGATCTCGGCTAACTGCAACCTCTGCATCCCAGGTTCAAGCTATTCTCCTGCCTCGGCTGCCTGAGTAGCTGAGATTACAGGTGCCCGCCACTACACCCGGCTCATTTTTTGTATTTTTAGTAGAGACAGGGATTCACCATGTTGGCCAGGCTGGTCTCGAACTCCTGACCTTGTGATTCGCCTGCCTCAGCCTCCCAAAGTGCTGGGATTACAGGTGTGAGCCACCACGCCCAGCTAGAACTTTTTCATCTTCCCAAAATGAAAAGAGATCCTCTCACCCTCAGCCTCTGGAACAACTAGGACTACAGGCATGCCTAATTTTTTTTTTTTTTTTAGATGGAGTCTCGTTCTGTCACCCAGGCTGGAATGCAATGGCGCCATCTCGGCTCACTGCAACCTCTGTCTCAGGGGGTTCAAGCCATTTTCCTGCTTGTACCCATTAAATAGCACTGAACAGTGACTCCTCATTTTCCCTCCTCCCAGCCCCTGGGAACCTCTAGTCTACTTTCTGTCTCTATACATTTACCTTTCCTGGGTATCTCATAAGTGGAATTATACAGTATTTGTCATTTTAAATGTCTGGCTTATTTCACTTAGCAGAATGTATTCAAGATTCATTTATGTTGTAAGCATGTATCAAAATTTCATTCCTTTTTCTGGCTAAATAATTTTCCATTGTATGTATATATCACAAACTTTTTTGTTGTTGTTTTTTGGTTTTTTAACCTAAGCTCTAGGGTATTTTTATGTTGATTTATTTTTGTTATTTTTTATTTTATTTTTTTTTTGAGACGGAGTTTCGCTCGTTGCCCAGGCTGGAGTGCAATGGCACTATCTCAGCTCACCGCAACCTCCGCCTCCTGGTATCAAGTGATTCTCCTGCCTCAGCCTCCCGGTAGCTGGGATTACAGGCATGTGCCACCATGCCTGGCTAATTTTGTATTTTTAGTAGAGACGGGGTTTCTCCATGTTGGTCAGGTTGGTCTTGAACTCCCCCGACCTCAAGTGATCTGCCTGCCTTGGCCTCCCAAAGTGCTGGGATTACAGGCGAGAGTTACTGTGCCCAGCCTTATTATTATTATTTATTTTTATTTTTTATTATTTTTTTTGAGACAGAGTCTCACTCTGTTGCCCAGGCTGGAGTGCAGTGGCTGGATCCAGAGCTCGCTGCAGCACTGACCACCTGGGCTCAAAAGATCCTCCCACCCTCAGCCTCTGGAACAGCTAGGACTACAGGCATGCCTAATTTTTCTTTTAATTATTATTTTTTTTGAGACAGAGTCTTGCTCTGTCACCCAGACTGTAGTGCAGTGGTGCAATCTCAGCTCATTGCAACCTCTGCCTCCTGGGTTCAAGCCATTCTCCTGCCTCAGCCTCCCAAGCAGCTGAGACTACAGGTGTCTGCCACCACCCCCAGCTAATTTTTTGTATTTTGAGTAGAGCAGGGTTTTACCATGTTGGCCAGACTGGTCTGGAACTCTTGACTCCAGGTGATCTGCCCACCTCGGCCTCCCAAAGTGCTAGGATTACAGGCATGAGCCACCGCGCCCAGCCGCCTACCTAATTTTTAATGTTTTTTTTAGAGACAGGGTCTCACTATGTTGTCCAGGCTGGTCTTGAACTCCTAGCCTCAAGTGATCTTCCCACCTTGGCCTCCAAAAGTGCTGAGATAACAGATGTGGGCCACCACACCCAGCCTATGTTATCTTTAGACCTATCTTGCAGGCAATATGCAAACTAAAGATTTGGATACATCCCTCACCATCAGTGAACCAAGGCCCTACTCAAGCCAGCACCTTGCCCAGGCCTAAGAAATAAGGAAGACATCTTGGTAGCACTACTACAAAAACAAGGAAACCAGATTCTAACATTCCCAAATAGGAATCTTTAGAAAAAGCTGGATTTACATTTCTTTTCTTTTTTTTTAGGATGCAGTCTTGCTCCTTTGCCCAGGCTGGAGTGCAGTAGCACAATTTCAGCTCACTGCAACCTCTGCCTCCCAGGTTCAAGTGATCCTCCTGCCTTAGCCTCCCAAGTAGCTGGAACTATAGGCGCATGCCACCATGCCCGACTAATTTTTTGTATTTTTTTTTTTGAGATGGAGTTTCACTCTTGTTGCCTAGGCTGGAGTGCAATGGCGCAATCTTGGCTCATCGCAACCTCCGCCTCTTGAGTTCAAATGATTCTCCTGTCTCAGCCTCCCGAGCAGCTAGGATTACAGGCATGCACCACTACACCTGGCTAATTTTGTGTACAGACGGGGTTTCTCCATGTTGGTCAGGCTGGTCTCAAACTCCCAACCTCAGGTGATCTGCCGGCCTCGGCCTCCCAAAGTGCTGGGATTACAGGAATGAGCCTGGATTTATATTTCTGTCTTGCCATTTGTCACTCAATTTGAAACCAGTGAATGAGAGAGAGAGATCTCGTTCACTGGTTTCAAATTTATATATATAAATATATTTATATATAAAATATAAATTTATCCCTTAATAGTTCTATAACCTTCTGCTCAAAACGATCTATGGTCCTAACTCCCTGGCATTTACATACATGTCTTCATTCCAATATATCCTATTTGCAACAATCTTATCTTTGAACTTTTGTGTAAAGGTACAGACTTATCATATGTCTGCCAAAGTCACTGGGTTTCACAGCCCAGCCCTCAAATCCATCTCTGGGTGCTACAGAGCAATCGCATCTTAGCAGATAGACACTCAGCATCACTGTGATGATGAACATTTCATTCTTTTGAAAGTAACTTTTAAATTTGGCCTGAATCAATTCTGTTGCCTGCTATTACCTATAAACATGTGATGGTAAAATATGGAGGAGGCTGCAGAAATATCTCAACACCCTGGAAGCATGGGCTCTGGAATCCTGCCTTGACCACTCACTACCTCTAGGCACAACACTTAATCCCCCTGTGCTTCCACTTCCTCATCTATAACATGGGAATGATGAGAGTTCCTTCCTCAAAAGATTGCTGTGAAAATTAACTACGTACAAAAGGTTCAGCACACTTTCCCTCAGTTTCTTAGAATAATCCAGTTGTTATTTGTCTACTACTTCAAAACACTAACAATTGTAAGAATTCCCATTCTAGGCTGGGCGTGGTGGCGCACGCCTGTAATCCCAGCTACTGGGGTGGCTAAGGCATGAAAATCTCTTGAACCCGGGAGGCGGAGGTTGCAGTGAGCCGAGATCGCACCGCTGCACTTTGGCCTGGGTAACAGAGTGAGACTCTGTCTCAAAAAAAAAAAAAAAAAAGGAATTCCTATGCCATAATACTTTTTTATCTTTTCTGGAGATGAGACAGGGTCTTGCTGTGTTGCCCAGGCTAGAAGCTAGAATGTAGTGGTGCAATCATGGCCCACTGCAGTCTCGACTTCCTGGGCTCAAGCAATCCTCCCACCTCAGAGCTGGGACTACTACAAGCACACACCACCACATCCAACTAATTTTTTTATTTTTTGTAGAGATGAAGTCTCACTATGTTGCTCAGGCTGGTTTCAAACACCTGGTCTCAAGTGATCCTCCTGCCTCAGCCTCCCAAAGTGCTGGGATTACAGGTGTGACCCACCACGCCCAGCTATCTTTAACATTTTAAATCTATTTTATGGTGTTTATCATCAGATAAAAATCTCACCAAAGTCAAATATATCACCTTTAAACTATTAATCCCTTGGGAGGGGAAAACTACACACATGCACACAAGCGCATATGGGCACATACGCAGATCTGTGATTGTGGACATGATCAATATAGTACCACTAGCCACACTAGCCACATGTGATGATTTAAATTTTAATTAATAAAATAAAATTTAAATTAACTGCCTTAGTCACAGTAGCCACATTTTAGCCACTCAGTGTGGCCAGTGGCTACCATACTGAAAAGCACACAGAATTACAGACAGTTCTATCAGACAACACTGTTCTAGACTGCCAAGTTTTAAGCTTCGGCCTTACCAAATCCAAAAGGCAGGAAAAAAACATGTTGATGAAAGTAAACGAAGGAAGAGGAGTCCATGAAAAAGGGAGATTAAACCGAAGAGGGACCCTAGACAAAGACCTCAGCCATAGGCAGAATGGTGCCCCAACACACGACCTATGGACCCAGTAGACACTCCTGAAGGAGGGGCAACGAGGATACTGTAGAGCTTTCGGTCCTTGGACTCGGAGCGCATGCGGCTCAGCTGCTGCTTGTGACAACGCAGGCTCCAGGGGTTGTGGCTGATCTTCTCAGAACTCAAGCCACTGTTGCCATCTAGCATCTGGAAAGGGACCTCTGAGTGGCTGTGCAGCTCCACCTTCGGACTCTTTGCCTCCTGTGAGCTAAGAAGGAAGAACATACACATCACTAAGAAACTCAGGCAAGTCATCCTCTGGGGTCCCGCTGCACAGGGCACAGATCTGTCCACAATGACAGACCCACAGACCCTGCTAATGGGTTGCATTAAGGTCCCATGAGCCAATAAAAATGAGTAAATGTTATGAGTAGTGTTCTTCCTGTGTCTCTTAAAACTATCTTATGTCTCTTAAAACTATCTGAAAAATAACATTTTTGTCAAATTATGTGATGAAAATACCACTTCACATCCATTAGGATGGCTACAATCAAAGAAGAAAGTGGAGCAAGTGTCCAGTATGTGAAGAAATTAGAACTCTCGTACACTGCTGGTGGGAATGTAAAATGATGCAGCCACCAAACAGTTTGGTGGTTTCTCAAAAAGTTAAACATAGATTTATATATAACTCAGCAATTCCATTCCTAGGTATACACCCAAAAGAAATGACAAGGATCCAAACAGACACTTTACGTCAACATTCACAGCAGCACTACTCACAATAAACAAAAGGAAGAAACAAGCATCCATCAACAGATGAATGGATAAGCAGAATGTGGGATATACATACAATGGAATATTATTCAGCAATAAAAAGGAATGAAATTCCTATACATGCTACAACATATATGAACTTGAAAACATTTTGCTAAGTGAAATAAGCCAGACACAAAAGGATAAATATTGCATGATTCTACTCATGTGAGGTAACTGCAAATCCATTAAGACAGAAACTAGAAAAGTGGTTGCCATGGGCTGGGGGAAGGAGGAATGGGGAGTCAGTTGCACAACAATGTGAATGTACTTAATGCTACCAAACCACGCCCAGCCAAGGAAGGAAATTTTATTTCTAAAATAAGTCAAGGCCAGGCACTGTGGGTCACAACTATAATCCCAACACTTTGGGAGGCCAAGGTAGGAGGATCACTTGAGCCCAGGTGTTCAAGACCAGCCTGGGCAACATGTCAAAACTCCATCTGTACAAAAAATTTAAAAATTAGCTGGGCATGGTGGCATGTGCCTGTAGTTCCAGCCAGCTAGCTACTTGGGAGGCTAAGGTGGGAGGATCACCTGAGCCCAGGGGGCTGAGGATGCACTGAGCCATGATCATGCCACTACACTCCAGCCTGGGAAACAGATAGACCATGTCTTAAAAATAAATAAATAATAAAATAAAATAAATAAAACCACAAAGGAGTTTTTGTGAGAAAGCAACTTCAACTGAAAATACTGGAACTTTGCCAACAATTTCATTATGCCCCAACATAAAAATCTTTGCTTGAAGTAACCAACAATACTGTCTATCATACTGAAAGGCCAAGAAAACCAAACTACTGGTGAAGCCATGTGCCCTGCAAATTACAGAGCAAGCCTGCAGCTCAGAGCAGAGGTGGAACATTACCGTAATTTCTTTTTTTTTTTTTTTTTTTTTTTTGAGACAGAGTCTCGCTCTGTCGCCCAGCAACTTCAAATGCCACTCTCCTCTCCAGAACTGCAGGCCTCTCCTCTAACTGTGTGGCATAAGTCGCACAGATTCAAGCTAACACCAGGGCTGGTGTGTGCTGGAAATGCTAACCCTCTCCAAGGGTCAGCTGTGCAACACTGGTGAAGAGGTAGTGGCAGAGACCCCATTTCCACCTAACTGAAAGTAGAGGAGCCCACCAGTGCCTCTCGGAATGATAAAACCCTTACTTTCTTCTGTGAGAGCACTGCTGAGGCCATTCAAAGATGCCTTTTTTTGTGAAACCCTTTAGGAAACAGAAAGGTTGACTTATTTGCCATGTAAACCCAAAGAAGTTCTCTGCGTCTGGATGAAGCCCCCACGGTACTTGGTATCACACCTTTTGTGTTGCAGCCCTGGCTCTGTGAAGAAACAAGCCCCACCCCTGGAATGACGGTCTCTCTGCTAACAGGTCAGACAGAGGTTTGGTCAGTACAGGTAGAGCTGTCACCTTCAGGGCAGGACCTTGAACCTGGACACAGGCGGACAGTGATGTTATTCTAGGTGATGTTATTCTATACCTTTTCACCAGATGACTCATGAAGCAACCTCTGTACCTTTGGAGGACAATAAAAAAAGCCCACTCTAGACTGGGCGCAGTGGCTCATGCCTATAATCCTTACGCTTTGGGAGGCCAAGGTGGGAGGACTGCTTGAAGCCAGGAGTTTCAGACCACCCCGGGCAACAAAGTGAGACCCTATCTCTACAAAAAATTTAAAAATTAGCTGAATGCAGTGGTGTGCACCTGTAGTCCCAGCTACTTGGGAGGCTGAGGTGAGAGGGGATAGGAAGGCTTGAGCCCAGTATTCAAGGCTGCAGTGAGTCACTGATGGTGCCACTGCACTCTAGCCTGGGTGACAGAGCAAGACCTTGTCTCTAAAAAGAGTGGGGGGAAAAGCCCACCCTAAAGCGCTGTTCAGAGAGAACCATCAATTGTCAGCTACAGACTTGGGGAACATTCTTTGTCACCTGAACGACCAAGTTAGGTCCCACAGTCATTAGTCAAGAAGCAGCCTCTTGGGGAGTGAAGGGGAAGCACTAGAAGAAGTGCTTCTGTGGACTGGAAGCCATCTGTCCAAAGAACGTTTGACATTTGAAGACCCTGCTTACCAAGAAGTGGGTATGAAGCTCTCTCCTTGCATGAAAGATGCAGACTGGCCAAAGAGGATCTGCTGACTGAGGACATGGGAAATGACACATAACCCCACTCAGCCAGTGTCTCATGGGGTACTGTACTTGACATGGGCATGTCCTTGTTCACCAAACTGAGTGAGGAGAACTGGAATGTCCTAGGCCTTTACAAAGCTTCAGGGGCACAGGTATGTAGCATGTATTGGTGAACTGATCTGATATCACAGATGAACTATGTACTGTCTCATCTAAGGAAATTCCCAATTTCAGCTTCTAAGTCAAGTCACAAAAGCATCTTACTGAAACCTTTTTTTCTTGAGACAGAGTTTTCACTCTTGTTGCCCAGGCTGGAGTGCAATGGTGTAATCTCAGCTCACTGCAACCTCCACCTCCTGGGTTCAAGTGATTCTCCTGCCTCAGCCTCCCAAGTAGCTGGGATTACAGGCCCGCACCACCACACCTGGCTAATTTTTTGTATTTACTAGAGATGGAGTTTCACCATGTTGGTCAGGCTGGTCTCGAACTCCTGACCTCAGGTGATCCACCCGCCTCGGCCTCCCAAAGTGCTGGGATTACAGGCGTGAGACACCATGCCTGGCTCATAATTCTATTATTATTTTTTTATTTTTTACAATTCTGTGGTTTTTTAGTGAATTCACAAGATTGTAAAACATCACCACTACCTAATTTTCAGAACATTTCATGACCCCAAAATCAAAACCATCATCATTAGCAGTCACTCCCTATTTCCCACTACTTCCAGCTCCTAACTACTAACAGAAAGCAACCACTAACCTACCTTTTCTCTCTATAGATTTGCCTGATGTGAACACTTTACATAAATGGCATTGTACATATGTGGTCTTTTGTGTCTGGTTTCTTTCATTTAACATAATGTTTTCATGATTCATCCATGTTGTAGCATGTACCAGCACTCCATTCCTTTTTAGGGCTAACATTCCATTACATGGATATACCATATTTTGTTTATCCATTCACCAGTTGATGGACACTTGGGTTAGCCAGAAACTGGAAACAACCCTAATAGAAATAATTTTAAGAACATTTTTGTACAAATTTTGTGGGAATATATGTATTCAATTCTTTTGGGTATATACCTAGGAGTGGAATTACTGGTTTAACTTTTGGATTTAATTTTTTTTTTTTTTTTTTTGAGATGGAGTCTTGCTCTGTTGCCCAGGCTGAAGTGCAGTGGCATGATCTCGGCTCACTACAAGCTCCGCCTCCTGGGTTCACGCCATTCTCCTGCCTTAGCCTCCCGAGTAGCTGGGACTACAGGTGCCCACCACCATGCCCGGCTAATTTTTTTGTATTTTTAGTAGAGACAGGGTTTCACCGTGTTAGCCAGGATGGTCTCGATCTCCTGACCTCGTGATCTGCCTGCCTTGGCCTCCCAAAGTGCTGGGATTACAGGCATGAGCCACCAAGCCTGGCCTTTTTTTTTTTTTTTTTTTTTTAGAGATGGGGTCTCACTATGTTGCCCAAGCTGGTCTGAAACTCCTGGCCTCAAAGGATCCTCCCACCTCAGCCTCCTGAAGCATTAGGATTACAAGCGTGAGCCACAGCACTCAGCCTGGTTTAACTTTTTGAAGAACTGCTAAATTGTTTCCCAAGTGGCTGCACCACTTTACCTTCCTACCAGCAGTGTAGGAGGGTTCCATTTCTTCACATCTTGTCAACACTTTTATTGTCTGTCCTTTTGATTATACCCATCCTAGTGGGAGTTCATATTAATTCTTGCATGAAATTATCAAGACACATAATTTGAGGCTGGTACAGTGGCTCATGCCTATAATCCCAGCACTTTGGGAAGCCAAGGCAGGCGAATCGCCTGAGGTCAGGAGTTCGAGACCAGCCTAGCCAACATGGTGACACAACATCTCCACTAAAAATACAAAAATTAGCTGGGTGTGGTGGTGCACGCCTGTAATCCCAGCTACTTGGGAGGCAGAGGCAGGAGAATTGCTTGAACCCAGGAGGGAGAGGTTGCAGTGACGCAAGATGGCACCACTGCATTCCAGCCTAACAGCAAGACTCCATCTCAAAACAAACAAAAAAACATAATTTGAACTTACAAGAAAAATCAATTTCCAACACAACGGAAACTAAATTTTAGTTGCAGGGAAAGCGTTAATGACTGATATGATTCTCAGAGGTCTGACACAAAAACCATTAGGGAACTCCTGGTTGGACTCATAGCCCTTGGGCTTGGACATCCTGCAGGTCAGAAAGCATTTGGAGCCTCGCTACGAACTAATGTATTTCAACCTTCTGTCCTGTGGGTGGCAAGACATAATGAAAAGCCAGAGAACCTTTTGTCACCAGCACAGGGTGTCCCTGCTTCCAAACGGC
Organism: Homo sapiens; assembly: GCF_000001405.40. Lineage (NCBI taxonomy): Eukaryota > Metazoa > Chordata > Mammalia > Primates > Hominidae > Homo > Homo sapiens. The sequence goes on from NC_000003.12 coordinate 49,737,989, forward strand.
TGAGAGAGCTTCACTTCCTCTCTCAACCAGCTACAGCTATACCCAGAAAGAGGCACCACTGGGGTGATGTGACACAGAGAAGAGGCTACACCTGTGTGGGTATCCCAAGAACACCAGTCATCTTATCCAACCTTGACTGTGAGCCCTGCTTCCCCATGATGTGTCAGGACTATGGAGACGTCTTGAGTGCTTGTACCAGCAGGACGAAACATGTACCTCTTACCTCTCAGAGGTCTCAAGGGACAGGCTGGCTTTCTCCTCCTTGTGGTCACTGCCACTGCCTGACCGGTGCAGGCTCCGGCGGGAGTGTTTGCGCCGAGGTTGCTCCCGTTCTGTTGTGTCATCCTGTTCCACAGTCTCACTTTCCACATAAGGATAGGCCACTAAGTTGATGTAACCATCACTGTCCCCCTCAAAACAGACAGATACCACGCCTGTTAAAAAAAGGGCAGTTGGTAAACAAATGTCAACACAGGCCGAGTCTATGCAGCACAGACTGTTGGCACTCACTTTCCCACACAGCATGAAGACATCACCTGCCCTGAACCAACTACAGATCAATATCAGAACAACAGCCAGCAGACAGTAACTTCCAGAAAATGGATGACCGTCCATCCCCAAGCTAAATCTGATGCTTACCTTTGTTCCTGGATAAGTCTATATTTCCCCTTCTCTTATCTGGCCCTCTCACTTTCAATTACTGATTTTTTGTACCATTCAAAAGAACTGTGTTCGCTAGGTGACACCCACACCTGGCATCACTTAACCCTCTAGTTACTTAAGTGCTTTATGCTGCCATTTCCTGTGTGTGTCCTCCTTTAGATCTAGTTTCCTTCTGCCTGACAGTGTCAGCCAAAGGGACATCAACACTTCTCCCTCCAAGACGGTCCAAAAAAATCTGTGTTCTGCCCACACTGAGCATCAGGCTATCCCAGCCTCACTACACAGAACTTCCACCCCTGGCATCTCGAAGATAAAACATCCTTCTGTTTGCCGTGCTGTATCCGTAATAGTTTTTTGTGCCCATTTTAATCAAATGGGTTGTTTGTAGTGTCTTCTGGATCTTAGTGAGTTAAAACACAAATAAGACCCCTCTCAAGTGTTCTTAATACAATTTAAAAATACATATATCCAGAAACTTGAGGAGGAGGTTTTGAAGGGAAAAAAAAGTAACTTGGTCTCACTTCCACATCCCACCTTTTGTCTGTCAGCTACATTTCTGCTTTTATACTCTCAGATGTACACAGTTGGCTCTATAATCTGAAAATCAGTGAGAAGCATTTATGGTTTATTTTTTGTAGAGACAGGATCTCCCTATGTTTTGTCAATTTCTTTTATGTTGTAGAATAATTATTGGCTTAAAGTTCTTTTTTTTTTTTTTTTGAGACAGAGTCTCGCTCTGTCGCCCAGGCTGGAGTGCAGTGGCGTGATCTCGGCTCACTGCAAGCTCCGCCTCCCAGGTTCAAGCGATTCTCTTGCCTCAGCCTCCTGAGTAGCTGGGACTACAGGCACCCGCCACCATGCCTGGCTAATTTTTTTGTATTTTTAGTAGAGACGGGGTTTCACCATGTTAGCCAGGATGGTCTCATCTCCTGACCTCGTGATCCACCCGTCTCGGCCTCCCAAAGTGCTGGGATTACAGGCGTGAGCCACCAGGCCCGGCCTAAAGTTCTTTATAATATTCTTCTTCTTCTTAAGAGACAGGGTCCCATTGGAGTGCAGTGGTGCCATCATAGCTCACTACAACCTCGAACTCCTGGACTCAAGTGATCCTCCTGCCTCAGCCTCTCAAGTAGCTGGGACCTCACCTGAGATCAGGAGTTCCACACCAGCCTGGCCAACATGTCGAAACCCCATCTCTACTAAAAATACAACAGTTATCCAGACATGGTGGTGCGTGCCTATAATCCCAGCTACTCAGGAGGCTGAGGCAGGAGAATCACTTGAAGCCGGGAGACGGAGGTTGCAGTGAGCCAAGATCAGCCTGGGCAACAGAGCAACACTCCATCTCAAAAAAATAAAATAAAAATAAAATAAAATTGTGGTGTTTGGGCCAGGTTCAGTGGCTCACACTGTAATTCCAGCTCTTTGGGAGGCCAAGGCAGGACTGCTTGAACACAGGAGTTCAAGACCAGCCTGAGCAACACAGCAAGACCCTGTCTCTATAAAATATAAAAATAAAAATAAGTTGTGGTGTTCAGTCAATAGATCGATCGATAGAAACATAAAATTTGCAATTCTTTTTTTTTTTTTTTTTTTTTTGGTAGCGACAAGGCTTGCTATGTTGCCCAGTCTGGTCTGGAACTCCGGGCCTCAAACAATCCTCTTGCCTTCGCTTCCCAAAGTGCTAGGATTACTGGTGTGAGCCACCATGCCCAGCCATTTAATCATTTTTAAAGGTACAATTCAGTGGGCATTAAGTACATTGACAATACTGAATAACCACCACCATTATCTATTTCCAAAATGTTTTTCATCACCTGAAACAAAAATGCTGTACCCATTAAGCAGTAACTCCCCATTTTCCCTTCCTCCTAGCCCCAGTAACCAAATCTACTTTCTATCTCTACAGATTTGCCTATTATGCATATTTCATATAAGTGAAATCATACAATGTTTGTTCTTTTGTGTCTGGCTTAGTTCACTTAGCATAGTGTTTGCAAGGTTCATCTGTGTCACAGCATATATCAGAACTTCATTCTTTTTTATGGCTCAATAGTATTCCATTGTAAGTATATATCACATCTGTTATGTATTATCTATATTGATGGACACTTGGGTTGTTTCCACCTTTTAGCTATTATGAATGATGCTGTTGTGAACACTGGCTTACAACAATCCATTTGAATCCCTGTTTTTTCTTTTTTCTTTTTTTTTTTTTTTGAGATGGAATCTTGCTCTGTCGCCCAGGCTGGAGTGCAGTGGTGCAACCTCAGCTCACTGCAATCTCCGCCTCCCGAGGTGATTCTCCTGCCTCAGCCTCCTGAGGAGCGGGGATTACAGGTGCCTGCCACCACGCTCGGCTACTTTTTGTATTTTTTAGCAGAGACAGGGTTTTGCCATGTTAGCCAGGCTGGTCTTGAACTACTGACCTCAGGTGATCTGCCCGCCTCCCAAAGTACTAGGATTACAGGCATGAGCCACTGCACCTGGCCACAGTCCCTGTTTTCAATTGTTTTGGATATATATGTAGGAGTGGAATTGCTGGATCATATGGTTTCTGTGTTCACCTTTGGGAGGAACTGCCAAACTCTTTTCCACAGTGGCTACACCACTTTACATTTTCATCAGCAATGTTCCCATTTCTCCACATCCTTGCCAACAGTTATTTCCCTTTTTTCTTTAAACTATTATAGCCATACTAGGTAAAATAAGATACCTGGTATGAAGTGGTATCTTATTTTGGTTTTGATTTGCATTTCTTAATGACTAATCATGTTGATGTGCTACTGGCCATCTGTATGTCCTCTCTGGAAAAATCTCTATTCAAGCCCTTTGTGCAGTTTTGAAACTGGGTGATTTTTATTGCTTTCAAAACATAATCAGAAGAATACTAAATTTGGAAAAATAAATATTCTAAGGCTGCTAAATAAGAACAAAGCCAGAAATAAACACACTGCTTTCTCCAAGTGGCTAGGAAACTTTAACAGTCCCAAACACTTTATAAATGTAGCTTCAGCCACCTATCCATCCACATTCAAAACACTGAAGGCCAAACATTCTGCCATAAATATGCCAAAGCCAGAAATAAAACTATAGGCCCTGTCAGCTCATGGAGTCCTTCTGATGCTAAGGAAAAAATCCCTTAAAAGGTAAATGAGCCCTGCTTCCAGATAGGTGTTCTCTAAATTACAACCATCAGAACTGGGACAAGACAATTTAGAACTTCAAGGTGCCTCCCAGGGAAGGGTTGGCAGTCTCTAGCACTGGTTCAGTATTTCCTCACACCTTCCTCCTCTCAAACTGAGTAACAGGTATCTTTAAAGGCCATAATATGAGAGGATTGCTTGAGGTCAGGAGTTTGAGTCTGCAGTGAGCCATGACTGTACCACTGCACTCCAGCCTGGGCGACACAGCAAGACCCTGTCTCAAAATAAAAATAAAAAAATAAAAGCCACAGTAAATTCTTAGGATCTACTTTATTTTCTTTGCTTAGGCTACATTTTCACTAGGAAAGAATAAATATGCTAGCTCAAAAGTACAATTCAATTAAACTAAAATTAATCCCTTCTTTCTAAGTCAAATGAAGCCCAATTTAGTCAAAGAAAATAGAAGCATAGGCTGGGCACGGTGGCTTACGCCTGTAATCCCAGCACTTTGGGAGGCTGAGGGGGGCGGATCACGAGGTCAGGAGATTGAGACCATCCTGGCTAACACGGTGAAACCCTGTCTCTACTAAAAATACAAAAAATTAGCCGGGCGTGGTGGTACACGCCTGTAGTCCCAACTACTCGGGAGGCTGAGGCAGGAGAATGGCGTGAGCCCGGGAGGCAGAGCTTGCAGTGAGCCAAGATCGCGCCACTGCACTCCAGCCTGGGCAACAGAGTGAGACTCCATCTCAAAAAAGAAAAAGAAAAAAAAATAGAAGCATAGTGGAAGATATTATTAGTCAAATTAATCTATTTCAGGGCCAGGCATGGTGGCTCACATCTGTAATCCCAGCACATTGGGAGGCCAAGGCAGGCAGATCACTTAAGCTTAGAAGTTTGAGACCCGCCTGGGCAACATGGTGAGACCCTGTCTCTACAAAATACAAAAAAAAAGAGCCGGTGCACACCTGTGGTCCCAGCTACTCCAGAGGCTGAGGTGGGAGAATCACTTGAGCCCAGGAGGTCAAGGCTGTGGTGAGTTGAGATCGTGCCACTGCATTCCAGTCTGGGCAACAGAGTGAGACCCTGTCTCAAAATAGTATATAAATAAATAAATTGGACTAAAATTTTATATTAAAAAAACACACAGTCCAGCCACGGTGGCTCATACCTGTATCCAGGCACTTTGGGAGGCCAAGGCAAGTGGGTCACTTAAGGTCAGGAGTTCGAGACCAACCTGACCAACATGGTGAAACCCCATCTCTACTAAAAATACAAAAATTAGCCAGGAATGGTGGCAGGCACCTGTAAGTCCCAGCTACTCAGGAGGCTGAGGTCCTTGAACCCAGGAGGTAGAGGTTGCAGTGAGCCAAGTTCATACCACTGCACTCTAGCCTAGGCAATGAAGCAAGACCCTATCTCAAAACAAAAACAAAAACAAAATACACACACACACACACACACACACACACACACACACACACTTACCTTTCAGCTGGGAGCAGTGGCTCACACCTGTGATCCCAGCTACTTGGGAGGCTGAGGTATCATGCCTCATGGAGGAGGATCACTTGAGACCAGGAGTTCAAGACTAGCCCAGGCAACATAGTGAGGTCCGATCTCTTAAATCTCAGCACTATGAGAGGCCAAGGTGGGAGGATTCCTTGAGGCTAGGAGTTCAAAACTAGCCTGGGTAACAGAGCAAGACCCTGTCTCTACAAAAAACTTTAAAAATTACCTAGTTGTAGTGGCGTGCCTATAGTCCCAGCTACTCGGGGGGCTGAGGTGGGAGGATCACTTGAGCCATAGTTTTTTTTTTTTGTTTTTTTTTTTTTTTTGAGACAAGAGTTTCACTCTTGTTGCCCAGGCTGGAATGCAATGGCGTGGTCTCTGCTCACTGCAACCTCTGCCTCCCGGGTTCAAGTGATTCTTCTGCCTCAGCCTCCCAAGTAACTGGGATTATAGGCACCTGCCAGCACACCCAACTAAGTTTTGTATTTTTAGTAGAGACAGGGTTTCACCATGTTGGCGAGGCTGGTCTCGAACTCCTGACCTCAGGTGATCCGCCTGCCTCGGCCTCCCAAAGTGCTAGGATTATAGGCATGAGCCACCATGCCCGGCGGAGCCATGGTTTCGAGGCTGCAGTGAGGTATGATTGCACCACTGCACAATGCGCCACAATTATTACTGTGTTGTAATGTCTAATGGTGTGTGTAATGCCTAATGGTGTGTGCTGAATGGTATTACTGTGTTGTCTGCCTAATGGTGACTTCTATTCCCATCATTCCTTCTATATTTATTAATCAAAATAAATCAGAATTCTGGCCGGGCACGGTGGCTCACTCCTGTAATCCCAGCACTTTGGGAGGCCGAGGCAGGTGGATCACAAGGTCAGGAGATTGAGACCATCCTGGCTAACATGGTGAAACCCTGTCTCTACTAAAAATACAAAAGATTAGCCAGGCTTGGTGGCGGGAGCCTGTAGTCCCAGCTACTCGGGAGGCTGAGGCAGAAGAATGGCGTGAACCCGGGGGGCAGAGCTTGCAGTGAGGCGAGACTGCGCCACTGCACTCCAACCTGGACAACAGAGCGAGACTCCGTCTCAAAAAAAAAAAAAAAAAAAAAAAAAAAGAAATTAGAATTCTATAAGGAAGAGTTGTCCCTTCATATCCATGTATTTATCAGTATAGACTTGTGGATATTTTGTCATTTAAATTCTTCTAGATTGGGCCCTTCAATTCCTTTAAAGTTAGCTCTTCGTACTTCTGACATGATTTTTGACCACTTCTTTACTATCTGTCACCATAAGATGTTCTAGGCTTGTCTTATAATTTTCCTGCCCGAACTCAGGAACCAACCATTTCACCAAGGAGCTCTGTTTCTTTTTATTGTAAGAATGGTATTTAGAAAACTCAGGATTTGGTTACTAGATATACTGATTGCTACTGAAGTATCACTGCTTTTAGGCCCTTTCAGCACATGGAGCTAAGAAATACATGTATGATTACTAGCCCACACACATACACACATCTAATTGCTGCTATCAGCACAGGTGTTTAAGCTCAATTAAGCTAAGAAAAAGTGTCAATAATATTTCATATCTTGGCAGGTTTAAAAACAAATTTTCATTTATTTAGTATGACCAGCTACAATCATCAACTGTTAGTGCTTGCAGTACTAAATGTGAAGTTCAAGGCTTCTGTACATTTATGCAAATAAGCTTTGCCTCATTCATTTATCAAGTATTTACTGACCATCTACTAGATGCCAGGCCCTGAACTCATAAGTGTAAAAGACAAAAAAAAAAGTCCATACCTTCAAGGAGCTTCCATACTAATGTGAAAAACAAACACATAGACAAAAATACAGATTGTGATAAGTGCTATGAAGAAACTAAGTAAGGTTCTATCACTGAAAATATGGTTTCCAGAGCAGAATATAATATAGGATGATCAGGGAAGAAGTGTCTGGGGAGACCTAATAAACTAAAGGTTGGAGGAGCAGGTGTGGATAAGGGTACTGGAAAGAACATTCCAAGCATAAGTAAAATCCCTGAGGTTAATTAAAATAAAAATGAAATTTAAAAAGCTTGAGATGTCCTAAAAACTGGTTCACCTCTTTCTGCCAATTAAGAAACAACCCAGGCCAGTCATGGTGGCTCACACCTATAATCCCAACACTTTGGGAGGCCAAGGCAGGTAGGTCACCTGAGTTGAGTTTGAGACCAGCCTGGCCAATATGGCAAAACCCCGTCTCTACTAAAAATACAAAAATTAGCCAGGCATGGTGGCACATGACTGTAATCCCAGCATTTTGGGAGGCCAAGGCAGGCAAATCACCTAAAGTCAGGAGTTCGAAAGCAGCTTGCCCAACATGGTGAAACCCCATCTCTACTAAAAATACAAAATTTAGTTAGGCGTGGTGGCACATGCCTGTAATCCCAGCTACTTGGGAGGCTGAGGCAGAAGAATCGCTTGAACACGGAGGTGGAGATTGCAGTGAGCCGAGATCGTGCCACTGCACTCCAGCCTGGGCGACAGAGCAAGACTCTGTCTCAAAAAAAAAAAAAAAAAAAGACAGAAACAACCCAATTCAAAATGGTCAAAGGACTTGAATAGACATTTCTTTAAGAAGGTATACCAACAGACAATAACAAAAAAATCCTCTGCATCATTCGTTAGACATTAGGAAAAAGCAAGTCAAAGCCACAGATACCACACACATCCACTAGGATGGCTACAAAAAGAAAAGAAAAGGAGTGTTGGTAAGGATGTGGAGAAATAGGGACCCTTGTACATTGCTGGTAAGAAGGCAAAGTGGTGCAGCCACTGTGGGAAACAGTTTGGCAGTTCCTCCGAAAGGTAAACAAAGAACTTCCACATGATCTGACAATTCCACCCCTAGGCATATACCCAAAAGAATTAAAAGCAGTGACTCATATGGACATTTGTAAGACAATGTTCACAGCAGCATTATTCGCAATAGCCAAAAGGTGGAAACAACCCAGGTGTCCATCAACAGATGAATGAATAAACAAAATGTGGTATACACTTACAATTAAATATTATTCAGCCATAAAAAAGAATGAAGTGGGCCAGGCACGGTGGCTCACGCTTGTAATCCTAGCACTTTGGGAGGCCGAGGCAGGCGGATCACAAGGTCAGGAGATCAAGGCCATCCTGGCCAACATGGTGAAACCCTGTCTCTACTAAAAATACAAAAAATAGCTGGGCGTGGTGGCACATGTCTGTAATCCCAGCTACTTGGGAGGCTGAGGCAGGAGAATCGCTTCGCTTGAACCCGGGAGTTGGAGGTTGCAGTAAACCAAGATCGCGCCACTGCACTCTAGCCTGGCAACAGAGAGAAACTCTCAAAAAAAAAAAAAAAGTGCTAGGATTACAGATGTGAGCCACTGTGCCCGGCCAAGAATGGAGTTTTAATACACACTATGACATGAACGAACCTTGTAAACATTAAGCTAAATGAACCAAGCCAGACACAAAAGGTCAAAAATTGTAATGATTTCACTTTTATGAAATATCTACAATAGGCAAATCTGTAGAGACAGAAAGTAAACAAGAGGTTACCAGGGGATCAGATGATGGAAGAATGGGGAGTTATTATTTAATAGGTACCGAGTTTGTTTCAGATGATGAAAAATTCAGGAAATGGACAGTGGCTATACAACATTGTGAATGTGTTAATGCCACTAAATTATACACTTTAAAATGGTGAATGTTATGTTATGTACATTTTACCAAAATTTTTTTTAAAAAGTTAAGGAAACAAAAAGTCAATTCTATAGCACTGGTTTTTCTAAATTGAAACTCTCCTAAGTAAAGGACAGTGTTAACCTGACTGAAATCATACAACTTAAAGTTATAAAGCAGAATGTAAAAAAAAAACTTAGACACAATGAGCAATCATAAAAATTTATAAACACTGACAAAGATCAGATTTTAAAATAAAGTTAGTTAATTCTGGTATAATTAATATTCATGAGGTTCTTTTCTATAAAGTTGACTTATATTTTAAAATAAATTATTTTTCCTTCAAATATCAGGACTTCCAGGCCCCAGAAAGTCCCTGCATTTCTTACCAACAATTCTTTGCCCCAGCACATATAGACACAGGATACACACAGCACCACTGCCAGCTATCTAACCGCTTTAACCTGGAAGTATCCATTCCGCCTCCGGGACGAGAGAAATGTTCCCTCTTCTCTCCCAGACTAGTGTCACAGCAAATGGGAAAATTCACTGACAACAGCATGCTCTTTTCCACCAATGGAACTTAATGCTATGACTTTTTCTCAGCTTTACCTATTAATAAATTCAATTTTCAAGATCTAAAGACCTTGCTGATGCTTTCAGCCTCTAATTTTATCTAACAAAGTGACTTCGTGCTTTGAGAAAAAAGACCTACAATGATATATCATGGCAAACAAACCAAGAAAAAACTGTGGCAAGGGGTCTATAAGCCCAAGGCTGCTGCTTTCATTAAACTGGCCAGTGACTGACCTTTGTATTCAGGGGTGAACTCCTTCATTTCGGGAGGGAGGGACTCGTAAAAGCGCTGTTCCCGGGAGATGAGGGGCTTGCACACAGTGTGATCGTCGTAACGCATCATGCTGCTGTGTCCGCCTACTTGGTGGATGAAGGGCTCCAGGAGGACTCCCCGGTCTCCAGCCCGACTTGCATTCTTGCCATACTGCCCCACTTCCATGGTTTGACAAACACACATTGCGTTGGGGGCCAGTTGCACACTGAGGGCAGAGGATGCAGCACATGGGCCACAAAAGGAGAGCTACATAGAAGGTCCTGGCCAGGTGAAAGCCAATGGTCAGATTCTATTCAGCTTATTATTCTGTCCTACAGAAAAGAAGAGAGGAAGAAGGAATCAAAACACTGGGTGAGTCACAATTTCCCTGGAGCTCCATGAGTGAGAGCAGGGACTCTTGTTTTGTTCCCTACTATGTGTATCCCTAGCACGTACAATACTACGTGGCACATGAAAGGCAGTTGGTTAAATTTTTGCTGAATGATGCAACCTTGGCCTCTTCCATCTATCTTGTGCACAGAAGCCCACATTCTCTGCCTTTCCTAGTTCCCACCTCCCTTCTGAGTTATCTAAAGGATTTTATTTTAGAGCTACAGCACATTACAACCATCAGGAAAGCACCTATCCCGGTTTACTTCACACCCAAAGATGAGATCAGAAAAAAACAGAAGGCAATGGGAATTTGTTCTGTTCAGACTCCTTAGGATATCCAGTACTGGTAAGGGTCTCTCCTTCACTCAGAGGAAGGGTTTCTGTCTGAGGAATTAGGTCACATGAGATTCCCAAATTCTCCACTGAAGGTGCCAAGGACCAGGCAGGCCATTCATTGCTGAGCTGTAGGACAGTGGTCCCCAAATTTTTTGGCAGCAGGAACCAGTTTCATGGAAGACAACTTTTCCACAGAACGGGTGTGGGGGCGATGGTTTCAGCATGATTGAGGCTGTACATTTATTGTACATTGTATTTCTATTACTACATTGTAATATACAATAAAATAATTATACAACTCACCATAATGTAGAATCCTTGGGAGCTCTAAGATTGTTTTCCTGCAACTAGACGGTCCCATCTTGGGGTGATGGAAGACAGTGACAGATCATCAGGCATTAGTTTCTCATAAGGAGCACTCAACCTAGATCCCTCACATGTGCAGTTCACAATAGGGTTCATGCTCCTATGAGAATCTAATGCCACCGCTGGTCTGACAGGAGGCAGAGCTCCGGCGGTAATGCAAGCAAGGGGAGCAGCTGTAAATACAGATGAAGCTTTGCTTGCTTGCTCGCCTACCACTCACCTCCTGCTGTGAGGCCCAGTTCCTAACAGGTCATGGACCAGTACCCAGGGACCCCTGCTATAGGATCATTAAGGTTTTGCTTTTCCCAAAGGAATTCAGGCTTCAGATTTCTTCTACTTTAAATCTATGGTTGTCAATTTATGACCATTCCCTTTCTGTCTGACTCTATACCAACCAGTGGGACAAGGAAAAGCTCCTTGTACTCAAACTCCCTCTTTATAATGTCAATTTTCTCTCAAAATATTTAAAGTAGTTGGCAAATTTCTTAACACTGAGTGTATTTTTAAATTAGGAATGTAGTCAGCAAGAATACATCAGAAAGATTAAGACCAAAAAAGAAAAAGTATTAGTAGAGCAGGAATATGGTCCCATATGTAAGAGACAAACCATCGGGTTTTTTGTTGTTGTTGTTTTTCCTGGATCTTGTAATTATGGACAAAATGGGGTACAAAATACCACTGCTGAGCTGTGATGGCACTACTGCACTCCAGCCTGGGTGACAGAGCAAGACCCTGTCTCAAAAAAGACAAAAAGAAAGAAAAAACTACTGCAAAACTGCAAAATCTTAACCCAAAGCTGCCCAGGCAGCTAGCTATGTTTTATTTCACTGCTATCACCAAAATCAATTATTCTGTACTCCCAGTCCCCAGATTGCACTATTTTAATGCACATACACTTCTTTTTTTTTTTTTTTTTTGCCTAGTTATCCTGAATGAAGTCTAGGAATACTACCTGGGACAAGGCAATACTGCCTTCAGGTCAAGGCAACTCTGCCCCAGGTAGTATTCCTAGACTCCATTCTCTCCAAACCTGAGTATAGTGCACACATCTATGACTCCTAAGGTACCCTATGCCAGCTCTACCATATCAATATACCACTGTGCTGTCATCTATTAACTCACTGTCATCACCACCAAACCATTGTCTCTTATTTCCACAGCAAAAGTCCAAGGCAGTTTCCACCACGTAGTAAATACTTAAAAATAGAGTTGCTGGATTGTGGAGGGCAGGTCAGGGTCTCTGGAGGTGGTCATTGCAGCTGTGGATCCTGTTCAGTACTGTAGATTGGCTTCTGCCCTGGCCCCGGTCAGGCTGAAGGAGGCCTATCTCTGGCTGTGCTTCTCCCTGGGAATGCTTCTGACTATGGACACAAGGAGAGTGCTAAATTTTCTAGCCTGAGTCATTGGGTGGCTGGGAAAAGATAGGGGTCACAGTGCCAGGTGACCCAGAAGAATGGTGCAGGAGGAGAGTCAAGGAAATAGGCCGGGTGCAGTGGTTCACGCCTATAATCCCAGCACTTTGGGAGGCCGAGGCGGACGGATCACCTGAGGTCAGGAGTTCAAGACCAGCCTGGCCAACATGGCGAAACCCCGTCTCTTCTAAAAATACAAAAAAAAAGGTAGCTGGGCATGGTGGCACATGCCTGTAATCTCAGCTACTTGGGAAGCTGAGGCACAAGAATCACTTGAACCCAGAAGGCAGAGGTTTCAGTGAGCCGAGATTGCGCCACTGCACTCCAGCCTGGGCGACAGAGCGGGACTCCTCAAAAAAGAAAAAAAAAAAAATTGAAATAGCCCTTCCCCTGACTCTGAGAGATCTGTGGCAACTTCTGCAGCTTCCACAGGACTGAGGGCAGAGTCCACTCTTCAGTCTATCTAGACATTTGGTATTTGTTTCCATATGATGTCAACATGAAGTCATGGCATTGTTTTTGTGTTTGAAATAGTCTCCTAAGAGTAAATATACCACATATCTGTAACTCTGTTTTGATGGTACTTTCTTAATAACCCTGAAATCTGAAATAGTGGAAGTACCCCAGAACCCTCTCAAGCTCTGTGAAGCCTTGCTTTACAAGGTGTGGATGGAGCCTCATAAGTCACTTAACTTCTCCAAGTCTCCTCACACTCCTAACCCTGCAGGATTTGCAGATGCAGGTAAAGGGCTTGGGCTTGCCTCGCCTAGTGCCCATCCCTGGAAATAGCAACGGCTCTGACTCCTTTTTTTTTTGTTGTTGTTGTTGTTGTTGAGATGGAGTCTCACTGTCGCTAGGCTGGAGTGCAGTGGCGCGATCTCGGCTCACTGCAACCTCTGCCTCCAGGGTTCAAGCGATTCTCGTGCCTCAGCCTCAGCCTCCTGAGTAACTGGGATTACAGGTGTATGCCACCACACCCAGCTAATTTTTGTATTTTTAGTGGAGACGGGGTTTCACCATGTTGGCCAAGATGGTCTCAATCTCTTGACCTCATGATCCACCCACCTCAGCCTCCCACAGTGCTGGGATTACAGGCATGAGCCACCATGCCCAACCCTGACTTTTTTTTTTATCAACCAGAGGTTACTCCTGAAGTCTGGTGTCCACAGAGGCTACTGTGAAAACTACTGTCTGAGAAGGCCGTAGATGATGATGATGTTGGTTGCCTGCATAACGTCTTTCTCTGCTACTTCATTGCTAATAGAGCCCCAATCTTATTCAGGTAGCCAACTGCAAAGTATCTGCTCCCCAAGAGGTTATGGGGTTCCATTGCTCTGCTATGAGTTTATGCACCTCTCAGCTACAATAGAGACTCTGTCCTTTGTTTGCTTTGTAATACTTTAGTTACATATTTTAAGATAATTATTGCGTAAAATGCAAAGAACGCTATGTATGAAAAGAACTTGCTGAGATTCTGATTTTTTTCTCACTGGTGAATTGCAACAAATGGAAAGAAATTTTTACTGCAAAAATATTAGTTACAATAGTTAGGTTGACTTTCTGGTTATAATAACAAACTCCTTGAACATACCATTGAATTCCAAAAGGAATTATGTCTCCATTCAAGTAAAAAGAAGTTTCTCATGTTAATGAAATGTAATTTTTTGTTGTTGTTTTCCTTTTTAGAGTTGGGGGTCTGTCGTCCAGGCTGGAGTACAATGATATGGTCATGGCTCACTGCAGCCTCTAACTCCTGGGATCAAGGGATCCTTTCACCTCAGCCTCCAAAATAGCTGGGACTACAAGTATATTCACCATGCCCGGCTAACTTAAAAAAATTTTTTTTTTTTAAAGACAGGGTTGGCCGGGTGCAGTGCCTCACGCCTGTAATCCCAGCACTTTGGGAAGCCAAAGCGGGTGGATCACAAGGTCAGGAGATTGAGACCATCCTGGCTAACACAGTGAAACCCCGTCTCTACTAAAAATACAAAAAAATTAGACGGGTGTGGTGGCGGGCGCCTGTAGTCCCAGCTACTCGGGAGGCTGAGGCAGGAGAATGGCGTGGAACCTGGGAGGCAGAGCTTGCAGTGAGCCGAGATCGCGCCACTGCACTCCAGCCTGGGCAACAGAGCAAGACTCCATCTCAAAAAAAAAAAACCCAAGGAACCATTTCACTTTTGCATGTGTGTGTGTGTGTGTGTGAGTTTCGCTCTTGTTGCTCAGGCTGGAGTGGCAATGGTGCAATCTCGGCTCACCTCAATCTCCACTTCCCAGGTTCAAGTGATTCTCCTACCGTAGAGACGGGGTTTCTCATGTTGGCCAGACTGGTCTTTAACTCCCGACCTCAGGTGATCTGCCCGCCTAGACCTCCCAAAGTGCTGGGGATTACAGGCGTGAGCCACTGCGCCTAGCCTTTTTTTTTTTTTTTGAGACAGAGTCTCACTTCGTCACCCAGGCTGGAGTGCAGTGGTGCGATCTTGGCTTACTGCAACCTCCACCTCCTGGGTTCAAGCAATTCCCATGCCTCAGCCTCCCAAGTAGGTGGGGACTACAAGCGCACCCCACCATGCCCAGCTAATTTTATTTTTGTATTTTTACTAGAGACGGGGTTTTGTCATGTTGGCCAGGCTGGTCTGAAACTTCTGACCTCAAGATGACCTGCCTGCCTCAGCCTCCCAAAGTGCTGGGATTACAGGCATGAGCCACTATGCCTGGCCGCCATTTCACTTTTTGCCATGAGACTGTCAAAAAATAAAAAGTCCACAAGCTCTGCATTCCTTCCCACCCCCATTTTCTCTCTGCCTTCACTTCCTACCCTTGTCTCCCCACTGCTTATTATCCCACTCCAGCCATACTGGCCTTCATGATGTTCCTCAAACACATCAGGCATATATATATTCCCTAGCTTCTTTGCACTAGTCATTCCCTCTGCCTAAACATTCTTCCCCCAGATAACCACATGGCCAACTCCCTCACCTCCTTCAAAAGTCTTTGATCAAAATGTCTCTTTCTCAATGAAAGGTCTATCCTACCCTCCCTAGTTTAAAATACACCACCACCTGCACCCTCCACCCCCTTTAATTGGCTCTTCTTTTTCTTTTCTTCATTAAGGCATTTATCCCCTTCTGGCATATTACATACTTTACTTACTGATAATGTCTACTGTTTATTATTTATGATGATGATGTCAGTTATATGAGTATCCTAAGTGCCCTGAGTAGTACCTGGCATATAGTAACTACACAATAAATCTGGCTGAATAAATATATGTATGTTTATGATATACATAACAGATGTATATAGTAGGGTAAATATATAACATATGAAAAAGTGTTTATAAAGGGACAAGTTCTTTTTGTTTTAAAATATTAGGGTTATAAACCAAAAAAGTTTACATTTCTAACCTAGACCTAGCAAAAACCAGAACAAACGGGTCATGTGGCTTTATGAAAAACAAAATATGTTGGCCACATGACAGAATTCGAAGTCAGCAAATAAAAAGAACATAAAATTGTGTTTTAACTCTTTTAAGATTTGATATATGAAGGAAAAATAGGTTTAAATGCACCCAAATGAGAATAGCCACAATAACAAGGACAAAATCAAAGCAAAATACAGAAGGAAAAAGACAGCCTATGAGGAGGAGAATTAGACTGTTTTTATCAATGATACAAAAGAGATTAAAAAGGGGGAAAAAAATCAGGCAAACACATAAATAATCTCAACTATAAAAGATTAATCAGGCCAGCTGTGGTAGTCATGCCTGTAATCCTAACACTTTGGGTGGCCAAGGCTGGAGGATCACTTGAGCCCAGGAGTTTGAGACCAGCATAGGCAACATGGCAAAACTTCACTTTTACCAAAAAAAAAAAAATTACAAAAATTAGCCAGGCGTGGTGGTGTACACCTATAGTCCCAGCTACTCAGGAGACTGAGGTGGGAGGATGGCTTGAGCCCAGGAGGTGGAGGTTGCAATCAGCTGAAATCATGCCACAGCACTCCAGCCTGGGTGACAGATTCAGATCTTGTCTCAGGGGAAAAAAAAAAAAGATGAATCAGGCCATGTATGGTGGCTCACACCTGTCATCCTAACACTTTGGAAGGCCAAGGTGGAAGGACTGCTTGAGGCCAGGAGTTCAAGACCAGTCTGGGCAACATAGCAAGATGCTGTCTCAATGACAATAATAATGATAGTAAGGAGAAGAACCAGACTAAAGAACTTGTTGAACCAAATTTAGGAGAAATCATATGAGTTTTTTTTTGTGTGTGTTTATTTTAATGCAACAACACATCAAGCCTAGAAAGTGACAATGAATAAAAAACCTTGGCAGGGAAAAAGAGACTGCAATCAGATATAGTGGCGAACAAGGTCAGGACTACTTTAAGAGCTAGGAAGGCACTGTCTCTACAGCAATTGCAAGACAATACCTGGTCACCAGATTCTTTAGTTGGGCAGGCACAGACACACACTAAAAATGCAGATCAGCAGGTATATACTCTAAGAAGTTCAGTTAGAATTCCAAATTATTTGGCCAACATATTTTTACAACCTCAGATTAACCACTTGGGTTTGATATGCAATCTTTTTTTTTTTTTTGAGACAGGGTCTCACACTGTTGTCCAGACTAGATTGCAGTGGCACAACACAGTTCACTACATCACTACAGCCTCGACCTCCTGGGCTCAAGTGATCCTCCCATATCATCAGCCTTCCAAGTAGTTGAAAACACAGGTGTGTGCCACCAAGCCTGGCTTTTTTTTTTTTTTTTTTTTTGTAGAGACAGGGTTTCACCATGTTGCCCAGGCTGGTCTCGAACTCCCGAGCTCAAGATATCCACTTGTCTCGGCCTCCCAAAGTGCTGGGATTACAAGCATGAGCCACCATGCCCAGCCACATTTGCAATGTTTTTATAGAATAAAGTGAAGCACCTTTAGTGCCTTCACATTTCACAGGTATATTTGCAGATTTCCTCAACATTTCATTAAAAATTAGTTTATAAATCCAGTATTTCTATTACCTCTTCTAAAATTAAATATATCCACTTAAGCACTATAGGTACCATGACAAAGTATCATACCCTTTTTAAAATTCATAAAATTTGTGTAATTAAAGTTAAACTTGGTAAGTCAGGAATGCTAAGTAAAATTCTGGCAACAGTATTTTTGGTTTTGGCAAATGTGTCTTTAATTTGTTTTTTACTGTATGATACAATCCAAAGGAAAAATAATAAAACTAATTGAACTGAAAAGAGCTGAAGAGAAAATAAACTGATAAGTCACTCTAACAGAAAAGAACAACACATAAAACTTGGGCTATACAGCTCTGGATTTTATGAAAACTAATTTCTAATTAATTTCAGAAATAAAAAAGCATTGACATGGACTTTGACAGGAAAAGATACCAAAACACCTTCAAGAATCACAGACAAAAACACTATAGCAGAAAACCAACATGAAAACACGTTTGTCCTCTAAATCTTACAACCAAGGGAATCCAATGATTTCTTAAATTCAAGCCCATTCTTCCCTTTGTATATGAGACTGTAGACACTGATATAGATTAGGCATAGTTATGAGGGTGAGAGAGAACAATCCTCCTGTACCGTGAGGAGAAGGGAAACATAGGGAGTGTTCTTCATGTAAGTAGGGCTGTCAACCCTACTTGGAACCTACCCTTCCAAGCTACTAGGGACTGGCACATCCCTCAGAAACCAGAAATGTGTATAGATGTCTAGAGTAATCTGGGAGAAGAAAGAGAGGGAATCTATGTTGCCATTTGTCTCTAAAGAAGAGATGAAAGATTGTTTAGATTCCTGGGTCCTATCACAGGAGCTAGGAAACCATGGCATCCTGAGGCCACCTGGCTAAGAACAAACAGGGAACAAGGAAAAAAGGAAACTTAGCAGGGGACCTGAGATGTGCCAGCCCATCAACGAACAGCAAGAACAGAATTAATTTAGGTCAAGGAGAGAATCTAGAGTCCACTGAACCTCTTTCCTGTTTTTACTGGATTCCTAAAGATTAGAAATATGTGCTTCCCTAAATACATTTTTTAGTAAAGACCCTTTTGACATCAGCTGTGTCAAATGTACTAAGAAGTGGGGGAAAGGAGATATGTGAAGAATTTTCAGAACTGACGTTCAAAGTGATACAGGGGAAATCAAAATGAAATGCACAAAAAGAAAGGAGAAGGGCCGGGCGCAGTGGCTCATGCCTGTAATCCTAGCACTTTGGGAGGCCAAGGCGGGTGGATCACCTGAGGTCAGGAGTTCGAGACCAGTCTGACCAACATGGAGAAACCCTGTCTCTACTAATACAAAAAATTAGCCAGGCATGGTGGTGGGTGCCTATAATCCCGCTACTTGGGAGGCTGAGGCAGGAGAATCACTTGAACCCAGAAGGCAGAGGTTTAGGTGAGCCGAGATCACGCCATTGCACTCCAGCGCCTGGGCAACAAGGGCAAAACTCCATCTCAAAAAAAAAAAAAAAAAAAAAAAAGAAAAAAGAAAGAAAGGAGAAACAAAGGTGCTGAAACATTCTCTGCTCATGATTATGCTTTAATAAGAAGCCACTGGATTACCTGTGCTGTGACAAAATAGTACATGCGAGCCATCCCTGAATCAGCTAAGTCTCACCTAGCACATTTACAACTGAATGAAAATATGGTCAAATCTAGAAAGCACACATGTAGAAGGATGGGAGAAATGGTTCTAAAAGGAACACAAAACCACAGAGCACTTAAAATTAAACTGTCTAAACTGCTCACATGTGAAATGATGAGCCTCCTGGACTTATTTCCTATCACCAATCCCACTGAAGACCAAAGCTGAAGAGAGAAGCTTCCATACAACTGAAAGATAGATGCAAAAGCCTGGTCTCACACATTAGGTTTCTGGCATGAATGGTAAACTCTGACTCCTTTTCTTCACCACTATCCTACTGTAGCTTAACTGAAAACGTTAAGCACAGTGGGGACAAGTTGACAGGACTAAGGCAGAGGTAAACAAGCTCTAAGGTTACTGGGAGAATGGTGTACACACCTCCCTACTGGGGAATTACTCCTCACCATGTTATCTTTTGAAAAACCTCTACTATCTCTGCTAGGCAGGGTGGCTCACACCTGTAATCTTAGCACTTTGGGAGGCTGAGATGTGTGGATCGCCTGAGCTCAGGAGTTTGAGACCAGCCTGGGCAACATGGCAAAATACTGTCTCTACAAAAAAAAAATTAGCCAGGCTTGGTGGCTCATGCCTATAGTCCCAGCTACTTGAGGGGCTGAGACAGGAGGATTGCTTGAGCCTGGAAGGCGGAGGTTGCAGTGAGCCAAGATTGCGCCACTACACTCCAGCCTGGGTAACAAAGTGAGTCCCTGTCTCAAAAATAAAAATAAAAAATAAAAAAACTGCTCTCTCTCCATTTCAGAACACAAATAAAAGCTCTTGTCACTCACGCTAATTTCAATTATCTATAACACTGGTTTTATACATGGAGTTCATCTTAGGTACAAATCTACTACCTTATATTAGCAATATTCACATGTGTCCTATTATTAAAAAAGGGAAAACATGGCAATAAAATTTCATACATCTAGGAAAGGTGAAGCCAAAGCTCTGGTCACAGCATTGACCTTTTTAGATTATCTGGGGGCTTTATTTAGGACCCCCTATCAAAAATGGTTACTAGTGGCCAGGCGCAGTGGCTTACGCCTGCAATCCCAGCACTTTGGGAGGCCGAGGCAGGTGGATCACGAGGTCAGGAGATCAAGACCATCCTGGCTAATACAGTGAAACCCCGTCTCTACTAAAAGTACAAAAAAATTAGCCAGGCATGGTGGCGGGCGCCTGTAGTCAGTCCCAGCTACTCGACAGGCTGAAGCAGGAGAATCGCTTGAGCCTGGGAGGCGGAGGTTGCAGTGAGCTGAGATCGCACCACTACACTCCAGCCTGGGGTGACAGAACAAGACTCCATCTCAAAAAAAAAAAAAAAAAAAAAAGGTTACTAGCTTTAAACAAGAAAACTCTCCAGAGTAAGGAATTATACAACTATGAAATAGCTGCTGGCCATCCACTTCTCCATCAGCCAGGAAGAACACTGGTAATGAGGCTGACATACCTATCAAGGACAGTAACTACCACAGCACGTCTGCAGTTTCATATTGGTGGAGCATTCGTTGTATCCCTGGGAGCCGTAGTTCTCTGTAAATTTGCTGTGGCTGAACCAAGAAAGAAGGCATACCCAGATTTCTACAGAAATTATGACTTCATGAAAGAATTTTAGATGAGAAAAGCTAGTATCTTTCAGAGTGCAAAGTAATTTTGGAATATAAGGAGTTTCTTTGGCCAGGCGTAATGGCTCATGCCTGTAATCCCAACACTTTGGGAGGTGAGGCAGGCAGATCACCTGAGGTCAGGAGTTTGAGATCAGTCTGACCAACATGGTGAAACCTCATCTCTACTAAAAATACAAATATAGCAGGTGTGGTGGCGCATGTCTGTAATCCCAGCTACTCTGGGAGGCTGAGACAGGAGAATCGCTTGAACCCAGGAGGCGGAGGTTACAGTGAGCCAAGATCCAGCCTGGATGACAGAGCGAGACTCTGTCTCAAAAAAAAAAAATACCCAACAGTTTCTTTGGGTTGAATTTCCTATTAGTTTTGTCACTAACCTGTGTTCCTGAACTATGAAACATGAATATGTGGGCTAGCAAATAGTTTATCTTGATAAATAAACAATTAAAAAAAAAATACCTTCTATCTTTCTATGGTATCTCAATGACACCACAAAACTGTTAGGACTCCAAAGCAGTTTTAAATCACTGAATTCTGAGAGGCACTAAAAATCAGATATGGCTAAAATCTGGAGGACTCTTCCTTTGGGGGTGAAATCATTTAAATGCCTTGATGCTTATACTACTCTGAAGATTATCTGAAAATATAGTCAAAGATCAAATTCTTCAGACACAGACACAGATGTATTCAGCTGCAGTTAGAGACTAAGGCAAAACGTCCACCACAAAATACAACTCCAATGAGTTTTATTCTTTTGAGATAATGTGCTGTTACTCCCACATATGGCCAGGGACCAGCTCCAGTTCTCTCCTCCAAGGACCAAGTTCCTAGCATCCTGTGTTCCTATTGGACCTCCATCTCAAGGGCCAAACAGCATATTTCTTATATAGTTAGACATTTAGAAAACAGTGTAAGGAGATTTCAGGGCACAAACTCTACAGAAACTCCCTCTTTCAGACACCACACATCCTGGAGGCAACATAATGACCATCTATTTGAACATCCATCATGTAGATAAAGATTTTATTAGAGTCTTAGACTAGGTGGACAAAACAACAACAACAACAACAAAAAACGACTTTATTAAAGGTTACCCAGAAGCAGATCAGCAACATGGAAATTAGTAGACTATGTGAAGTAAATACGTGAAGAAAACCTATAACAAGGGGTGAACAACCAGCATAATGCCTCACAAAATGCCATCAAGTTTGACTGCTTCAAGCAGATTAGATTCCAGCTGTCTTCCAACCCTCTAGTGAAATACCAGAATTATTGTTTTTTCTTTCTTTCGAGACAGGGTCTCACTCTGTCACCCAGGATGGAATGCAGTGGCACGATCACGGGTTACTACAACTTGAATTCTTGGGCTCAGGCGATCCTTCCCACCTCAGCTTCCTGAGTGGCTGGGACTACAGGCCACCCAGCTATTTTCCCTTCCTTTTTTTTGTAGAGATGAGGTCTCACTTTATTGCCCACGCTGGTCTCCATCTCCCAGCTTCAAGTGATCCTCCTGCCTTGGCCTCCCAAAGTGCTGCAATTATAGGCCTGAACCACCATGCCCAGCCTAATTATTACTGTTAAGTACTTTAAATATTAGAAAAGCACTTCTGTCCACCTCATAGACAACCCATAGTTTCAGAGAGATGGGGACTAACCTTCACCTACGCAAACCCATCAACAACTTCCCAACTTAGAAAAGCAGACAGGTGGAGGCTGGACGCAGTGGCTCAAGCCTGTAATTCCAACACTTTGGGAGGCCGAGGTGGGCAGATCACTTGAGGTCAGGAGTTCAAGAACAGTCTGGCCAACACGGTGAAACCCCGTCTTTACTAAAAATACAAAAATTAGTCGGGCATGGTGGCAGGCACCTGTAATCCCAGCTACTCGTGAGGCTGAGGCAGGAGAATCACTTGAACCCGGGAGGCAGAGGTTGCAGTGAGCCGAGATAGTGCCACTGCACTCCAGCCTGGGCAACAGAGTGAGACTTCGTCTCAAAAAAAAAAAAAAAAAAAAAAGTGAAAAGCAAAAAGCGGAGAGGTGGTTCCAAAGATACATCATTCCTTAAGAGCAGTTTCCAAATTTCTCCAAATTTCTCCACTCCCTCAACTTCCTTTCCTGACTCTCATGTGACATCAGGAATTAAACAGCCTGAACATGCAGAGCTCTCAGGATTCTGGGAGTCAGAAACCATGTGAAAAAATCAATGCCACAATTAACAAATTATGTACCCTTCAATGTGCCAATTCACCTATTTTCCCTGTCAACAGATTTGAGATTACTTATCTACTTCTCAGAGTGAGGTAATATATGAAAAAACACTTTTCAAATATATGCTATACTGATTCAGCTAAAGCAATGCTAACGTTTTAAAGTCTAAAAGTATTGCAAAAAACCTGTAAAACTGGCCGGACGTGGTGGCTCACACCTGTAATCCCAGCACTTTGGGAGGCCGAGGCGAATGGATCACGAGGTCAAGAGATCGAGACCATCCTGGCCAACACGGTGAAACCCTGTCTCTACTAAAAATACAAAAAATTAGCTGGGCATGGTGGTGGGCGCCTGTAGTCCCAGCTACTCGGGAGGCCGAGGCAGGAGAATCACTTGAACCCGGGAGGTGGAGGGTGCAGTGAGCGGAGATCGTGCCACTGCACTCCAGCCTGGCGACAGAGTGAAACTCCATCTCCAAAAGAAAAAACCTATAAAGTTAATGACCTGGCCGGGCGTGGTGGCTCACTCCTGTAATCCCAGCACTTTGGGAGGCCGAGGCGGGCGGATCACGAGGTCAGGAGATCAAGACCATGGTGAAACCCCATCTCTACTAAAAATACAAAAAATTAGCCGGGCGCAATGGCAGGCACCTGTAGTCCCAGCTACTTGAGAGGCTGAGGCAGGAGAATGGCGTGAACCCGGGAGGCGGAGCTTGCAGTGAGCCAAGATCGTGCCACTGCACTCCAGCCTGGGCAACAGCGCGAGACTCCGTCTCAAAAAAAAAAAAAAAAAAAATTAATAACCTAAGGTTCTCATTAACAACTTAGAAAAAAGGCCAGGTGTGATGGCTTGCACCTGTAAACCCAACATTTCAGGAGACCAAGGCAGGAGGATGACTTGAGGCCAGGAGTTCAAGAGCACCCTGGTCAACAGAGAAAGACTCTGTCTCTACAGAAAAAATGAAAATTAGGCAGGCATGGTGGTACATGCAGTCCCAGTTTGGAGGCTGAGGCACCGAGATTACTTAAGACCAGGAGTTTGAGGTTACAGTAAGCCATGATTGCACCATTGCACTCCAGCCTGGGTGACAGAGTGAAACCCTGTCTCTCTCTCTTTCATTTATTTTTTCTGGTGAGATGGGGTCTCACTGTTGCCCATGCTGAAGTGGCCTGGCACGATCTTGGCTCACTGTAACCTCTGCTTACTGGGCTCAAACGATCCTCCCAGCTCAGCCCTGAGAGTAACTAAAACTACAGGTATGCACCACCATGCCCAGATAATTTTTGTATTTTTTGTAAAGACAGGATTTCATCATGTGGCCCAGACTGGTCTCAAACTCCTGTACTCAAGTGATTCACCCACCTCAGCCTCCCAAAGTGCTGGGATTACAGGCAAGAGCCACAAGCATCTTTAAGAAAGAACAGGCCGGGTGTGGTGGCTCACACCTGCAATCCCGGTACTTTGGGAGGCTGAGGCAGGCGGACCATGAGGTCAGGAGACTGAGACCAACCTGGCCAACATGGTGAAACCCCGTCTCTACTAAAAATACAAAAATTAGCTGGCAAGGTGGCGGGCGCCTGTAATCATAGCTACTTGCCCTACTTGGGAGGTTGAGGCAGAAGAATCACTTGAACCCGGGAGGCAGAGGTTACAGTGAGCCAGGATCGTGCCACTGCACTCAAACCTGGGCAACAGAGCGAGACTCTGTCTCAAAATAATAATAATAATAATAATAATAATCTGAACACTCCTATATCTATTAAGAAAACTGAGTCTGCGATCAAAAATCTTTCCACGAAGAAAACTCCAGACTAGGTTTCACTAGTGAATTCTATCAAACTTTTAAGAAAGAAATATCAATCTTACATAATTTTTTTTCAGAAAACAGAAAGAGAGAGAAAGAGAGTAGTTCCCAACTTGTTTTACGAGGTCAATTATTGCTTTTTTTTTTTCAGACATAATCTTACTCTGTGACCCAGGCTGGAGTGCATGGCACAATCCCAGCTCATGGCAACCTCTGTCTCCCAGGTTCAAGTGATTCTCCTGCCTCAGCCTCCTGAGTAGCTGGGATTATAGGAGCGCACAACCACGCCCAGCTAATTTGTGTATTTTTAGTAGAGACGGGGTTTCACCACGTTGGCCAGGCTGGTCTCAAACTCCTGACCTCAAGTGATCCACCTGCCTCAAGTGATCCACCTGCCTCAGCCTCTCAAAGTGCTGGGATTATAGGCGTGAGCCACCATGCCTGGCCAAGGTCAATTATTTCTTTTTTTTTTTTTTTTTGAGACGGAGTCTCGCTCTGTCACCCAGGCTGAAGTGTAGTGGCGCAATCTCGGCTCACTGCAAGCTCCGCCTCCCGGGTTCACACCATTCTCCTGCCTAAGCCTCCCCAGCAGCTGGGACTACAGGCGCCCGCCACACACCCGGCTAATTTTTTTTGTATTTTTTAGTAGAGACGGGGTTTCGCCGTGTTAGCCAGGATGGTCTCGATCTCCTGACCTCGTGATCCACCCGCCTCGGGCTCCCAAAGTGCTGGGATTACAGGTATGAGCCACCGCGCCCGGCCAAGGTCAATTATTTCTAATAACAAAACCTAAAAAAGAACCTTAACAAAATAAATAAGAAAAAAGATTTTAGAACAATGTCCTTCATGAATACAGATACAAAAATCTTCAAAAATTTTTAGCAAAACAATTCCAATGATATATAGAAAGAATCCCTCATGACAAAGTGGGAAATGCAAGGTTGATTAAACATCTAAAGAATCAATCAGTATTACTACTCATCATATTAACAGAAATAAGGAGAAAAGCCATAAGATGTAATCATCTCAATAAATACAGGAAAAAAACCTGACAAAATTCAGTACCCATTCATAATTAAAAACTCTCAACAGGTTGGGTGTGGTGGCTCACGCCTGTAATCCTAACACTTTGGGAGGCTGAGGCGGGAGGATCACTTGGGGTCAGGAGTTCGAAACCAGCCTGGCCAACATGGTGAAACCCCGTCTCTACTAAAAATAAATAAAAATAAATTAGCTGCGCATGGTGGCGGGCACCTGTAATCCCAGCTACTCGGGAGGCTGAGGCAGGAGAATTGCTGGAACCCGGGAGGCAAAGGTTGCAGTGAGTCAAGATCACGCCACTGCACTCCAGTGTGGGCAACAGAGCAAGACTGTTTCCAAAAAAACCTCTCAACAAACTAAAGATAGAAGGAAACTTCTTCCTCACTTAATAAAGGGTATTTATGAAAACCCTATAGCTACTGGGTGCGGTGGCTCATGCCTGTAATTGCACACTTTGGGAGGTGAACGTGAGAGGATCACTTGAGCCCAGGAGTTTGAGACCAGCCTGGGCAACATAGTGAGACC
Source organism: Homo sapiens (assembly GCF_000001405.40). Classification (NCBI taxonomy): domain Eukaryota; kingdom Metazoa; phylum Chordata; class Mammalia; order Primates; family Hominidae; genus Homo; species Homo sapiens. Next base: position 49,764,209 of record NC_000003.12, read on the forward strand.
CCATTTCTACAAAAGAAAAAAAAAATAGCCAGACATGGTGATGCACACCTATAGTCTCAGCTACTCAGGAGGCTGAGGTGGGAGGATTGCTTAATTTCAGGAGTTCAATGCTGCAGTGCGTTATGATTGTACCACTGCACTGCAGCCTGGGCAACGAAGCAAGACCCTGTCTCTAAAACGAGAAAAATTTTAAAATATATACAACAAACAAATTATATATTGATTGTGTATGTTATCAGTGAGGCTTCCAGTCAACAGTAGGCTACTAATAATTAAGCTCTGAGGGAGTCAAAAGTTATATGCAGGTTTTTTGACTGTGTGGGGAGTTGACACCCCAACCCCCACACTGTACAAGAGTCAACTATATACATTCAAGAATCCCAATGAAGTCCAGGTGTGGTGGCTCATGCCTGTAATCCCAGCACTTTGGGAGGCCAAGGCAAGCAGATCACTTGAGGTCGGGAGTTCAAGACCAGCCTGGCCAACATGGCACAATCCCATGTCTACTACAAATACAAAAATTAGCCTGGCGTGGTAGTGCACACCTGTAATCCCAGCCACTAGGAAGGCTGAGGCATGAGAATCACTTGAGCCTGGGAGGCGGAGGTTGCAGTGAGCAACCTGCACCACTGCACTATAGCCTGGGTGACAGAGTGAAACTCTGTCTTGAAAAAAAAAAAAAAGAATCCCAATGAACCCAAATAGGATAAACTCAAAGAGACCCATATGAGACACATTATAAAACAAAAACGTGTTATGAAACTATTGAAACCAAAAGACAAGAATGAATATTTAAAGCAGCAAGAGAAAACTGATGCCTCAAGTACAAAAGATCCTAAACGAGATTAACAGCAGATTTCTCCTCAGAAACCTCCAAAAGGCAGTAGGATAACATATATAAGTCCTAAAGGAAAATACTGTCAACCAAGAATTCTACATCTGAAAATACTATCCAAGAATGAAAGAGAAATTAAGACATTTCCAGATAAAGACTAAGGGAGTTGCTAACTACTAGACCAGATCTACAAGAAATGCTAAAGGGAGTCCTTCAGGCTAAAATGAAGGGACACCAGACAGTAGCTAAAAAGAAAAAGAAAAAATATAGAACACTGGTAAGGGTAACTACATAAGTAAACATAAAAGCCACTGTAGGCAGGGCGTGGTGGCTCACGCCTGTAATCCCAGCACTTTGGGAGGCCGCGGCAGGCAGATCATGAGGTCAGGAGATGGAGACCATCCTGGCCAACATGGTCAAACTCTGTTTCTACTTAAAAAAAAAAAAAAAAAAAAAATTAGCAGGGCATGGTGGCACGTGCCTGTAATCCCAGCTACTTGGGAGGCTGAAGCAGAAGAATCACTTGAACATGGGAATCAGAGGTTGCAGGGAGCTGAGATCGCCACTGCACTCCAGCCTGGCAACAGAGCGAGACTCGTCTTAAAAAAAAAAAAAAAAAAAGGGCCGCTGTCACTGTACCTTTGGTTTATCATTTATCTCTTTTTCATATACCACTTAATAGTCAACTGATACATAAACTATGTAAAAATCTACATTACCCAGGCACTGTGGCTCACACCTGTAATCCCAGCACTTTGGAAGGCTAGGGCAGGTGGGTCACTTGAGACCAGGAGTTCAAGACCAGACTGGGCAACACAGCGAAACCCCATATCTAAAAAAAAAACACACAAAGCCAGGCGCGGTGGCTCACGCCTGTAATCCCAATACTTTGTGAGGCCGAAGCGGGCAGATGACGAGGTCAGGAGATCAAGACCATCCTGGCTAACATGGTGAAAGCCCGTCTCTACTAAAAATACAAAAAATTAGCCAGGTGTGGTGGCGGGCGCCTGTAGTCCCAGCTACTTGGAAGGCTGAGGCAGGAGAATGGTGTCAATCCGGGAGGCGGAGCTTGCCGTGAGCCGAGATTGCACCACTGCACTCCAGCTTGGGCTTCAGAGCAAGACTCCATCTCAAAAAAACAAAAACAAAAACAAAAACAAAAAGCACAAAAATTCGCTGGGTGTGGTGGCAGATGCCTGTAGTCCCAGCATCTCGGGAGTCTGGCTGAGGTGGGAGAATCACTTGAGCCCAAGAGATCAAGTCTGCAGTGAGCCAAGATCGCGCCACTGCACTCCAGCCTGGGTGACAAGAGCGAAACTCTGTCTAAAAAAAAAGAAACGCCAGGCGCTGTGGCTCACAACTGTAATCCCAGCACTTTGGGAGGCCAAGGCAGGTGGCTCACTTGAGGTCAGGAGTTCGAGACCAGCCTGGCCAACCTGGTGAAACTCTGTCTCTACTAAAAATTAAAACATCAGTTGGGTGTGGTGGTGGGCACCTGTAATCCCAGCTACTCAGGAGGCTGAGGCAGGAGAATCACTTGAACCCGGGACGCAGAGGTTGCAGTGAGCCAAGATCGTGCCATTGCACTCCAGCCTGGGTGACAGAACGAGACCTCATCTTAAAAAAAAAAAAGAAAGAAATCAGCCAGGTACAGTGGCTCACACCTGTAATCCCAGCACTTTGGGAGGCTGAGGCGAGCAGATCACTAGGTCAGGAGTTTGAGACCAGCCTGACCAACATGGCAAAACCCCGTCTCTACTAAAAATACAAAAATTAGCGGGCATGGTGGTGGGCATCTGTAATCCCAGCTACTCGGAAGGCTAAGGCAGGAGAATCACTTGAACCCTGGAGGCAGAGGTTGCAGCGAGCGTGCCACTGCACTCCAGCCGGGGTGACAAGAGCAAGACTCCGTCTCAAAAAAAAAAAAAAAAAAAAAAAAAAAAAGAAAGAAATCCAAGGGCCTGAAATCCTACAGTTTTGGGAAGCCATGGCAGGAGGATTGCTTAAGCTCAGTTTGAGACCAGCCTGGGCAACTTAACAAGATCCCATCTCCACAAAATTTTTTTTTTTATTTTTAAAAAATCAGCTGAGTTGCACTGGCTCATACCAGTAGTCTCGGCTACTTGGAAGGCTGAGGCAGGCAGGCAGTCACTCAAGCCCAGGAGTTTGAGGCTGCAGTGAGCTACATTCATATCACTCATTCCAGCCTGGGTGACAGGATGAGACCCTATCTCTTAAAAAATAATAATAATTGGCCAGGCGCGGTGGCTCACGCCTGTAATCCCAACACTTTGGGAGGCCGAGGTGGGCAGATCACCTGAGGTCAGGGGTTCAAGACAAGCCTGGCTAACATGGTGAAACCCCATCTCTACTAAAAATACAAAAAAGTAGCCAGTTGTGGTGGCACGTGCCTGTAATCCCAGGTACTCGGGGGGCTAAAACAGGAGAATCACTTGAACCGGGAGGCGGAAACTGTGGTGAGCAGAGATCACGCCACTGCACTCCAGGCTAGGTGACAGAGTGAGACTCCATCTCAAAAAATAATAATAATAATAACAACAACTTAAAAAAATAAAATTAGTCTGGGTACAGTGGCTCATACCTGTAATCTCAACACTTTGGGAGGCTGATGCAGGTGGATCACTTAAGCCCAAGAGTTTGAGACCACCCTGAGCAATATAGTGAGATCCCATCTCTATTCTAAAAAACCGATTAATTAATTTAAAAAGAGTGAAAACATCACCCACAGAATAGCAGAAAATATCTGCAGATCATACATCTGATAAAGGATTAATACATGGAACATATAAAGTACTTGTATAACTCGACAACAACAAAAATAACCCAATTCATAAATGGGCAAAGGCCTTAGACATTTCTCTGAAGATTTACAAATGGCCAAAAAATATGCAAAAAGATGCTCAACTTCATTAGTCATTAGGGAAATGCAAATCAAAGCCACAATGAGAAACTACTTCACATCCAAGTTATAAAAAAAAAAAAAAAATAGAAAATAAGTGTTGGCAAGGATATGAAGAAATTGTAACACTTGTGCACTGCTGGTGAGAATGTAAAGAAGACAGTATGGCAATTCCTCAAAAAGTTAAACATAGAATTACCATATGATTCAACAATTCCACTTTTAGGTCTATACCCAAAAGAACTGAAAGGAGGAATCCAAAACAGATATTTATACACCAATGTTCACAGCATTATTCACAATAACCAAATGGTGTCTACGACCCATGTCCATCAACAGATAAATGGATAAAGATATGCGGTATATACATACAGTGAAATATTATTCAGCCTTAAAAAGGAATGAAATTCTGATGCATGTCACAACATGGATGAATCTTGAAAACATTTTGCTAAGTGAAATAAGCCAGGCACAAAAGGGAAAAAATTATATAATTATAATTCCACTTACATAAAATAAAACAGGGCTGGGCACAGTTGCTTAAGCCTGTAATTCCAGCATTTTGGGAGGCTGAGGCAGGTGGATCACTTGAGGTCAGGAGTTCGAGATCAACCTGGCCAACATGGTGAAACCCCATCTTTACCAAAAATACAAAAATTAGCCGGCCGTGGTGGCGGGCACCTGTAATCCCAGCTACTTGAGAGGCTGAGGCAGGAGAATCACTTAAACCTGGGAGGCGGAGGCTGCAGTGAGCCAAGACTGGGCCACTGCACTCCAGCCTCGGTGACAGAGTGAGACTGAGTCTCAAAAATAAAATAAAATAAAATAGGCGAATTCATTGAGACAAAAAGATTATTAAGAACGTACAAGGGGCTGGGGGAGGTGAGAATGGGGTGTTACTATATAATGGGGAGAGTTCCTATTTGGGATGATGAAAGTAGTTCTCAAAACATCATTGTGAATGTATTTAATGCCACTGCATCATACCCTTCAAAATAGTTAAAATTCTACATTTTCTCATGTATATTTACTACAATTTAAAAATTTCATTTACAATAGCATCAAAAAAATCAAATGTCTTGGGTCAAATTTAACAAAACGTGAAAGAATTCTACATTAAAAACAATGAAATAATGTAGCAAGATAGTAAAGAAGGCATAAATCAAGAAATATGCCTCACACAGCACATGGATTAGAAGGCTCAATATAGTTAAGATGTCAATTCTCCCCAAATGAATCTATAAATTCAGTGGAATCTCAACCATAATGGCAGGAGACTTTTTTACAGAAATTGACAAGCTAATTCTAAAATTTATATGGTAATAAAAAGAAACTGTAATATTCAAATAAATCTTGATAAACAATAAAGTTGGGTTATTTACACTGCCTCATGTCAAGACTTCCTATAAAGCTACAGTAGTGGGGTACTGGCATATGGATAAACAAATAGATCAATGGAACAGAACACAGATTTCACAAACAGGCCCATATCTACAGAGTCAATTGTTTTTGGGATTTTTGCCAGCGACAAATCAGGATATAACAGTCAATTGTTTTTCGACAAAAGTACCAAAGCAAACCAATGGGGAGAGAAAATTTTGGTAGTTTTAAACTATGTCAAATTTTTTTACATTCTTCCCTCTAAAAAGTGAAATCCTCCTCTCTCCTTGAGTACAGGCTAGACTTAGGGACTCATTCTAATGAAAAGAATATGGCAGAAGTGACAGTGTATGACTAGGTCATAAGAGGCTTCATGGTTTCTTCCTTACTTTGTCTTAGATCATTTCTGTAGGAGATAACTGCACGCCATGAGGAAACTCAAAGAGCCCTGTGTATAACTTGTTAGCTTTAAAGTAGGGAAAATTTAAAAACAAACAAACAAAAGCCCTGGGTAGAGATAAACAATATGGAACTGAGGCTTCCTGCAAAGAGCTTTATGAATAAGTCATCTTGAAAACAGATCCTCTAAGCCAAGCATGGTGGCTCAGGCCTATAATCCCAACACTTTGGGAGGCCAACAGGGAAAGATCACTTGAGCCCAGGAGTTCAAAACCAGCCTGGGCAACATCTCTACAAAACATAGAAAAAACTAGCCCTGCATGGTGGTGCATGCCTGTAGTTCCAGCTTGAGAGGCTGAGTTGGGAGGATCACTCAAGCCCAGGAGGCCAGGGCTGCAGTAAGCTGTGATCACCACTTCACTCTAGCCTGGGCCACTTCTGAATTCCTAGCCCTCAGAAACTGAGGTAATAACTGTTTGCTGTTTTAAACTGCTAAGTTTTGGAATAATTTGTTACAGAGCAATAGATAATACACAAGTCTTTTCAACAAATGTTGCTAGTAATGGAACAATCAGTTATCTATGTGGGGGAAAAAGAAACACCAGCCCCAATCTCACACAATAACAAAAATTAACTTAGGATGACTCAGAGACCAAAATGTAAAAGCTAAAACTAGAAAGCTTGTAGGTGAAAACACAAAAAATAAAGTTAGGCTGGGCATGGTGGCTCATACCTATAATACCAGCACTTTGGGAGGCCAAGGTGTGCAGAGCTCACCTGTAGTCTTAGCTACGCGGGAGGCTGAAGTGGGAGAATGGCTTGAGCCCAGGAAGTGGAGGGTGTAGTGAGCGGAGATCATGCCACTGCACTCCAGCCTGGGTGACAGAACCAGACCCTGTCTCAAAAAAAATAAAGTTATATGATTTACACTACCTGACTTCAAGCCTTGCTAGAAATGTCCAACACTTAAGAGGTAGGCAAGGTGTCCTCAGACACTCAGACAGAACACAGAAAGCAATAACCATAACAGAAATTATTGATAAATCGGACTTCATCAAAATTGAAAACCTCTGATTATTTATTTATGAGATGGAGTCTTGATCACACCCGTATTCCTAGCATCTTGTGAGGCCCAGGCAAGAGGAATGCTTGAGGTCAGGAGTTCAGGATCAGCCTGGGCAAATATGCTGAGACCTCCGTTGCTACAAAAAATTTTTAAAAAGAAAATAAGCTGGGCATGGTAGTATGCACATGTAGTCCTAGCTACTAGGGAGGCTGAGGCAGGAGGGTCGTTTAAGCCCAGGAGTTAGAGGGTACACTAAGTTATGATCACGCTACTACACTCCAGCCTGGGCAACAGAGCAAGACCCTGTCTCTAAAAAAACAAAACAAAAAACAAAAAATATAGTATCCAGAATACAAAAAAACTTCCTAAAACTCAGTAACAAAAAAAAAAAAAAAAAAAAAAAACCCTGCCAGGCACAGTGGTGAACACCTATAGTCCCAGCTACTTGAGAGGATGAGGCAGAAGGATCCTTTGAGCCCAGAAGTTCAAGTCCAGCTTGGGCAACATAGGGAGGCCCTATCTCTAAAAGATACATTTCTTTAAAAAATAAAAAAGCCAATTTTAAAAAAAAATGGGCAACAGATTTGAATACATACTTCACAAACGAAGATACACAAAGACCATTAAGTACAGGAAAAGGTGCTCAATATCATTAGCATTCAGGTAAGTGAAAATTAAAACCACAATGAGTTACCACTATACTTTCACCCAAATGGCTAAAATTAAAAACACACTACAACACACTTAATGTTGCTAAATGTGGAACAACCACAACTCTCATACATTACTGGTGAGAGTGTAAAAATGGTACAACCATTTTGGAAAAGGTATTATAGTTTCCTATAAAGCTAAACATACATCTATCCTATGACCCAGCAATTCTAGTCTCTTCAAGAGAAATGAATGTGTATGTCCACACAAAAAACCTTTGCAAAAAAGTTCATAAAAGCTTTACTCATAAGGCAAACACTGGAAACAGCCCAAATATCTATCAACAGAATAAACAAACTGTAGTGTTAATGCAATGAAATACTATATAGCAATAAAAATAAACTACTGATACAGACAACAGCATGTATAAATTAAAACACTACACTGTGTGAAAGAAACCTTACTCAAGAGTGGCCAGGCGTGGTGGCTCACACCTGTAATCCCAACACTTTGCGAGGCCAAAGAGGGAGGATCGCTTGAGCCCAAGAGTTTGAGACCAACCTGGGCAACATGGCAAGACCTCTACAGAAAATTTTTTTAATTAGCTGGGTGCAGCAGTGCACACCTGTAGTCCCAGCTACTTGGGAAGCTGAGGTGGGAAGATCCCTTGAGCCCAAGGTGGGTTCAAGGTGGCAGTGAGCTATAATTGCACCACTGTACTCCAGCCTGGGTGACAAAACAAGACCCTTTCCCTTAAAAAAAAAAATATATATATATATATATGTGTGTGTGTGTGTAACACATATATATGTAATATATATGTTATATAGTCTTCCTTTTTAACTTAATATATTTTATATATATAATATATAGGAAGACTATATAATATATAAAATATATATATATAGAAGGCTATATATACATATATTGTCTTCTTATATTCTAGAGCGTTCTCTTTTTTGAGACAGGGTCTTACTCTGTTACCCAGGCTAAAGTGCAGTGGCACGATCATGATTCACTGCAGCCTCCATCTCCTGGTCTCAAGCAATCCTCCCATCTCAGCCTCTCTAGTAGCTGGGACTATAGGCACATGCTGCCACACCCAGCTAATTTTTTTATTTTTTGTAGAGACAAGGTTTCACCATGTTGCCCAGGCTGGTCTCAAACTCCTGGACTCAAGTGATCCTTCCATCTCAGCCTCCCAAAGTGCTGGGATTACAGGCATGAGCCACCACACCCAGCCTCTCTCTACTTCTGACTAGCCAATTTCTCATTACTCCAGTCTCTGTTACAGTTAATAATTCTTTTTTTTTTTTACATAGAGACAGGGTCTCACTACGTTGCCCAGGCTGGTCTTGAACTCTTGAGCTTTTTTTTTTTTTTAAAGACAGAGTCTCACTCTCACCCAGGCAGGAGTGCAGTGGTATGATCACTGCTCACTGCAGCCTCCAACTCCTATGCTCAAGTGATCCTCCTACCTCAGCCTCCCCAGTTGCTGGAATTTTAGGCATGTCCCACCATGCCCAGCTAATTGTTTATTTTTTGGTAGATAAGCGGGCCTTGCTGGGTTGTCCAGGCTGGTTTTGAACTTCTAAGCTTAACTGATCCTCCTGCCTCAGCCTCTCAAAGTGCTGGAATTACAGGCATGAGCCATTGCACCTGGCCAATTAATAATTTTGTATATAGTCCCAATTCTACCAATGAAAAGTAATACTGTAAACAGTCAAGTTAATATGCTTAAGGGTCCAAGTGGTCCTGCCTGGTACACTCTGCTTCATGAAATTACTCAAACTTAATATGGGCTCCCTGGCACCAAGGTCAGCACTTACTTTAGAGACACCTGCAAAATATGTAAGATAGCCACATACTGGCCGGGCGCGGTGGCTCACGCCTGTAATCCCAGCACTTTGGGAGGCCGAGGTGGGTGGATCACAAGGTCAGGATATCGAGACCATCCTGGCTAACACAGTGAAACCCCATCTCTACTAAAAAATACAAAAAATTAGCTGGGCGTGGTGGCGGGCGCCTGTAGTCCCAGCTACTTAGGAGGCTGAGGCAGGAGAATGGCATGACCCTGGGAGGCGGAGCCTGCAGTGAGCCAGTGAGCCGAGATCGCACCACTGCACTCCAGCCTGGGCAACAGAGCAAGACTCCGTCTCAAAAATTAATAAATAAAAAAGATAGCCACATATTTTATAATACATCTTCCCAAATAGAGAAGAAGCTTTTTAATATTCATTATATTTTCTATGCTAGTGAACTCACTTTAATTTTTGCTGCACTGTCTCCAGGTAAAGTACCAAAAACAGTAAACCAAAATAGCCTATGTATATCCTGCCTAGCATGCTGCTTGACCCTGATCCATACAACATCTTCAAGTTGAGCATAAGTCTTTATAAATAAGTTTCAGAATATTCACTAGCTAGGCATGGTGGTATACATGGGAGGCTGAGGCAGCAGGATCACTTGAGCCCAGGAATTCGAGACCAGCATGAGTAACATTAGCAAGACTCTCTCTAAAACACACACACACACACACACACACACACACACACACACAACACACACATAAAACCAGAATACTCACCACCAAACCAATTTTTTGTCCGAATTGCAACTATAAAGTCTCCAAATTAGTCAGGGACCATTAAATTTAAATTTGCAGGCCGGGCACAGTGGCTCATGCCTGTAATCCCAGCACTTTGGGAGGCCAAGGCAGGCGGATCATGAGGTTAGGAGGATCGAGAACATCCTGGCTAACATGGTGAAACCCCATCTCTACTAAAAATACAAAAAAAATTAGCCGGGTGCGGTGGCGGGTGCCTGTAGTCCCAGCTACTCGAGAAGCTGAGGCAGGAGAATGGCGTGAACCCAGGAGGTGGAGCTTGCAGTGAGCTGAGATAGTGCCACTGCAGTCCAGCCTGGGCGAAAGAGCTAGACTCCATCTCAAAAAAAAAAAAAAAAAAAAAAGAAAAAAAAAATTTAAGTACTTACATGATCAAATACATATTGAGTATCTACAGAGTAAGACCATGTAGTATATTATTACTAACAAGACAAAAATAATTCCTGCCTTCAGAGAACTGAAAGTCAGTATGGCCCAAGAAGTTAATGGTAAAACAATGAAATATTACAAATTCAGCTATGCATAATAGGTGACCTGTGGAAATGACTTTTAATGGGAGAGGGAATTTAAGGGATGAATACTTATCAACAAAAGCACTGTCTGTGGCTCCCAGACATTAAAGTCTAGAACACTTAGCTAGGGCTCTGACACAAGAAACTATACAGTCAATTCTCATTATTGATGGTAATTATGTTTTATAAAGTCATTGTGTACACTGAGTTATTGAATACTGAGTCACTGCACCTAGACAAAATAAATGGTTAAGTTCCTGTAGGCCTCTGGTCATAATTTCTTTTTTTTTTTGTTTAATAAACTCTCAGCCAGTAGAAGATGATCTAGTCATATTTTCATTAACCAATTAATATACAACCTTCCAGATCTACATACATACAATATAAAACCTTTTAGGTATGTTTCTATTTAAAAACACCTTATTTAATATAAATAACTGATTCATTAACACTGAACTATAGTTAACAGCATTATAACTCATGCCTGAACAAAACTTCCCTACACATTCCTTGTAAGGTAATCAAAGCCTTCTTGTGTTTAAAAACACCAGGCAGCACTTCAATACGTTTGGGGGCCATTTTAAGCATCAAAATCACCAACAAGGCCAGGCGCAGTGGCTAACAACCTGTAAGCAGTCTCGAAAAAATAAAAAAATAGGCTTCTAGCGGCCGGCTTCATTGGGAACTATGGCTAAACATCATCCTAATTTGATCTTTTGCTGCAAGCCAGCTGGTGTTGTCATTGGAAGATTGTGTGAAAAATGTGACAGCAAGTGTGTGATTTGTGACTTTGTGCGTCCCTGCACTCTGGTGTGCTATGTGATGAGTGTAACTACGTATCTTAGCAGGGGTGCCGTGTGATCTGTGGAGGCCCTGGGGTCTCTGGTGCCTATTACTGTAAGGAGTGCACCATCTAGGAGAAGGATAGAGATGGCTGCCCAAAGATTGTCAATTTGGGGAGCTCTAAGACAGACCTCTTCTACGAACACAAAAAAATGCAGCTTCAAGAAGAGGTGATTGGTGGGTGGCCCCTTCCTCCCCACAACATCAAGCTGCTGCAGCGGCTAGAAAAGATGCCTGCTACTCCCGGCAGAAAGGGAGCAGAGCCCAGAGCATCACCAGGAGTGCCTGCTAGTGTCCTGGCAGCTTACCAACCCTCCCCTCCCTTCACCCAGACATGTGGTAGGGATGGAAAAGGATTCTTCACAGAGCACTCTGGCACACTGTATTGGAGAAAAATTGATAGATTAGTTAATGGTTTTTCTTGAATTTGAGAAGCAAAGATCTGTTCTCCATATTGATATGTTCTCCCTCAACCAAGATCTTCTAAGAAATAATATTTTAGTCTTCTGCTTGAGGAGTTGACTGTGAAGCTACACCCAGTGAAAAACATGATCTTGCAGCAGCTCTGGTGGCAGCTGTCCTTGAAGAACCTTTGGTGTATGGTGGGAAGCTATCAGAACAAGAAATGTAGCCATTTACTCTTTTAACACTTGCGCTATTGTCATGTTATTTTCCTTCTGAGAAATTGGAAACCCTTTCTGTTGCTATTACATTAATAAAGTTAGTGTTTATTTTCTGGTAAAATAAATAAAAATGAAAATAAACATTAAAAATCACCAACAAAAAGTAAATCAGGACAGGTGCAGTGGCACACGCGTGTAATCCCAGCACTTTGGGAGGCCGAGATGGGCAGATCACTTGAAGCCAGGAGCTCGAGGCCAGCCTGGACAACATGGTGAAACCTCATCTCTACTAAAAATACAAAAATTAGCCAGGCATGGTGGTGCATGTCTGTAATCCCAACTATTCGCGAGGCTGAGGCAGGAAAATTACTTGAACCTGGGAGGCGGAGGTTGCAGTGAGCCGAGATAGCACCACTGCACTCTAGCCTGGGTGACAGGGCAAGACTCAGTCTCAGTAAAAAAAAAAAGCAAATAAATGCAAAAAACCATGGTACTAAATAGACCAAGAAAAGGACACTTATTTACAGTATGATAATTGAAAAGAAGGCAGCAGCATGTTGCCTTGTTTAACCTCAGCTAGGAACACACAACTCAAAATTTTTGTCACTCTGTGCACATCTATAAATGATAGCAAAAGCACCAAAAGTACTGATTTTGGGGTTACAAGTAAATTTTAGCAGGTCTGCAAACTTGAAAATACAAACTCTGTGAATAATGAGGATCGACTGTATATTAATATGATTCCATTTATGTGAAACTTCTAAGAAACGCAAATTTAATCTACAGTGATAGAAAGATTGGCACCTGTCTGTGTCCAAGAAAGCAGGCTGGGGTTGACTGGAAAGGGAAATAAGAGTACCTTCTATGACTAACTGACATCTTTTCACTGGGCCGGGCACAGTGGCGCATGCCTGTAATCCCAGCACTTGGGGAGGCCAAGGTGGATGGATCACTTGAGGTCAGGAGTTCGAGACAAGCCTGGTCAACATGGCAAAACCCCATCTCTACTAAAAAAATCAAGAATCAGTCCATTGTGGTGGCACATGCCTGTAATCCCTGCTACTCTGGAGGCTGAGGCACAAAAATCACTTGAACCTAGGAGGCGGAGGTTGCAGTGAGCCAAGATGGCACCACTGCACCCCAATCAGGGTGACAGAGCAAGACTCTGTCTCCAAAAACAGAAATCTTTTCAATGAAGTGAAATAGACATCTGTTGGGCCAGGTGCAGTGGTTCATGCCTGTAATCCCAACACCTTGGGAGGCCGAGGTGGATGGATTGCCTGAGGTCAAGAGATCGAAACCATCCTGGCTAACACAGTGAAACCCCATCTCTACTAAAAATACAAAAAATTAGCCGGGCGTGGTGGCACATGCCTGTACTCCCAGCTACTCGGGAGGCTGAGGCAGGAGAATCACTTGAACCTGGGAGGTGGAGGTTACAGTGAGTGGAGATTGCGCCACTGCACTCCAGCCTGTGAGACAGAGCGAGACTCTATCTCAAAAAAAAAAGAAAAAAAGAAAAATTATACCACAATAAAGTTGGAAATTTCTTTAAAAACAATGATAAAGGGCCAGGCGTGGTGGCTCACGCCTGTAATCCCAGCACTTTGGGAAGCCGAGATGGGCGGATCACAAGGTCAGGAGATCGAGACCATCCTGGCTAACATGGTGAAACCTTGTCTCTACTAAAAATACAAAAAAATTAGCCGGGCGTGGTGGCAGGCGCCTGTAGTCCCAGCTACTCGGGAGGCGAAGGCAGGAGAATGGCGTGAACCCGGGAGGCGGAGCTTGCAGTGAGCTGAGATCGCGCCACGCACTCCAGCCTGGGCGACAGAGCGAGACTCTGTGGCAAACAAACAAACAAAAAAAACAATGATAAAGCATAAAGGTCAAAGATCAGAGATCAGCTGGCCATTTCTGGTGTGCAGGGGATTTTCTTTAACAGTGAAATGACTTTTTTTTTTTAAGACGGGGTCTCTCAGCTGGGTGTGGTGGCTCACACCTGTAATCCCAGCACTTTGGGAGGCCAAGGCGAGTGGATCACAAGGTCAGGAGATCGAGACCATCCTGGCCAACATGGTGAAACCCCGTCTGTACTAAAAATACAAAAATTAGCCGAGCGTGCTGGCACATGCCTGTAAATCCCAGCTACTTGGGAGGCTGAGGCAGGAGAATCACTTGAACCCTGGAGGTGGAGGTTGCAGTGAACTGAGATCGCGCCACTGCACTCCAGCCTGGGCAACAAGAGTGAGACTCGGTCTCAAAAAAAAAAAAAAGGCAGGGTCTTGGCAAGGTGTGGTGGCTCATGCCTGTAATCCCGGCATTTTGGGAGGCCAAGGCAGGTGGATGGCTTGAGGTCAGGAGGTCAAGACTAGCCTGGCCAACACGGTGAAACTTCGTCTCTACTAAAAATACAAAAATTAGCTGGGCATGGTGGTAGGTGCCTGTAATCCCAGCTACTCAGGAGGCTGAGGCAGGAAAATCAGTTGAACCTGGGAGGCAGAGGTTGTAGTGAGCCGAGATCGTGCCTCTGCAATCCAGCCTGGGCGACAAAGCGAGACTTCATCTCAAGAAAAAAAAAAGATAGGGTCCCACTCTGTCACCCAGGCTGGAGTGCAGTGGCCCAACCACAGCTCACTGCAGCCTCAAAATCCCAGACACAAGCGATCCTCCCATCTTAGACTCCCCAGTAGCTGGAGTTACAGTCACGCACCACCACGCCTGGCTAATTTTTTTATTTTTTGTATCGATGGGGTCTCGCTATGTTTCCAGAGCTGGTCTCGAACCCCTGGGCTCAAGTGATCCTACTGCCTCAGCCTCCAAAGTGCTAGGATTACGGGGATGAGCCACCATGTCCAGCCAATACGTTTTTAATTAACAGCTTTATTGATATATTATTCACACATCATACGGTTCACCCATTAAGGTGTACAATTCAATGATTTTAAGTATAAAATTTAAAAAAAGTATAAAATATTCAGAAATAGGAGCAACCATCACAATTTTAGAATGTTTTAATCATCTCAAAAAGAGATTCCATACTCTTAAGCTATCTTTTTCCCTATCCCCTACAACCACCTCCAAGCCCTAAGCAATCACTAATGTACTTTCTGTTTCTATAGAATTGCCTATTCTGGATATTTCACATAAATGGAATCATGTAAATGTGAACTTTTGTATCTGACTTCTTTCACTTTAACATGTTTTCAAGGTTCATCCATGTTGTAACATGTATCACACTTCGTTCCTTTTTATTGCAGAGTAATGTTCCCTTGTATGTATACACCACATTTTATCTGTCAGTTGATGGACATTTGGGTTGCTTCTCCTTTTGGCTATTATGAATAATGCTGCCATAAACATTCATGTACAAGTTTTTGTGTGAACATTTGTTTTCATTTCTCTTGGGTAGATAGCCAGGAGGGAGATTGCTGGGTCATATGGTAACTCTATGTTTAACCACATAAAGACTGTTTTCCCAAGTGGCCCACTTGACATTCCCACCAACAATGTATGAGGTCTCTAATTTCTCCATATTTCCATCAACATACGACATCATCTGATTTTTTTTACTACAGAGTAAGTTGTTTAATGATTGTTCATTCAATCATAATACACCCAAATTTTTCTTTTCTTTTTAGAGACAGGGTCTTGCTCTGTCATCCAGGCAGGAATGCAGTGGTACAATCAAGGCTCACTGCAGCCTCAACCTCCTGGGCTCAAGCAATCCTCCCGCCCCTGCCTCCCAAGTAGCCGAGAATACAGGTGAATGCCACTATGCTCGTTTAACTTTTACTTTTTTTTTGCAGAGATGGGGTCTCACTATGTTGCCCAGGCTGGTCTCAAACTCCTGGGCCCAAGCAATTTGCCTGCTTCAACCTCCAAAAGTTCTGGAATTATGGGCATGAGCTACGGCACCTGGCCTACACCTAGATTTTTATGTATTTATAAGATGCTCTTATTCATCAACATTGAATTTTAGACTTGAAAAGAGTCCAGTCCTAGACCTGCTCCCCTACCCTGCCCTCCTTTTATATAATGAGACAGGAATAAATAAGCTAAACCCACAAATAAAATTTTACAAAAGAGATCAGCAGATTTTCTAGGCACTCAACAAAACAAAGTCCCTAACAGAGATCCAGCACTGAAGTGAACATGTGTTCCCATCAAAGCTCATTTGTTACATCTTCTAAATAAACGTAACTTCAAACCACAGTAGCACACGAGAATCTTTATCATCTTTCATACACACACACACACACACACACACACACACACAGTCTTAGGCTTTCCTACCCAGAATCTATTGCTCAAATTCTGCTGTAGTAGGAGAAATGAAAACCTATATTTAAAAATTAGTGCAAAAGCACAGATCCAGAGCCACAAAGACACAAAATGCCTGACTGCTTCCTTGTTGCAAGTCAGAAACAAGAGTGTACTGTGCGTCTTTCCCCAGCTCTGCCCATCACTGTTCCTTATAGCGTCAGGGCTGCACTGGGAGGAGGGCAGGCAGCAAATACTGCCATTTACAGCAGCCCAAGGAGGCAGTGAGATCAAGCCACAACAAAGAAAAGGGCCTAAAAATGTTTGCATCCAGTGCCATGCTCACAGAAATGTTTTCCTAGAAAAGTGGCACTTTAACCAGGAAGGGCTCTTTCCAGGCCTTAGTTCTGCCCTTTGAGCAAGTTCTGTCTCTGTTCTGCAGCACTAAGGGATGGGCCTGCCTCTATAAAGCACTAGAGTTAACATATGCAAGCACTTCAAGGCAAGGCAGGGTGGAGGCAGAAATTCATAGCCACCAAATCCCCACTTCTACTTGCCCACTCCCTTCTATTTCCCTGTTTAATTACAAAAGGTGTTTCCAACTCAGACAAATCTAGTACATCTTTATAAATATTTGGTCCTCATCTACTACGTACAGGCGCAAAAAGACACAAAAAGTGTAAAATACAGTCCCTGTCAGAAAAGGATTATTAGGCCCTACCAGAGGAAACAAAAAAGATTTTTTTTTTTTTGAGACAGAGTTTCACTCTTGCTGCCCAGGCTAGAGTGCAGTGGCGCAATCTCAGCTCACTGCAACCTCTGCCTTCCAGGTTCAAGTGATTCTACTGCTTCAATCTTCCAAGTAGCTGGGATTACAAGCACCCGCCACCACGCCTGACTAATTTTTTGTATTTTTAGTAGAGACAGAGTTTCACCATGTTGGCTAGGCTGGTCTCGAACTCCTGACCTCAGGTGATCCACCCGCTGTGGCCTCCCAAAGTGCTGGGATTACAGGCGTGACCCACTGTGCCGGCCTAAAAAATTATTCTTAAAAGAGCAAATACTATTTTGATGTTTGTTTCAGAGCAATAATGTAACTGCAGTTCAAAGGGTATGAAATATATCCCCAGGAGCAGAAATGTTTTGGGGACGTTTTATAAAGAAGGTAGGTAGAAATGGAGCTGGACTATGGACAAGGGAAAAGCTGAAGCAAAAGGTCATCTCCACAGGCCATAGGTCACTGGATTCAGCCATGAGAGGATTTGTGCAGAGAAAGAGTATGTATGGAATGTTTAGCAAACCATTTGGTTAGTGGGGATTAGGATAAACCCTGAGGAGGTAGCCTGGAGCCAGCTGGACTATATCACCTTAAATGCCACATTAGGACATCAGATCTCATCCCATAAGCCTGTAGCAGTTCCTGATTTCAGTGCAGGATCTCCGTAGTCTGTACAGTGTGAAAAACTCCTGAAATTGGCCAGGCAAGGTGACTCACATTCATAATCCAGCACTTTGGGAGGCCGAGGTGGGAGGATCACTCAAACCCAGGAGTTAGAGACCAGCCTGGGCAACAAACAAGACATCATGTCCATTAAAAAAAAAAATTAAAATTAAAAATTAGCTGAGCACAGTTGTGCCCACCTGTAGTTCCAGCTACTCTGGAGGCTGAGGCAGGAGAATCACCTGAGCCCAGGAATTCGAGGCTGCAGTGAGCTATGATCATGCCACTGCACTCCAGCTGGGCAACAGAGTAAGACCTGTCTCAAAAAAAAATTAAGTAAATAAAAATACTAAAGTTTACAGATAAATTATGCAAAGATAAAGAACAGTGGATGGAAAGTCTGCTTTTTCTTTTTTTTTTTGAGACGGAGTCTAGCTCTGTCGCCCAGGCTGGAGTGCAGTGGCGCAATCTCGGCTCACTGCAACCTCCACCTCCCAGGTTCAAGTGATTCTCCTGCCTCAGCCTCCTGAGTAGCTGGGATTACAGGTGCACGCCACCACACCTGGCTAATCTTTGTATTTTTAGTAGAGACGGTTTTTCACCATGTTGGTCAGGCTGGTATGGAACTCCTGACCTCGTGACCCGCCCACCTTGGCCTCCCACAGTGCTGGGATTACAGGCTTGAGCCACCGCGCCCGGCCTGGAGGGTCTACTATTATAACAACAGTCTGACACATTTGCACTTAAAAATGCCCATCACAAGCCAGGCACAGTGGCTCATGCCTGCACTTTAGGAACCCGAGGCAGGAGGATCATTTGCACCCACGAGTTTGAGACTAGCCTGAGCAACATAGTGAGACCCCCATCTCTACAAAAAAATTAAGACAAAGAAAATTAGCCAGGCATGGTGGCGCATGTGTGTAGTCCTAGCTACTTTGGAAGCTGAGGCAAGAAGATCACTTGAGCCCAGGAGTTGGAGGCTGCAGTGAGCTACAATTGTGTCACTACACTCCAGCCTAGGAGGTTTTTAAGAGACTGTCTCTTAAAAAAGGCCAGGCGTGGCCAGGTGTGGTGGCTCACACCTGTAATCCCAGCACTTTGGGAGGCCAAGGTGGGTGGATCACTTGAGGTCAGGAGTTTGAGACCAGCCTGGCCAACATGGCAAAACCCCGGCTCTACTAAAAAAAAAAAAAAAAAAAAAAATTAGCCAGGCGTGCTGGCGCACTCCTGTAGTCCCAGCTACTCGGGAGGCTGAGGCAGGAGTATCACTTGAACCCAGGAGGCGGAAGTTGCAGTGAGACAAGATCATGCCACTGCATTCCAGCCTGGGCGACAGAGTGAGACTCTGTCTCAAAAAAAAAAAAAGGCCAGGCATGGTGGCTCATGCCTGTAATCCTAGCATTTTGGGAGGCCAAGACAGGAGGATCACTTGAGACTAGGAGTTCAAGCCCAGTCTGGGCAACTGAGACCCCATCTCTACATAAGTAATTTTTAAAAATGCAAATGACAGCCAGTGTGGTGTCTCACCCCTGTAATCCCAGGCCAAGGCTGAGGCAGGTGGATCACCTGTCAGGAGTGACCAGCCTGGCCAACATGGTGAAACCCTGTCTCAGAAAAAAAAAAAAAGCAGGGGCTTGGGACAATTTTGAAAAGCTAATATTTTTGCTGGGTGCAGTAGCTCTCGCCTGTAATCCCAGCACTTTGGGAGGCCGAGGTAGACGGATCATGAGGTCAGGAGATCGAGACCATCCTGGCTAACACGGTGAAACCCCGTCTCTCCTAAAAATACAAAAAAATTGGCCGGGCATGGTGGCAGGTGCCTATAGTCCCAGCTATTTGGGAAGCTGAGGCAGGAGAATGGCGTGAACCCAGGAGGTGGAGCTTGCAGTAAGCCAAGACCATGCCACTGCACTCCAGCCAGCGCAACCGAGCGAGATTCCGTCTCAAAAAAAAAAAAAAAGAAAGAAAGAAAAGCTAATATTTTAATATCCCCCTCCTTTCAAGAACTGCCCAAGGAACTGGTCTTACCAAGATTATAATGAACTAAAGATTCAAAAAATGGCCCTGAAGGACAATGAAATAAATAACTAAAGACTACTCAACTTCTCCCTTGCCTCACAAGTGCAGTATAAACTCAGTCGAACAGCAACAAGCTGCCAGCGTCCTCTGGGTTCAGCACCTGCTTTCCTAAAGGATCTCCTGACCAAGGAGCTGGTTTCTTTCAAAATTATTATTTTATTTATTATTTATTTATTTATTTATTTTTGGAGACTGAGTCTCACTCTGTCACCCAGGCTGGAGTGCAGTGGCGCGATCTCAGCTCACTGCAACCTCCGCTTTCCGGGTTCAGGTGATTCTCCTGCCTCAGCCTCCATGCACCACCACGCCCAGCTAATTTTTGTATTTTTAGTAGACATGGGATTTTGCCATTTTGGATAGGCTAATCTCTTAACTACTGACCTCAGGTGATCCGCCCGCCTCAGCCTCCCAAAGTGCTGGGATTACAGACATGAGCTACCGCACCTGGCCTCTTTCAAAATTATACATTCAGAGGTGACAAGATCCTGATAGAAGTGCACAAAGTAGGCTAGGCGCGTGACCAGGCACAGTGGCTCACGCCTGTAATCCCAGCACTTTGGGAGGCCAAGGCAGGCGGATCAGGAGGTCAGGAGTTCGAGATCAGCCTGAACAACATGGTGAAACCAGGTCTCTACTAAAAATACAGAAATTAGCCGGGCATGGTGGCACGCACCTGTAATCCCAGCTACTTGGGAGGCTGGGGCAGGAGACTTGCTTGAACCCAGGAGGCAGAGGTTGCAGTCAGCTGAGATTGTGCCATTGCACTCCAGCCTGGGTGAGAGAACGAGACTTCGTCTCAGAAAAAAAAAAAAAAAGTAGGCTTGGCGCGGTGGCTCATGCCTGTAATCCCAACAATTTGGGAGGCGGAGGCGGGTTGATCATGAGGTCAGGAGTTCGAGACCAGTCTGGCCAACATAGTGAAACCCCGTCTCTACTAAAAATACAAAAATTAGCCAGGTGTGGTGGCACGTGCCTGTAGTCCCAGCTACTCGGGAGGCTGAGGCAGGAAAATTGCTTGAACCAGGGAGTCAGAGGTTGCAGTGAGCCGAGATGGCACCACTGTACTCCAGCCTGGCAACGGAGCAAGACTCCATCTCAAAAAAACAAAACAAAACAAAACAAAACAAAAAGTGCACAAAGTATTGTCGCTTGACTTCTTAGTCATCTCATGCAGGCATATTCTATGACCACATACAAGAAGACTGTACAAAGAACCAAAGAGGCCACAGGTCAAGAGAAATGTGTTTTGGAGCAATGAGAACTCTTCCTAGACCTGCACACTCTACTGAGGATCTCCAACTTGCCCAAATTCACAGGAAAGGGGCTTGAAGGTGTTTTCACTGAGCAAGATAATTTTAGTACTGTTAAAAGTTAATTTGCGCCGGGCATAGTGGCTCACACTTGTAACCCCAGCACTTTGGGAGGCCAAGGGGGGTGGATCACGAGGTCAGGAGTTCGAGACCAGCCTGGCCAACATGGTGAAACCCCGTCTCTATTAAAAATACAAAAATTAGCCGGGCATGGTGGCGCGTGTCTGTAGTCCTACCTACTCGGGAGGCTGAGGCAGGATAATCGCTTGAACCCGGGAGGTGGAGGCTGTGGTGAGCCGAGATCGCGCCACTGCACTCCGGCCTGGGCAACAGAGCGAGAGACTCTGTCTCAAAAGAAAAAAAAGAAAAAAAACAGTTAATTTGCCAGTTCCATATCATCCACAACAAAAACAAGTTTCTTTTTCCGATTCTAAGACACTCCTACGTTTCCTTTGTCTCCTATGGCGAGCATCCCTTTAGGAGATAAAATCAAGTCATCACCATAATACTCACTTTCTCCTAAAGCAAAAAGAGGAAGACATTACCACTCTCCAAAAAGTGGTGGTGAAGAACCAAAGAAATTATGTTCCAAAATAAAACTCAGCCATTATGGACATTTAACCAGGTTCTTTGCGAGGAAAACGGTGAGCTTCGAGGTACACG
This sequence comes from Homo sapiens, assembly GCF_000001405.40. Taxonomy (NCBI): domain Eukaryota; kingdom Metazoa; phylum Chordata; class Mammalia; order Primates; family Hominidae; genus Homo; species Homo sapiens. The sequence continues at coordinate 49,785,820 of NC_000003.12, forward strand.
TGAGGTTCCGAACGGGTCTCAGGAAGCAGCAGCCAGGCAGAGGGTCCCCCTTGCCATAATCATAGGGCCGTGACACCGGCCTGCCTGGCTCGCGGGGGCTTTGGCTTGCTTCGTCTAGTCTTAGCATCCAGCGTCCTGAAAATCACTCGCAGGAACGCTATCTAAGAAAGAGGTAAGTCTATTTCTCAGCCAGGAGCAACATAACTCCCAGGAGAGCATCAGGGTGGCACCGGACACACTTTAGCGCTCCGGATCAGCGGAGTCCAGAGCTTCGGTCAGAGAAGCTGGTTTCCCGCTACTAGCCGGCCAACCCTCAGGCACTGGCGCTCTCCGTCCTCCACACCGGCTGTCCCCCCGGCTTCGGTGCCAGCATCTGGGAGGCTCGGCGGGCGGCCGGTCAGGACGCTCGAGCGATGTTCCAGTGATGGCCCCACCGGAGCCCCGACCCCACACGCGCCCACTCCAACCCCGCGCCCGCCACCGCCCTCCCCGCGGGCGTCAGGCCGGTCTATCGGCCCGGCTCCTGTCACTCACCTGCCCGGCCCGGGCACCGAGCGCCCACGGCTCCCTACGGGAGCTGGGCCCCCCGGGCCTCCAGGTTTCGGCCCGCCCCCTGGCAGGCAGCACAGGTGGCTGAGCACCGCTACAGCGGCCTCTCACCGGCCGCTTGGTCCAGCTCCCGGCGCTGCCCACTGGGTACGGATCAACAACAAGATGGCGGCTAGCCGAGGGGGCGGGGGCCGGGCGTCATAGTAACCAGGACTGCAAAGAACCCGCCCCCGAGGGGGTGCTATCCCCAATCAACAGTCTTTTTGCTCGTCGCCAGGGGAAGTGCTTCCTGCTGACAGGTCAGCTCACGTGTCAGTCAGAGTCTGCCTCTCAGGGCCTCTGCCGAAAGCGTGGGGCACGTGACTGTGACGGCATGGGTTGGCGCATGCGCTTCGTTCCCGGAGTGGCTGGCGGCGGAGTTTTCGCTGGCTACTACGAGGCCGGAGCGCCCTTGGCCTCTCTGCGTCCCTGGCCCTCGTGCGGTACCGGCGGCGTCTTGTCATACACTTGCGCACACACAGGGAATCTCAGCGGTGTGCTATTCGTTTTTTTGTCCCCCACTCTGGGAGAAGGGGGGTGCAGCCCCCAGTTCACTCTGGAGAGGAAACTGAGGCTCAGAGAGGGGAGGCCGAGCCAAGGTCACGCCACCTCTAGAAATGGAGGTGCTGGGTCTCGCACCTCCTCCTGCTGGTTTCAGAGTGTGAGGAGCCTCTATCCCAGCTTCCCACGCTTTGTCCCTTACTAGCCTCGAGGTACCGCAGTCTGTGCTGCCACAGCAGCCTCTGGCTCATTGCCCATGCTTTCCTGCCTGAGGTTTAGAGCCTAGCACAAGTCCTGACACACAGCGGGCACTCCCTTTTCTCTTCCCTAGAGCATCTTGTCTTGAGATCCTGTGACAGCATCTTTTGCCCTGGACTGTCATGACCGGCCTCCCAAGCAGACTAATGGTCCCAGGAAGATGGTCACACCTTGCTCCCCATACAGAACACCTAACTCTGGGCTTGGCTTCAGGCTTAGAACAACAGATGAAGTTACGTGGCCTGGGCCCACACCCAAATGCCCCAACTAGCTAACTCTGACTTTTGAGCCTTAGCCTCTCTTTAGCTTTGGTTGTCCCATCTGTAAAATGAAGATAAAAGTGGAGCTTCTCAGAGGAAGATTTAATGAGCCCTCAGAGCAGGGGAAGAACTCAGGAAAAATCTGCCTACAACCACTTCCTGGAACAACCTGCTTCCAAGTTGCTGTTCCTGAGGCGTGCCTTAAAACACTAACTTTGGTGGAAGCCCCATGAAGCGTTTTTGTTTTGCTTTGTTTTGTTCCCACAGAAGGCTTTCAGCTTCTTCCTGGCCCTGGGATACCATAACTGGTTCAGAAGGGGAGGTCCTCCTAGCTAGGCGCAGTGGCTCATGCCTGTAATCCAGCACTTTGGGAGGCCAAAGAAGGTGGATCACTTGAGGTCAGAGGTTCGAGACCAGCCTGGCCAAAATGGTGAAACCCTGTCCCTACTAAAAATACAAAAATTAGCTGGACGTGATGGCAGGTGCCTGTAATCCCAGCTACTCAGGAGGTTGAGGCAGGAGGATCACTTGAACCTGGGAGGCAGAGGTTCAGTGAGCTGAGATCACGCCACCACACTCTAGCCTGGGTGACAGAGCAAAATTCTGTCTCAAAAAAAAAAAAGGGAGGTTCTCCAGTACCCTGAGGGGGTTCAGGCCCACAGACTCAACAGACGAGTAAAGACTGTGATAACTTGGATTTACCACAGTAAGGTCCTCTTGGAGAGCTGGCAGAAGCCTGAGACCTGATGTCAGGTTGGGCATGGAGAGTGGGCCAACACTGCATCCAGCAAGACCTGCCCACCAGCAGATTGCTGCAGGCCACTTGGCTACATGCAATAGCTCAGGTCAACACAGGGAGATGTGAGAGCAGAGGAACCAGAAGAAACAGATCAGGAAGAAAAGCCAACAACCCTCAAAAGGGGGATTCTGCTAATCCTCCAGGACCAGCCATGCCACAGGATTCTCAAGTCTGCATCACCCCTCACCGCAGTGCAAAAGCTCCAGATCCTTCCCAAGAAAACCTCCACATACAGTTGGCAAATTGCCCTGAAGTTTGATGGGACCCTCAAAAAGCAACAGTGGTATAACTACTGTGGATAACAGTTCGGAGGTTCCTCAGAAAACTAAAAATACAGCTACCACATGATCCAGCAATCCCACTGCTGGGTATGTACCCAAAGGAAAGGAAATCAGTATATCAAAAAGATATCTGCACTTCCATGTTTGCTGCAGTGCCATTCACAATAGCCAAGATTTGGAAGCAACCTAAGTGTCCATCAACAGGTGAATGGATAAAGAAAATATGGTACATATGGGCCGGGTGCGGTGGCTCACGCCTGTAATCCCAGCACTTTGGGAGGCCGAGGCGGGCGGATCATGAGGTCAGGAGATGGAGACCATCCTGGCTAACACGGTGAAACCCCATCTCTACTAAAAATACAAAAAATTAGCCGGGCGTGGTGGCAAGCGCCTGTAGTCCCAGCTACTCAGGAGGCTGAGGCAGGAGAATGGCGTGAACCCAGAAGGCGGAACTTGCAGTGAGCCGAGATCACGCCACTGTGCTCCAGCCTGGGCAACAGAGCGAGACTCCATCTCAAAAAAAAAAAAAAGAAAAGAAAATATGGTACATATGCAGAATGGAATATTATTCAGCCATTAAAAAGAATGAGATTGTGAGATTGGCTGGTGCGGAGGCTCATGCCTGTAATCCCAGCACTTTGGGAGGCTGAGGCAGGAGGATCACCTGAGGTCAGGAGTTCAAGACCAGCCTGGCCAACATAGGAAAACTCCATCTCTACTAAAAATAAAAAATAAAAAAATTAGCCGGCATGGTGGTGCACACCTGTGGTCCCAGCTACTCAGGAGACTGAGGCACGAGAATTGCTTGATCATGAGAGGCGGAGGTTGCAGTGAGCCAAGATCGTGCCACTGTACTCCAGCCTGGGTGACAAAGTAAGACTACATCTCAAAAAAAAAAAAAAGGAAAAAGATTTAAACAAAACAATTGAATTCATGGAGATAGTGAGTAGAAGGATAGTTACCAGAGTCTGGAAGGGGTGGGGAGGTGGGACGGTTAATGGGTACCAAAAAAAAAGAAAAATGAATAAGACCTAGTGTTTGATAGCACAACAGAGTGACTGTAGTCAATAATAACTTAATTGTACAGTTTAAAATAACTGAAAGAGTATAATTGGATTATTTGTAACACAAAGGATAAATGCTTTAGGGGATGGATGCCCCATTTTCGATGAGGTGATTATTAACCATTACATGCCTTATTAAAACATCTCATGTACCTCCAAATTTATACACCTATGTACCCACAAAAATTAAAAATTAAGAAAAAAATTAAAAAGAGAAACATCTCAACAACAACAACAACAAAAGCAACAGTGAGCTAGGCACGGTGGCTCACACCTATAATCCCAGCACTTTGGGAGGCTGAAGGGGGAGGATGGCTTGGACCCAGGAATTCAAGACCAGCCTGGTCAACATAGAGAGATCCCATCTCTACAAAAAAATTAAAAATTAGCCAGGCATGGTGGTCCATGCCTGTAGTCCCACCTACTTGGGATTCTGAGTAGGAGGATCGATTGAGCCTGGGAGGTCAAGGCTACAGTGAGCCACAATCACACCGTTGCACTCCAGCCTGGGCAACAAAGCCAGACAGCCAGACCCTATCTTTCTCTCTCTCTCTCTCTCTCTCTCTCTCTCTCTCTCTCTCTCTCTCTCTCTCTCTCTCCCCCTCTCTCCCTCTCCCCGCCCCCTCTCTCCTTCACACACATGCGCGCGCGCGCGCGCACACACACACACACACACACACACACACACACACACGCAGCATTGTTCTCTCTCTTCTGGATAGGAAAAGGAAGCAGGTGGCCCTGAGGAGACATGCTGATTGGAGGCCCCTCAGTCACTGACAAGGATGATAGCCTATTACTTCTATAGAGCATCAGTCACACTGTCAGTCTGAGCATCACACAATACCTTCTTAAAAGAAAAATAAAGCCAGGTGCAGTGGTGCGCCCATCGTCCCAGCTACCCAGGAGGCTGAGATGAGAGGCTCTCTTGAAGCCAGGAGTTAGACGCTATAGTGTGCTATGATAACACCTATGAATAGCCTCTGCATTCCAACCTGGGCACCATAGTGAGACCCTGTCTAAAAAAAAAAAACCCTGAAAGAGAAAAGGAAAACCTTACTGCTCCCTAGAGTCTGCTCACAAGGTAGGGAGTTGTCCAAGTGAGAACAAGGAGGCACAGATTTCAGAGCTTCTCCCACACGTTGGCTACAAGGCTAGAACTTTTCTTTTTGTAATTTTGTTTATTATGAATCAACTTGAAAATACAGCCCATGATGGTGTGAAAAAGAAATTCCACACATAGTAAGACAGCTACTTGGCCTCAGAGCCAGCGCCGGGCTCCTGTGTGTGTGTTAAACAGGTAGTCTCTTCCGGTACCTAAAACCGGTAGGAGAGAGAGGAGAGCAGGGGGTGCTGCTGGCCCCAGAAGAACTGCCTCCCTCCCCCTTACTTAAGGGTAGGAGATTATTCCTCCAGGACCCTCAGTGTGACATCCCACCTTCGCTGGAATCTAACCTGTCCCCTCCCTCCCTTCTCAGCAAATTCTCTCAACTCTGACTCAAATGCACAGGAAGCCTCCTTGATTCTCCAACACTGGACACCAGCTTCCCTAAGGCAATACCAGATTACTCTCCCATAAATCACTGGTGACATTGGACTATCTGGAGGCCTCTCCCCTCACCATCATCCCTCCTCCCGTTGTGGGCAGAGACCAGACCAGATATGAGTCATCTCCTGACCCCCTAGACGTTTGACAAAGGATGGATGAAGAGTGAGCGGGGATGAGAGCAGACCCCATTCAGGAAAAAAGCAGATAGATGGTGGGTTCCTGGGAGTAGGAGGAGATATTGAGATGGGGTAAAGAGAGGAGGAGATACTCAGATGGGGTGAGGGCCCAGGCAGAGAATAGCTTAGGAAGAGGGGGACTCACGGGAGTCCTGTGCTCTGCCATCAAAATGCTGCTGAGGGAAAAAAAAAAAAGATGCAATGAATTGAACCCTGCCCACAGGGGAGCAGATGAAGGCCTGCCCCTAGGGGGCCAGAAGCCCACCTGCCTCCTCCATTCTGATGGTGCTAGTGTGGGCATTTCCACAAGGATACCCATTCATCGGAAAAGGGGCATGGGAAAAAAGGCTTGGAGGGGGCAGGGGAGTACTCTGAAGCACCCTTGGTGTCCACTACTTGAGATGGTGAGCTGACATACCAGACTCATGACACTGCTGGGTGCCTGGGACATCTCCATCTTCGGTGCCTCCAGGAAACCCTCGATGGATCCCTCAGTTCCCTGGATGCTGGGGCAAAGTACGAGCAAGAGTACAGGGCAAGGCTCTGGGCCCTAACCTGAGTTTAAGAGATGGGATCCCAGGCATAGAAGTATGCAAAGGAGACTGACCTGTTTAGCAGCAAAGCCTGGGCTGGTTTGCTGGGTGCTTGCAGCAGCTGGGCCAACCTAAAATGCCAGGAGGAGTAACGAAGCAGTGAGGGCAGCAGGCCTACTGGCTCCAGGAATCAGCACCATTCACCCATTCCTTTATATTGGGAACAACCAATGTCTGTATGCAGTGCCCACATTGTTACATCCCCTTTCCCTGGGCTCAGTCCTATGTCCACAAGGAACTTCAGAGTCTACAGGAGCAGGAAAGCTTTCCAGTGGAGGGCAGAAGTCAGGAATAGGGGTAAATGCCCAATGTATGACAGACTCACAGTTTCAAGCCCTGAGCTTATCTACCCTCCTCCCATTCCAAGACTGGATTCTGCCGGTGATGGAAGTTGCTTCCTCCCAGTGTCTCTCTGACCCTAATCTAAAGACCTCTGGAGGGAGAGTAGCCCTCCTCAATATCAGTTCGTCACCCACCTACTTGGGCATTGTCATCTAATCTTGGGTGAAACCACCCATCACAACTGGGGTCCATAGGTGGGTTGGGGGCAAGTAGGGAGCACAAGGATAGGATCCCTACCCCTGGAGGAGCCTGCCAAGAAGCCAGCCTAGGGCCAAGAGGAGAAGAGCACCAGTTGCTGTCAACACCACCACAAACCAGGGCTGTGGCTGCCAGAAAGCCTCTGTGTCTGTCACGAGCATGGGTGTCATCGTTGAGGGCACCTGAAAAGGAGGCCACAGCCTCACCACTGCCTTGCCAAAATGCCCTGACCATCCAGCCTTCCAACCCTTCCCCGGGCTAAGCCACCCCACACCCATGATTTGCTCTTCAACACTGCTGGGCTCTCCGCACTCTGCGCTTCCCTCTGAACTGCCTTCCCCATAGTTCCACCTGAAAAACTGGGTCTCCTCACTCTCCAAGGTCCACCCTTCCCACCCTGCTGAGGGCCCAAGGAGCCTCCTCACTGTGGTTCTGTGGGTGCTGGTGGCCACTGTGCTGGCCCTCCGGGGAACTAGATGCACAATAATGGTGGCTGTGGTGCTGAGGTGGGGGGTGGAGGGGCCTGCATCGGCCACACAGATCAGTAGCTCATAGGTACGGGGCTGCTCTGGCCAGAACGGCCCCAACACAAGGTCACTGTGCACCAGGATGGCCCCTTGCAGGATGAATCGGTTCTGGCTATTCCCTGAAAGCAGAATGACAGGAGGAAGAGACCATTGCTGGCCTTGGCCTGCCCCTCACTCACAACCTGGTGGTGCCCATGTCCCCTACCTCCCACGATGCTATAGGAGTAGATCAGGCGCTGTGGCTCCTGAGGGATCTGGCATGACATCTTGGTCACCTCCACGCTACGGCCCAGAGGAGCATAGATGGTGAGTTCCTGAAATGGGGGCTCACACTCGGGGGCATGGTCATTCACATCCTGCAGAAAGGAACCAGGTTAGGAGTGGGTGGAACCCACCCCCTAAACCTCTGAGCCAGCCCCTCAACTTCTTCTCACCACAGCCGTAGCCTAGGCATCAAGTGATGAAGTCATCACACAACAGGCTCCAGAGCTTTCAATTAGGCCCCACTCTTCTCCAGCCAACTCGTGGAAGAAACCAAGGCACAGAGTGGAAAAGCAGAACACCACAGGGCAATCTGAACTCCTGTCTTTCCAAGTATTTATTTCCAAAGCCTTAGGACGCAATTACCTCAACCTCGATGGTAATGGTACAGGAGCCTGAGAGGTGATGGTTGGGGTTCTGGTCTTGGCCATGGTCAATCACAAGGACAGTGAGCCTGTACAGCCTCTGCTGCTCATAGTCCAAAGGTCCCAGGAGGTGAACTTCCCCTAGAGGGGGAGACCACAGCTTCAGCCTGCAGGGCCAACTCTGGCTCCCTGTTTCCATCCCAGCCCTGGGGTGGATGTACCGCTGAGACGGTCCACAGCAAAGGTGGTAGGACCACCAGAGGTGTAGTACTCAATGTTGTCATGAGGGTAATCCATATCCGTGCCCACCACGGAGCCCAGTAGAGTGTGGGGCGCCGCATCCTCCTGAACCCGGAACGTGCGAGGGGCACAGGCTGGGGAGAACTCGTTGATGGGTGTCACCATCACCAGTACCGGCACCTCAGCTGGAAGTCATTTGGCAGTCAAGGAGCTGGCCTGGGGTAACTATCCCTGAACTGGGGGTCTGAGGAGGGAGACAGGGCCCTGCCCTGGGGGTCTAAAGAGTGAGAGGGTCTGCTGGGCGTGGTGGCTCACGCCTGTAATCCCAGCACTTTGGGAGGCCGAGGCGGGCAGATCACGAGGTCAGGAGATTGAGACTATCCTGGCTAACACAGTGAAACCCCGTCTCTACTGAAAATACAAAAAATTAGCCGGGCGTGGTGGCCGGCACCTGTAGTCCCAGCTACTCTGGAGGCTGAGGCAGGAGAATGGCGTGAACCCGGGAGGCAGAGCTTGCAGTGAGCCAGGATCGTGCCACTGCACTCCAGCCTGGGTGACAGAGCAAAACTCCGTCTCAAAAAAAAAAAAAGAGAGTGAGAGGGTCTAAAGGGAGGGCAGAAGCCTTCCCCTGCTGGGGGTCTAAGAGATATATCTTCAGGGTCTGAAATGGTGACAACCCTGCCCTACTGGATTCTGAAGGAGGAGAGATGACCCTGTCCTGAGCATGGGAAGCGGGAGGACAGAACAGCCTTGTCCTGGGTGTCCAGGCCGGGTGTGGTCACTCACTGGTCATCTGGGGCTGGCCACCATCGAGCACCAGGATGGAGGCTGCATGCTGGAAGCAGGCTCCAGGAGTGTCACAGTCCAGTGTGGCATTCACCTAGCCAAAGGGGCTAGAAAGTGAGGTCCAGCCAGGGCCTGAGAGAGCCCTGAGCCACACGGGGCTGCTGTAGGCCAGGGCATCCACAAATATCTTGCCTGGATCCTGTTTTCCAGACTGCAACACAGGTTGGCTCGACAGCCATCCCTCCACCCCCACTCCCGTGGTCTCAGAGACCCTTGGCCCACCCACCCCTTCCCACTGCAAGCACCCTGCAAGTGGGTCTGGGAGCTGGGGCTGGGCACCTCAAGGACTCTGTCATAAAGGCAGAGGCTGGCAGGGTTGGAAGAGCTGCGGAACCACAGCTTGTAGTCCAGGGTGGCACCAACAGAGTCCGGATCTTCGCAAGTGAGAGTATTCAGCACGGTGCCCACGGGTGCAGTCTCCGGGATTTGGGACCTGAGAGTATGCAGTGGCAGCAAGGCAGGAGTCTGGCAGTACCCTGAGTCATGGCTCTGACCCCAGCAGCCCAAGTATGGTTCCCGGGTACTCACACCAGAAGCGCTGGGAGGCAGCGTGGAGGCCAGAGGTTGACCAGCTGCACATTCATGGTGAGATTGAGCTTGGCACTGGCCCACAGCTGGCCCTGCTCAAAGGCCTTCACCTGCAGCCTGGAGACCGCGGTGCCTGAGGTGCGAGCTAACTCTAGGGGCGTGGTGGTCCGGACCACACCGTCTGCTGCATGGGGTGAGAGAACACAGAGGTCAGGGGTCAGGGAACACAGAGATCAGCCCCGCCTCCCAGCTCAGTCCCACTCCTGCCAGCCCACCAGATCCATAGGCAAAGGAGGCCGCTGAGCCTGGCCCTCCTGCTGCCTTCTCCAAGACCAGGCCCCCAAACAGGAAGGTGAAGAGGTACTATGGGTCACCTCTGGACCAGCCACAGAGGCATCCCAGTACCTGCCCCCACCCCCCAACACCTCTCACCACGACCAATGGAGAAGAGTGGGCTGGGCACCGGAGACAGGATTTCATAGCGCAGGTCGACACCCCGGGCCTGGACCTGAACCACCTCACTACCGGGGGCCAGATTCTCAGGGATGGTGATATTCTGAGCCTGCTCGCTGGACCAAAAGGGGGGCACTGGTTCCTGCCCATTCCTGCTCAACCTGTGGGTCCACAGCTTCCTTCCCTGGGCCCCCTCCTGTCAGGGCTGGGACTCAGCTCCAGCAGCCTCACCCTACCTGATTCCCTGGGGCTAGGCCCTTCCTCCCTCACTGTTCCAGGGTAGGGGAGCCTTACAGGAAGGAGACCTGGCTGGAGGGAACAGGCAAAACCTTCACTATCACCATCCCTTGGCAGCTTTGCCTTTGTCCAAAGGACACTGAGATTTGCAGCTGGAAGACCTGTGGTGCACCCAGAACAGAAAAGGAGCCAGATTGTGTGTGTCCACCTCTTTGTCTATGCCCAGTCCTCCCCTTAAATAGGCAACCTCACTTAGGATCTCCAAAAGGATCTTCAACTTCCACTCTTCCCCATGATCCCCATGACCTGTCACTCTGCTGACAAGTATTCCTTTGAGCCCCATACCTTTGGGCCATAAATTATTCCATTAGGATACAAACAGCCCCAGAGTGATATCTGAATCATTGACAATGTGAATTATCATCTTAGAATTGCTGAAAGCCACCTCCAGACTGCACTGACCATTTTACTCAGAACTTTTTTTTTTTTTGCCCATGTTGGAGCACAGTGGTATGATCTTGGCTCACTGCAACCTCCACCCCCTGGGTTCAAGCAATTCTCCTGCCTCAGCCTCCCGAGTAGCTGGGATTACAGGCATGCGCCACCATGCTCAGCTAATTTTTGTATTTTTAGTAGAGACGGGGTTTCTCCATGTTGGCCAGGCTGGTCTTGAACCCCTGAACTCAGGTGACAACGCCCACCTTGGCCTCCCAAAGTGCTAGGATTATGTGGGTGAGCCACTGTGCCTGGCCATTACCCAGGACTTTCTCTTACTGTGTGATTGCCCTAAACACTTTTCTTTCTATTAGAGGGCTTGTGAATTCCCAGAGAGAGGGATTCCTCTTCTTTCTAGAACTCCAGAGCCCAGCACAGAACCAAGCTAAGGTGGGAGGACAGACAGCATGCAGCAGCAGGTCCAGGTCTGAGAGAGTCAGTATTAGTCAAGGAGGCCAAGGAGGCCAAGAATAAACAAATTTCTAAAAGGTAGGCACTCTACCCAATCCATAAACACCCTCAGATTCCAGGTCATGCTCACCTTTTGAGCCTGGCCTAGGAGGCCCTGGGATGGTGCCTGCAGCCAACCTTGCTCATTGATGGAGAAAGGTCCAGGGAAGTGTGGCAGGTCCTGGGCACTGATAATGCTCATCTGACAGAACAGAGATGCTGGCAACCACATTCAGCCCCCAGTGCCCTGAGCACCCCCATCGACAACCCAGCAGCAACCCTCCAGCAACCCAGCAGGCACCTGCCTACACCCAATTTATTTTCCTTCCTTCCTTCTTTCCTTTCTTTCCTTCTCTCTCCTTCCTTCCTTTCTTTCTTTCCTTCTCGCTCTCTCCTTCCTTCCTTTCTCTCTTTCTTTCCTTCTCTCTTCCTCCCTCCCTCCCTTCCTTCCTTCTTTCTTTTTTTTGAGACAGAGTCTCTCTCTGTCGCCCAGGCTGGAGTGCAGTGGTGCGATCTCAGCTCACTGCAACCTCCACTTACTGGGTTCAAGTGATTCTCCGGCCTCAACCTCCTGAATAGCTGGGATTACATGCCTGTGCCACCACACCCGGCTAATTTCCTTCCCTCCCTTCCCTTTCCTTCTTTCCTTCCTTCCTTCCTTCCTGTTTCTGACAAAGTTTCACTCTTGTTGCCCAGGCTGGAGTGCAATGGCTCAGTCTTGGCTCACTGCAGCCTCCACCTCCTGGGTTCAAGTGATTCTTCAGTCTCAGCCTCCCGAATAGCTGAGATTACAGGTGCCCGCCACCACGCCTGGCTAATTTTGGTATTTGTAGTAGAGATAGGGTTTCGCCATGTTGGCCAGGCTGGTCACGAACTCCTGACCTCCAGTGATCCACCCGCCTCGGCCTCCCAAAATGCGGGATTACAGGTGTGAGCCACTGTGCCCAGCCTGACACCCAGTTTTCTCATGCTTCACCACTGACCCTTATCCCAGCCTGGGCTCCCTGACTTCTAGCCCAAGCCCTGGCCGCAGTCCTCAATCCTTTTTGCTTTCAAGCCAGTTACTGTTTTTAAATACTTTTTTTTTTTTTTTTTTTGAGACAGAGTCTTGTTCTGTCACCCAGCCTGGAGCAGTGGCACAATCTTGGCTCACTGCAACCTCCACCTCCTGGGTTCAAGCGATGCTCCTGCCTCAGCTTCCCAAGTAGCTGGGATTACAGGCACACGCCACCACACCTGGCTAATTTTTGTATTTTTAGTAAAGACAGAGTCTCACCATGATGGCCAGGCTAGTCTCGAACTCCTGAGGCCACCTGCCTCAGCCCCCTCAAAGTGCTGGGATTACAGGTGTGAGCCACCGTGCCTGGCCATTACCTACATGTTTGTTTTTTTTTTTTTTTTGATTACAGAAATGATACAGAATTGTCATAAAGAACTGAGAACACATAGCAGATCTTGAAAGAACTCAGCCCCTGGCTGGGAGCGGTGGCTCATGCCTGTAATCCCAGCACTTTGGGAGGCCGAGGTGGGGAGATCACGAGGTCAGGAGATCGAGACCATCCTGGCTAACACGGTGAAACCCTGTCTCCACTACAAAATACAAAAAAATTAGCCGGGCGTGGTGGCGGGTGCCTGTAGTCCCAGCTACTCGGGAGGCTGAGGCAGGAGAATGGCATGAACCTGGGAGGTGGAGCTTGCAGTGAGCCGAGATCGCGCCACTGCACTCCAGCCTGGACGACAGAGCAAGACTCCGTCTCAAAAAAAAAAAAAAAAAAGAACTCAGCCCCTGAGATGTCCCTGTGGGAACAGCCATGGTCACTGGGGAGTGAGCAGCCCTCAGCAGCTCTCTCCAAGAACATACATCATGTAGAGGCTCATCTATGCCTCTGCTGCAAGGTTCCTCTTCAGGCTGTGCCTGGCCAGGTGGGGGTTAATTTATTCTCTCCATCCCCCCACCCCCATCCTGTCACCCACCGTCCCATGTTCTGGGCTTACCTGCGCTCCGTGGAGTTCTAGGCCTGGGAGGAGCAGAGTGTACAGCCGAGCCCCAGGTGTGACTGTCTCTGGCACCTGAATCATTTCCCCAGCTGGCCAGAGTGGAGGTCAGGGAGGATCTGCTCAGGCCATGCCTGCCCCCACCCTGCCGGCTGCCCCTGGCCTCACCTGGGCTGGCAAATTGACCAGCACACTGGATATGGCTAAGGTCCCGCTGCACATCCACAGAGAGTGAGCCCTCCATCACATGGTTGCCACATGTGAACTTCAGCTGCACCTTGTAGTGGTTCACCATCAGGGCATCCAACTGAGCAGAGCTGCTCAAGGTCAACTGGGGTGGGTGGACAGTGCCATGTGGGGCTTGGAAATTTTAGGTCTGCCCTTGTGCCCCCACAGTCCCCAGCTGTACACATGACCCTACCTTGCCCACATAGGTCCCTTGCCACCTGGCCAAGCTGGGTGGGTTGAAGAAGGTGGTGGGTGGCTGGACATTGAGCAACTCCAGGGTGGGTGTGGGCGTGTAGGAGGAGCAGTTGAAGGATAAAAACTGAAGGACTGTGCCAGGGCCCTGGCTCTCAGAGACATTTATAAAGCAGGGCAGGCTGCAGAGGTCTGTGAAGAGCAGAGAATTCAGGCTGGAGGCCCCCAGGCTGATGGAACCACACATACTAGCATAGTCCTGTCCTTTTGCCACAGGGCCTGGCCATGCCATGGGGCCAAGCAGCTAAGGCCTTTCCTTGTATCCAGCATCCAGCATTTCACAGATGGGGAGTGAGAACTTGACTGAGGAAGTGGCCAAGAGAAGGGGTGAGGGCCAGGGGTTCAGATTCTTACACTTTCCTACCTCTCCCCCAATCCCTGTCCTCCATGGTAGCTTATCTGGGAAGGGTCAGGACTCCAAGGGAAAACTACGGTTCCCCCACCCACCACCTCCTCACCAGAGACCACCGGAGCAAAGAGGAACACGAGGAGCCTGAGCAGCACCATGATGACCTGAAGACACAGACAGCAGAGGAGGCTTCAGAAAGCTAGGCTGTTTGTCTGACTCACCCTGTTGCCAGGTCAGTTGCTCAAACATAGCTGGGCAGGCGGGACTCCTGGGCCTCCCAGATTCTATCCCCACCCATCCCTGGTGACTGAGTTCTAGACCTCTGGCAGGCTTCCAGAGGCTCAGAATATCCCATTTTCCATTGCCCCCATTCATTACAACTCTAAGGGCATGGAAGGGGAGGAGGATTAAGGTTCAGATGAGGAAACTGGTCATGCAATCCGTGGAGATAGAGCAAGCACAGCACCCAGGAAAATTTGGCCCAGGACCTGCTACCCCACAGAGTCTCAACTCCAGCTGGACCCCCTCCATTAGAACATTATCTGCCTATAAAAAATGAGCCCAACCGTCAACAAAATCTCTCAAAACTTGCTGGGTGTGGCGGCTTACATCTGTAATCCCAGCACTTTGGGAGGCTGAGGTGGGAGGATCACTTGAGCTCAGGAGTTCAATATCAGCCTGGGCAACAAAGTGAGACCCCATCTCTACAAAAAATTAGTTGGGTGTGGTGATCCAGGCCTGTAGTCCCAGCTACTCTGGAGGCTGAGGTAGGAGGATTGCTTGAACCCCAAGAGATCGAGGCTGCAGTGAGTCATGATTGTGCCACTGTACTCCAACCTGAGTGACAGAGCAAGACCCTGTCTCAAAAAAAAAGAAAAAAGAAAAAAAAAGTTGTCTACATCCAACAAGCAAAAGGAATCCTTTATGATAGAAATACAAATACTGGTTACCGTTGGGAATATCAGTTGGATAGGGCACCAGGTGGCATCCAGGAGTTGCTGAGGATGTTCTATATCTGGGTGGCAGCTGCACAAGTGTCTACAGATTTTAACATTTACTGGGCTGTAACTTTGAGATCTGTCTATTTATTGTATTTATATGTCAGTTTTTTTAAGTTTTCTGGCCAGGCACGGTGGCTTATGCCTGTATGGGAGGCTGAGGCAGGAGGATCGTTTGAGATCAGGAGTTCGAGACCAGCCTGGACAACATGGTGAAACCCTGTCTCTACAAAAAAAAAAAAAAAAAAAATTAGCTGAGTGTGGTGGCACATGCCTGTAGTCCCAGTTACTTGAGAGGCTGAGATAGGAGGGTCACTTGAGCCCCAGAGATGGAGGCTGCAGTGAGCCAAGATCATGCCACTGCACTCCAGCCTGGGTGACAGAGTGAGGCCCTGTCTCAAAAAAAAAAACAAAAACGGTTGTCTTTATTTGCCATCTCCAGTTCTTCAGTCCTCACTCTCTTCTCCACACACTCTAATCAGGCTTGTCCCTCTCTACACAAAACTGCCCTTGTCAGGGTTCCCAGTGACCTATGCACTGCCGAATCCAGTGGTTTGTTCTTCACCCTCACTGCCTAGGCAGCATTCAATGCTTGCTCCCCTTGGGTCCTGAGTCCCCACATTCTCAGATTTCTCCTGGCTGTTCCTGCTCAGCTTCTTTGATAGCTCTGCTTCATATCTCCCCTACCTCCACCTCATGGAATGTCCCAGGGCACAGTCCCGATTGCTGTCTCCCTCTGACTACACTGATTTCCTCCCACCCCACCTTATCCAGGCCTATGGCCTTACATACCATCCATTCACTCACTATGCCTCCCAGATCCAAGGCTCCAGTGCTGATCTCTCTCCTGAAGTCCAGAGTCATACACCTAGCAGCTGACTCTGCAACTCCTCTTGGATGTCTAACAGGCATCTCAAGGGTTACGTGTCCATAAATGATCATTGGATTTTCCTCTCCAAACCCACTCTTCTCCAGTCTTTCCCAGATCAGTTTATGGCAATTTCATCCAACCAGCTGTTAATGCCAGAAATGTAGGAGTCATGCTTGATGCCTCTTTTCCTGCCCACATCCATGCATCAGCAAGACTTGATTTTAGTTCCAAAACATACCCCAAAGTGACCCCCTTCAGTGCACCTGCCCTGCCCAGGCCTAGGCCCTCCCCTTCGTTGCCTGGATGAGGGCAGGGACTTCCACTCTTATTGCAGAATCCTTTTCTGAAAGCAGCTGGGATTATCTAAACAAGGGCTAGCCCAGGTCATTCCTGCTCAAAGGCCCCCATTGCTCCTCATCACACCAAGAACAAAACCCACATTCTGCTCTAAGGCCGTTAGAGCCTGGTTTTGCTGACCTTTTCCCTCCTGCCACCACCACCAATCACAGACACCTGGGCCTTCTTTATGTTTGGCCCTGTCCAGCTCCTGTCCGTCGGGGTCTCTTCCCTGGCTGCTCCTTCTGCCTAGAATGTTCTTCTTCTCCTTCTTCTCCTTCTCCTTCTTCTCCTTCTCCTCCTCCTGCTTCTTCTTCCTTTCTTTTTTTTTTGAGACGGAGTCTCACTCTGTCGCCCAGGCTGGAGTGCAGTGGCGCGATCTCCGCTCACTGCAAGCTCCGCCTCCCGGGTTCACGCCATTCTCCTGCCTCAGCCTCAGGAGTAGCTGGGACTACAGGCGCCCGCCACCACGCCCGGCTAATTTTTTTTGTATTTTTAGTAGAGACGGGGTTTCACCATGTTAGCCAGGATGGTCTCGATCTCCTGACCTCGTGATCCGCCCGCCTCGGCCTCCCAAACTGCTGGGATTACAGGCGTGAGCCACCGCGCCCGGCCAGAATGCCCCTCTTCTTGATTGCATCTTGATGTCACCTCCTGTGAGACTGACTTTCCCCAAGCTAGCCCACGGCCCTCATTCCCTGGTATTTTCCTGTTGCTGGTATGTCCAGTCTGTCTGCAGCTACACTACCCTTGAGCCTAGCCTGTGTTGATAGAGCAGCCTCAGCACCGACCCTCAGTCTGCACCTGGTACCGGCAAAGGGAATGCCGACGGTCGCGCGTCGCCGCTGGACTCGCGACTAGCCAAGCACTCCCCACTAGAGGGCAGTCCCGTCTAGCTCGGTTGGGACGCGGCTGAGGCCCCGCCGGTGCGCTGCCACAAAGTCCCGCCCTCTCTTGAGTCCTCAGACGGGCTGAACCCCACTTCCATCCCGTTCAGGGAGTGCCAAGGCCAGCCTCACGAATGGGTCCCGTGGGTCAGGCCCCGAGGGTCCACAACCTCTCTGGGTCCGACCATCCGGGGTGCTCTGCCTATGTGCGGACGCAGCACGGCGCCCCGTGAGAGGGACCGCTATTTCACCATTGAACAAACGGGGAGGATGAGGCCCCCGCACGGAGGCGACCTGTCCTGCGTCACGCAGCAAACGCAGGGTCCACTCAACAGTCTGGGGGCTCGGGGGGTCCCCGTACCGGCCCCGTCCGGCTTCCAGTTATGACCCCGCCCTTCCCACCCAGAACCGCGGCGGAGTCGGGAGGGACGCCGGGCTTTAGCCCCGCCCCCTTTGGCCGCGGGGCCGGGGCGGGGCGCGGCTGCCAGATGTCGGGGCGGCGGCGGCGGGAGCTACGGAGAGCGAGGAGTCGCGCAGGCAGGCGGAGGCTGAGGGCGCCGCTGGCCGGCCCTCCCAGCCCTCTCCGCGCGGCTCCGCCGGGGTTCCAAGAGGAGCTAGTAGGTTCGGTGGGGGCCCTGGCATGGACATGCACAGCGCTCGGCTTGACAGCTTCCTTAGCCAGCTCCGCTGGGAACTGGTGAGGCTCGGGAGCGGGTGTGGTTAGTGAGGACGCGTGCGGGATGCCAGGCTGCCGCCCGGCCGGAACAACAGACGGGTGCGGGGTGGCTCCAGCGTGCCGGTCCGAGGCGGGGTGGGGGCGGCGTGGCGCATATGGCTCAGATGGCCCGCGTCGGGTTTCGGACGGTTGGGAACTGAGCTGAGCATCAGATAACAGCATCCAGCTGGCCGTGCTGCTGGAACGGCGCGGGAGGAGAGAGTGGAAGGGGGACTTCTTTGGGGGCGGGGCATGGGGCGGCAAGGGACTAACGAGGTGCTGGCGCTGCTGTGAACGCCCCCTACTTCAGGCTGGCCTATGCCTCCCTTCTCTACCCCTCACCTAGCAAGCGCTCTTTCTGTGAAAGACGCTTTGGGCTTTGGGAGCTGAATCCCCCAATAGGCACGGGATGCCCCTCCAGTCCTGGGCAGGACCTACTTCCCCGTTCAGGCCCGCAACCCTGCCTGCCTGCCCGCCCGCCCTGGTGGCGGGTGCCGACTTGCCCGGCCCTGCATGCTGCAGCCTGCCAGACTGCCACCAGGTCGGTGGATGAGAACCACACCAGCTTCGAGTGCCAGCACCCCTATGCCTGCCCTGTGCTCACTAACACCCTGCTGCCCAGGCCAGCAGGCCTATCTAACCTTCCTGGACCCTCTGTTCTCTGGGCTGGCCTGGTGACAAGTGATACCTCTCCGACTTCTGCCCTCTCTTCCCCTCAGTTGTGTGGTCGGGACACAGGCTCACCCTCAATGCCTGGTCCCCTGCAGCCAACCTCCCAAACTGGCCCAGATGTGCAGCCCAGCCACCAGCTTAGGGCCTCGGGTGCCTTGGAAGAGGACTCAGTCTGCTGTGTGGAGGAGGAGGAAGAGGAGGAGGAGGAAGCAGTGGTGACAGAAGACAGGGATGCAGCCTTGGGAGGCCCCAGGGAGCATGCCCTGGACTGGGACTCTGGCTTCTCGGAGGTGTCAGGCAGCACATGGCGAGAGGAAGAACTGCCTGTATCCCAGCGCCCAGCACCCTCAGCACAGCCCCTTCGTAGGCAGTGCCTCTCAGTCAGTGGCCTCCCCATGCCCAGCAGGGCCCCTGTAGCCAGTGTACCACCTGTCCACCATCCACGGCCCAAGTCCACCCCAGACGCCTGCCTGGAGCACTGGCAGGGACTGGAAGCAGAGGACTGGACAGCAGCCCTACTGAACAGGGGTCGCAGTCGCCAGCCCCTGGTACTAGGGGACAATTGCTTTGCTGACTTGGTGCACAACTGGATGGAGCTGCCTGAGACAGGGAGTGAAGGGGGTGACGGAGGTGGGCACCGTGCCCGTGCTCGGCCCCCTCAGTTCCTGCTTGGCCTCTCTGAGCAGCTTCGGCGCCGGCTGGCCAGGGCTCGGCGGACAGCTATGGCAGGAAAGCGGCTGTCATGCCCACCTCGCCCAGAACCTGAACTGCCTGCGGATGTCTCACGCTTTGCAGCTCTCATGAGCTGTCGTAGCCGCCAGCCCATCATCTGCAATGATGTCAGCTACCTCTGACCCTGCCCTCCAGCCTGGGACAATAAAAGCCTTTTTTCTAGACTGTCCTGGCTCCATACCCCTGAGGCACTAAGAGGCAGCCCCAGCCCTGTGAGGCACTGCCCAGGGAGACAAATCTTCTGAAGAGCTTTTTTTCTCTGTGTGAAGGTCCCTGTCATGCCCATGTCACACCCGTGTGCATTAGTGCACTGTTTTCTATCGTCCATCCTCTCTGCAATGCCTTCCTTTAACAAGCATTTATTGAGTGCCTACTGTGGGCTTACAATGCAGGGCTTGGGATCCGGGGCTCCATTGAGCTAGGTGACAGGGTGGCTGCCTTGTCACAGCTCATAGTGCAGAGGTGGGAAGGCAGTGTCCTCGTCGTCACCCTCACAGCTCAGCTCTAGCACCAACACCCGCTGCCCAGGAGCAGGTGCCTGGCCTGTCAGCTGCTGAACCAGTTCTGTCACCCTGGTAGGGGTGGGTTTAGGGGAGATTGGAGAGGTGAGCCATGGCAAGCAGAAGGCAGCCTGGCATGGACTAGAGAGGGTGCTGGCAGGCCGTCAGGAGCCCAAGCCAGGAGCAGGAGCTGCTCAAGACAGGAAACATCTGAAACTATTTTAGGAGCAGCTGATGAGGCAAGCAGGAGGCAGGAAGCTATGGGTCCCTTGGGAGTGGGCTGTGAAAGGGGGGCTGTGCAGCATGTGGGGAGCCCATGGGGCTGGCCAAATAGGCAGCTCCTGAAGACTCCTCCTCAGGCTCTCGGCCCTCACCCCACCTCCAGCCTGTTTGCTGGCTCCATTTGGGGAAAGAATGCTTGGGAAGGTGTGAGGGGCCCAGAATGGGGCTGGGAAGACAAAAGGCAGTGTGGTCCCTAGCCCCAGCCTCCAGGGACTGGTGGGGCCTGTCTAAAGCCCCAAGTGGGCTCACCTGAGGGGCAGGTGCTGGGCCTGCTTTTCAGGTGACCATCCGGCCGCATAGAGCAGGGCTGAGCCGTGCAGCAGGATCCTCACCCTCAACCCGTGCTGCTCCTAGAGGAGAAAGGTCAGACACCAGCTGGGCCGGGCTGGGCTGAGCCTGGGGGTTGGGGTAGCAACAGGGCACACCTGAAGATGAGCCAGCAGCGACTCCAGGGTCCTCTCAGGCTGCCCAGCTGGTACCTTCAGACGGTCCCAAGAGGTCCACTTCAGGTGATGGAACTGGGATGAGGTAGAGGAGGAGTCAGAGACTTCTTACCTCCCCCCAACCCCCATCCCAGTTACCAGCAGCCTTTCCTAGGGGAAGAGCTGGACTAGCAGGAAACAGGAGCCAGGGGGTGGGGGGTGGGGGGGAGGTGGGATCTGGGCCCAGAGTCTCAGCCCCCTCCCCGTCCAGGCCGGGGCCAGCACAGGAAATGGGGCTATGGGGCCCGCACAGGGAAACAGACGATCCATCACATGGGCCAGTTGTGAGAGTGGGGGATGAGGGGGTGGTGCTTCCTGAGGAAACCCAGAGCAGGGCCCCTGCAGCCTCTGATAAAGCTGCTTGTTCCTCAAAGACAAGGCTGGGAGCTGGGGGGCACATCCTGTCCCCCAATCTTGTATGTACTGCCAGTGCCTTGGGCTACTCATTGGGACACAGGGGCAAAGGGCACAGTGACCACCAGGGCCCCACTGTCCCAGAGACCCCAGCAGGGATACAATGCATAGAGGCTTCCTCCTCCTGTCCCTTCCTTCCTTCCAAGAGTCTTGGGGTTCTGGGACCTAGAGCTAAGGACAGAAGGATGGCTGGCAGGTATCTAGAGACCAGGACAGGGGGTGCTTATCAGCCCCTGAGAAAACACACTGGGGTCAAGCTGAGACTAGGCTAGAGGTGAGATGGGGGCTTCTCCTTCACCTGCTTCACTCTGTGGACAAAGGCAGCCTGTATGCTGGTTAGAGGCAGGGTGCCTCACAAAGGGGCTCTGTGTGCTAGTCCAGAGGGACCCCAGGCTGCTCAGCAGAAACCCAGTGCTGGCCCATGACCTCTGCCCTCTCCCCTCATGAGGGCATTCCTTCTACCCTCATCCTTGCCCCAAGGAAATGCCAACTGCAGAGCCTGGGCACAAGGCTGGAGGCATTCACAGCGCTGCAGTCACAGGAACACAAATGCCCACAAGCCCAGGAACACACACATGTGTGCCCACATGCATCTCCATGCATGCCCACATTGAGGACACAGGAAGATGGGAGCCCTGCACTCCCATCTGATGCACAGATGTGCAAACTTGCTCCTTCCATACCCACACTCCGGGGATGCCCAGACCCCAGTTGCACTCACAACTGTGACACAAATACACTCAGGGCTGCAGACCCCACACCTCTAGTGGCAAGCCTATTACCTTTTAACTCAGCTTGTAGGAGGTAGGCCAGGGCCCCCGTACCATGCAGGGGGAAGCTAGACTCTTTCTGGGGCTGATGCCCTGGTCCCCTCCCCACTACCTACCCCTCAGGGGTACTCCAAGGAAGGAGGGGACTGTGGGGGATGTCTGGCTCCACTAATGAGTTAAAGCTGCAGCTCCCCCAGATCCTGGGCTTTGGAGGATTGGGGGTGGGGATGGCTGACGGCTGCTTCCTGTGTCTGACAGGTCCCAGCCTGGCTTCATAGCAGGAAGAGGGCTGGAGGGAGTCTTCAGGACTTCTGCACAGTCTGAGTTTCAGTGAGAGCCGGCAGCTAGATTGGGGCCTGTATGGGCAGGTGCAGGGGAAACCCAGGCCTAGTAGGGCTAAGGGTGGGGTATCATGGGCTCACCGTCTGGATGGCTGGGGCAAAAGGCATATAGCGGATGAGGTAGTTTTCAGCCAGATGTAGGTAGCTGTGGCGAAAGGCACTACGAGGCCGTGGCCCACTCACCACCTTATACAGCTCCAGGCCCAACAGGCCTGCCACAGCTGCTGTAGTGGTGGCAATGGCTGGGATAATCTGGCCCACAATTCGCTTGCTCTGCCAAGGACAAGAGATTTGGTCTGGGCCCAAGGCGTAGGGCCAGGGTTTGCCCTCCACCTCCAGGCCCAAGCCTCAAGGGGTGGGGTTACCTGGGCACGGTTGACCGGTGGAATCCCGTAGTTCTGACATCTCAGGCTAGCTGCCGCTACCACAAAGTCCACATGGAAGTTGCTGTCATCATCCTGTAAGGCCCAAGTCAAAGTAGTGTTAACACTGCAGCTGTGCCCCTCACCGTGGCCCACTGCGTGTCACTGCACAAGTCTCCACACAGTTCTGTCGGGGGGTTGCCCCACATCTCCTCTTGATCAGACAGGCTGAGGTTCAGGGAATGTGAGCTGCTTCCAGGGTCTTGCTGGGAGAATTCAGGCCAAGGGGCTCCAAAACTACCTTATTAGCTCCTGACCTTTCTCCACAAACTCCCCAGCCCCACTCCTCACTGCCACTTGGGCACCCACCTTCTCAAACATCAGAGGCTTCAGGGGAGGGCCCACACTCCAGACTTCCAGGGCTTTGTTCAGTTCCTTCTGCTGCTCAGGGCCTGTCAGGGGAGGGGATGTTGAGGCAGTCCTTAGCCCCTGTCTCCTGCACTCTTCTTGGAGCCCTGTGCCTATTCTTGGTCTTTGCCAAGCC
The DNA here is from genome assembly GCF_000001405.40 of Homo sapiens. Taxonomy (NCBI): domain Eukaryota; kingdom Metazoa; phylum Chordata; class Mammalia; order Primates; family Hominidae; genus Homo; species Homo sapiens. Next base: position 49,808,561 of record NC_000003.12, read on the forward strand.
TGTCACTTACTATTCCCTGATCAAATCAAGAAGCCCCCTTAATTAATGCTACAATCTCCCCTCTAGAAGCCCCAGTCTTCACCCATGTGTGCTCATGACCTCTGTGACCCTGTCCTCACCTGCAGGCCATAGCTAGACACTCCCCAGGAACCAATGGACTTTATTTATTTACTTATTTATTTTGCCAAGAATCTGCCACAAGAACTGGGATGTGGGGTAGGCAGCAGGGAGAAGACCTACTGAGGGACCAGAGGATAAGCCTGAAACTATGGAGGAGTGAGGTTAGGAGGCCTGAGAGGTAGCAAATTGGCTGTAGATCCCCTAGGCCCTATCTTCCTTCTGCAGCACAGGCTGAGGACAGGACAGGTTCAGGCCTTTGAAAGACAGCATGAGGGGCCAGGGCCAGGAGCCTCACCAAACTCAGCAGAAGCCGAAGCCAGCTCTAGATTACTAGCAAAGATGGGGGCCATCTGTTGGGGGTCAGGCTGTGGCAGCAGCTTCAGCAGCTCCCTGAGTGCAGTCCAGTCCTGTGAGCCAGGCAGCCCATGCATCTGGGCATACAGGTTGGCAGCTGCCAGTACGTAGAGGAGGTGTGTGTCCTGCAGCCAGACCAAGAGCAGGAACAGAGGCATGGGTGCATGGGGTGGGGGTCACTGTCCATTTGTGGATCTGTTTGAGTGCCTGCCTTTGCCTCACATGTAGACACCCATATATGCACAAGCATGGCTCTCTCTGGGCATCTGTGCATCTCTGCAGAATGCAGAAATGCCTACCTCTGCTCTGAGGGGCCACATCTCTATCTTGGAGCTCCCTACAGAATCCCACTCACTTGGTTGGTGTCAAACTCCAAGGGCTGGGGACACTGTTTGGGACCTGACCAGAAGGGAGTTCCATCCTCAAGCACCTAGGTAGGTAAGTAGAAGCTGCTGGGCTCAGTCTGGTCCCCCTGAGCCCCCAGCGTCCCAACCCCTAGCCACACACTTTATTAGGTGGGAAGTGCCTCAGCAGCTGTTTGATGCCATAATGAAAGCAGAGTTTCCAGTGGCCAAGAGCCCACGCCACACAGTCTTGCCAGTTCTGTGGACGCACTCTCAGGACCCCAAGCACTGGCTTCAGTAAGGTGAGTGTCTGTGGCTCATCCATGTCTGCCAGGGAAGTGTGTGCCCTGCAGAGAGAGGAGGAAGTGTGAGACTGAGTCCTGCAGACTCATGCTTGGAGCCCTGGACTCCCATCTGCCTCTGTTGGTGGCCTTACTGTTGGTGGTGGTTGATGGTCTCTGCAGACAGTCGGAAGAGTTCTTCAAACTCATGCCGGGCCCACTGTGGAGGAGGGAGGAAGAATGAGGTATCAGGTGGAGAACAGGTCTGCAGCTGAGGGCTGAGCTGGGTGGGGTGGGAGTCTCCAGGGTGCTTCCTACCTGCAGGGTGTGCTCGGCTGTGCTAGGGAAGTACCGCACGGTACAGACAGGGTAGGGGGCATCCTCAGAAGCTGCAGCTGAGGCAGGGGCTCTGTAGGCCTCAGTCACATGTGGCATGAATACTGTAGCACTGCCCCAGGTGCCCGATGTGCCTGCCTCCAGCAGTGGCTTCAGATAGTGGGTGCAACGAGCAGCCACATAGCGCCCTGGCAAGGGAGCAGTGGGTCAGAAGTGGGACTGGCACAGCTGTGGGCAAGGGACTGACCTCCGAAGTCAAGCACTCACGGGCCTGGAAACTGTCCAGGGCAGCAGCCACACCATCCACACGGGAGAAAAAGTTATCCCCATAGATGTGCTCTGTGGTGGGATCCAGTGGGTAGGTGAGCGGGATCACCTGTAAGTCTGGGTTCAGGCCCCGGGCAGCTGCTGCAGCCACCTCTGCCTTGGGTCTCTGGGAAGAAGGCAGGAAGATGTTGGGTGGGAAGCTGTATGGGAGGACGGTCTGGGATGCAGGAGTGTGGAGAGGGGTCAGCACTCACACCAACGTCCTGGGACCTGAAGAGGAACTGACGGCTGAGATTGGAGCGCTCTATGTGGTCCATGTCAACAACAGTCAAGCCCCCGCTGTTCCCGGCCCCCAGTCCCACTAGGGCAAAGACTTTGAGCAGCTCACAACCAATGGCACCAGCGCCCACCTGTTGGCAGGAACAGCCTTAGCCAGAGGGGCTGGGCTGGCTCTCCCAAAGGCACCCCCAGTCTCACCCCACAGCTCACCAGGAGGTAGTGCTGGCGTCTCAGTTTCTCCTGAAAACCAGCCCCAAACACTGCAATTTGCCCATCATAGCGGCTGCCTCTCTAGGGGACAGAGACGGGGTCAGTGATGGCTACTGGCCTGCATCTCCTTCTTATACTGAGTTTTCTGAATCAGGACCTGGAGGGCATTCCTCATGCTTCTCCCCTAGTCCTGATTTTGGACAAGGCTTGCACCCCTATCCCAGGCTCTCACCAGGGCACAGTCCTCAGGACTGGGAAGGAGCTCCCCATCTTCCGGAAGACAATCGAGGGCATCAAAGTAAAGCCACTGGTCCAGAGGCATGAACTTCCTGGAGATTGCCTAGGGGCAGCACTTCAGGCTGGGCACTCCTGCCACCTCCTGACCCCCCTCAGATCCTGGCTGGAGGCTTCACCCAGGTTGGTGAAGGCTCCAGGGCTGCTCTCTAGCGCTGGGTGCCCTCTGACACACACACTGATCTCCACATCTTCCCAGTACCCCCCACACCTATGCCTCTGCCCACCTTCAGCACTTCCTGGGCAGCTACTGCACCCAGCATGGCCACCATAGGGCTCAAGACACCTGCACTGCTTAGGGCGACTGTCCGCACTAGGGCCTCATCCAGTGGCTCTTCCAGTGGCTCTTCCTCTGTCCGCTTCAGTGGTTCCAGGTCCCGGGCCAGGCCCACCACAGTCTCTGCATCAACCTGTTGGTAGGACTCTGTGGGCATAGTAGCCCCAGCCTGAGCTCTACTCCTGACTCAAATCCTTCCAGCCACCCTCCATCCACCCTGTTCCACAGAAGAGGAAGCAGAAGCCTGGGTGGGAAGGCCTGGCCCTGCTGCCAGCCTGCACAGCACCACCAGAGGATGCCCAGTACCAGACAGCAGTCCAGGAGGCTTCACTAATCTGAGTGCAGCTTCCAGCACAGATCTGAGGGGTCGGGGTGTAGCAGGAGTCCCCAGGATGTGTGCCTGGCACTTCCATGGAACCAGTCTCTACTCTAAAGGCTGCAGTGTTGGGAGATCAGACTTGGATTTGTGAATGGTCATTGTTGCCTCTGGCAGGTGGGACCCCAATAAATGACAGAGGCTGGGGGTGGGAGCAACAGGACTACTCACAGGATCCCAGGGCTGGGGTGGCCGGCCATGGAGGTGCTGGAACTTGTGCAGTGCACAGAAGGCCTGATGCAGGCAGTGGGCATGGTGAACTTCCTGGGAGCTCTGGGCCACCACATGGGGCTGGAGCAGGGCTGTGTCCAGGGACTTCTGCAAGGGCACCTGGCTCAGGGTCTAGTCCAGAATGCTATGGGCCCCTCAAGGCGACCAAGCTCCCCTACCTCAGATGCACTTGCACTCACATGTCTCACAGTCTTGGGTCTCTTGACTTCAGTGATAGCCCCACCACGCAAGTACCGAGAGAAAGTTGTTGTGTCTCCAATCTCCAGGGACCCATCCTCTGAGGGAGTTCCAGTCTAGTCAGTAATGATCCTTGAGCCTGAGTAGTTCCCACACCCCATCCTATCTTGCATCTGTGTCCCAGACCTTGCTGCACCTTGTAGAAGGTGGAGGGAGAAAAACCCATCCCAAGGGCCAGGCTGTGCTCACTTCCAGTGGAGGCTTGGGCCCTGCACCTGGAATTGGAATGGGATTGGCTTACCCCGCACGTGGATAGACCGGGGATCACAGTCGTTGAGCTCAACCATTCCCTCAATTCCCGAGAAAGTCACCAAGTCTCCATCACGGAAGTAGTGGGTATTGGCCCCTTTCCTCAGAGTGAGAATGCCAGGGGAGCCCTGGGTAGGAGGAGGCTTGGCTCAGGGTTGCCTGGACCTGCCTTCCACAGGCCCTGGCAGCCTCTCCTTGGTCAGCAGGTGAATGCCTACAGCTCAGCACCCACCTGGGAGATGTGCTGGATGGCAGCTGTCAGGGGTTCTGCCTCTGTGGGGTCCTGCACAGTGAAGTCCTCACCAAAGTCACAGAACAACTGCCTGAGATGGGGTGGTAGGGGTCACTGAGGTGGCTTACAGATTGTACTTAAGGATAGGGGATACTAGGGCAGGGCCAGAGGGCCAGAATTGGGAAAGGAATGCAAGGAGAGGCTTGGGAACTAGAATTTGAGAGGGTTACTGGAGCAGGTCTGGAGGCTAGGTTGGAGGAACCAGAGGGCAGGACTGGGGACCAGAATCAGAAAGGCATGCTGGGATAGACCTGAGGCTGGTTGGAGGGGCACTGGAGCAAGCCTGGAGCTGAGGACAGCATGAGGCCAGTTGCTGGCTGTAATATGGTAGGCTGGGCAGGCAGTCTTACTCACCCCACGAGGCCCCGGGTGTCAGCCGCCAGAAAGCAAACTCCATGCTTATGACACAAGGTGCCCACCTTCAGCTGCTCCTCCAGCTTTGCAGCAGTCAGCACCACCACCTGGGTGGACACAGTGATCAGCAGGGCCAAAACCATTGCCCAGCCCTTCCTGCTCTTGAGGGCTGCAGGCCTGAGCTGACCTGGAAGTCCAACAGCAGGTCCTCAGTGATGTCACCCGTGTGCACGACGACCTGGACAGCTCTGTTGAGCTGAGCCAAGAGCTCTTGAGAGGCCTCGGCTCTGCTCCTTTCCAAGTCCTGCTCTGAGAGGAGAAACTAGGGAGAGAGCCAGTGCAGCCTGAGCAAAGACACTCCTCTTGGGCCGTGCCCCCACCTTGGTCTGGCAGCCCATAGCCCCCCAGGACACTTACCTGGGCAGCCAGGTCGGACCAGCAGGTGGGGTGGGGATCATGCAGAGTGAGGCTGCCCACACCCATCAGAACCAAGTTCTTGGCCACCTCGGCCCCCAGGCCCTGCAGGCCTGACACCAGGACCCTGGCTCCCTGAATCCTCTGCATGGCAGGTGAGCCCAGCACATACCTGTGGATGGGAAGCAGAAGGCAAGCAGTTGTAGATCAAGGTCTGAAGACCATCCCACTCTCCACCCCCCACCTCGGGCCTCACAGCTGTCTTGAATACAGCTCCTCATCCAGTAGCTTCGAAGCGTCCAGGGCATCCATCCTCAAACCTGGGGCTGAACAGTAGGCTGCAGCGCTCAGAGATAGGGTCTTTGTGTAGGTGGCGGTGACAGTAGGGGCCAGTGCCCTGCTGTAGCCAGTGCAAACAGGAACCAAGGCCAAGCGAATAAGGGACGCTGCTGGTCACAGCTCTCTTCCTGGAGAAAAGAAAAGTGAAAGTTAAACTATGCTCTGAGCTGGCTCCTGATCCTGCCTCCAGACGCCAGCCCCAGACAGGCCATTCAGGGTCTAAAACCTGGGATGAGTTCCAGGACTCTCAAGAGGTGATCAGTCTCTGAGTGTCAGACCTGAGGGTGGGAGGCATGGGGCAGCCACATTCACACATGTTCTTATTTTCCTTTTAGACTTTTATTTTGAAATAATTATAGACTCATAAGAAGTTGCAAAAAAAATAGTGCAGAGAGGTCCTGTGTCTCCTTTTGCCTTCTTAGGAACCTGGGGCCAGTTCTCTGGGAGATGGACCACTGTTTGTCACGAAACTACGTAATAGCCAAACCAAGTGCTGTCTTAAGTTCTTTTTTGTTGTTGTTGTTAATTTAGGTGAAATTCATGTAACATAAAGTTAACAATTTTAAAGTGTACAATTCAGTGGCATTTAGTGCATCCACAGTGTTGTTCAACCATCACGTCTATCTAGTTCCAAAATATTTCATCACCCACAACGAACATACCAAACACATTCAATAATTACCATACATGTGGCCGGGCATGGTGGCTCACACCTGTAATCCTAGCACTTTGGGAGGCCAAGGCGGGTGGACCACCTGAGGTCTGGAGTTCAAGACCAGCCTGACCAACATGGTGAAACCCCATCTCTACTAAAAGTACAAAAATTAGCCAGGCATGGTGGTGCATGCCTACATGTAATCCCAGCTACTCGGGAGGCTGAGGCAGAAGAATTGCTTGAATTCGGGAGATGGAGGTTGCAGTGAGCTGAGATCGAGCCACTGCGCTCCAGCCTGGGCAACAGAGTGAGACTCAGTCTCAAAAAAAAAAAAAAAAAAAAAAAGAATTGCAAAATGTGACCTCTTATGTCTATTTCCTTTCACTTAGAATGTTTTCAATGTTCATAGAGTTTATAGCCTGTATCAATATTTCATTCCTTTTAATGGCTGAATAATAGTCCATTATATGTATATACCACAATTCGTTTATCCATTCATCTGTTGATGGACATCTGGGTTATTTCTAACTTTTGGATTTGTGAATAGTGCTGCTATGTCCTTTTTTTTTTTTTTTTCTTTTTGAGACAGTCTCACTCGGTTGCCCAGGCTGGACTGCAGTGGCACAATCACAGCTCACTGCAGCCTCGATCTCCTGGGGTCAAGTGATCCGGCTGCCTCAACCTCCCAAGTAGCTGGGACTAGAGGTGTGCACCACCATACCCTGTTAAAGTGGTTTTTGTTTGTTTGTTTGTTTTTGAGACAGGGTCTCACTCTGGTTGCCTAGGCTGGAGTGCAGTGGTGTGATCATGGCTCACTGCAGCCTCAGTGTCTTGGGCTCAAGCAATCCTCCCACCACAGCCTCCTGAGTAGCTGGGACCACAGGCATGCACCACCACATCTGGCTAATTTTTCTTTTTTTTTTTTTTTTGAGACGGAGGCTTGCTCTGTCACCCAGGCTGGAATGCAATGGCACAATCTTGGTTCACTGCAACCTCCGCCTCCTGGATTCAAATGATTCTTCCGACCCAGCCTCCTGAGTAGCTGGGATTACAGACACTGCCATCATGCCCGGCTAACTTTTGTATTTTTGTAGAGATGGGGTTTCACCATGTTGGCCAGGCTGGTCTTGAACTCCTGACATCAGGTGATCCCCCCGCCTTGGCCTCCCAGAGTGCAATTTTTCTTTTTTTACTTTTAGTAGAGACGGGGTTTTGATATGTTGCCTAGGCTGGTCTCGAATCTCTGGACTCAAGCAATCTGCCCACCTCAGCCTCCCAAAGTGCTGGGACTACAGGCGTGAGCCACCGCACCTGGCTTTGGCTAATTTCCTAATTAATTACTTGCTTTTGTAGAGATTGGGGGTGGGTATTGCTATCTTGCCCAGGCTGGTCTCGAATGCCTGGCCTCAAGTGATCCTCCCACCTTGCCCTCCCAAAGTGCTGGGATTACAGGTGTGAGCCACCATGCCCAGCCTGATTCTTGAACAAGTACTATGTTGCCCAGGCTGGTCTCAAAATCCTGGGGTCAAGTGCCTCGGCCTCCTAAAGTGCTGGGATTACAGGTGTAAGCCACAGCGCCTGGGCTTTCAGCTTTTTTGGGCATATACACAGGAGTAGAGTTGCTGGGTCATATGGTAATTCTGTGTTTGTTTATTATTTATTTATTTATTTTGAGACAGGATATCACTCTGTCACCCAGGCTGGAGTGCAGTGGCGCAATCTGGGCTCACTGCAGCCTCAAACTCCCTTCCAGGCTCAAGTGATCTTTCTGTCTTAGCCTCCCAGGTAGCTGGGACTACAGGCATGCGCCACCATGCCTAGCTAATTTTTTGTAGAGATGAGGTCTCACCATATTGCCTAGGCTGGTCTCAAACTCCTGGGATCAAACAGTTCTCCCACCTCAGCCTCCCAAAGTGCTAGGATTACAGGCATGAGCCACCGCGCCTGGGTTTATGTTGAACTTTTTGAGGAACCACCAAACCGTTTTCCCTATTTTATATTCCTACCAGCAATATACAAAAATTTCTATATATCCACACTGTTGCCAATACTGGTTATTTTTCTTTCCTTTTTTTAAAAAAATGACACCAATCCTAGTGAACGTGAAGAGGTATGTCTTTATGGTCTTTTGTTTGTTTTCATTCAATAACATTTACTGGTGTGACAGAAGTACTAGGTACAGAAACCAGGGCTGGATTTTGAAGTAAAATGCTATCTTTAATAGACTCCAAAGAGTATTTAAGGAAATTCAATATCCATTCCTGCTTTTTAAAACTCTCATTAAAATAGAAATAGATAAAATTTTTAAATTGTGGTAAAATATACATAAGATAGAATTTACCATTTAAACATTTAAGTGTATAATTCAGTGACATTTAAGTACATTCACAATGTTGTGTAACTAACTATCACCACTATCTATTTTTAGAGCTTTTTTTTTTTTTTTTTGAGACAGAGTCTGGCTCTGTTGCCCAGGCTGGAGTGCAATGTCACCATTTTGGCTCACTGCAACCTCTGCCTCCCGGGCTCAAGCCATCCTCCCACCTCAGCCTCTGGAGTAGCTGGGACTACAGGCACAGCGCCACCACACCCAGCTAATTTTTGTATATTTTGTAGAGACAGGATTTCGCCATATTGTCCAAGATGGTCTCCAATTCCTGAGCTCAAATGGGATCTGCCTGCCTTAGCTTCCCAAATTGTTGGAATTACAGGTATGAATCACCTTGCCCAGCCAAAAATTTTTTTAACTTAGCTGGGCATGGGCCAGGCACGGTGGCTCATGCCTGTAATCCCAGCACTTTGGGAGGCCGAGATGGGCGGATCACCTTAGGTTAGGAGTTCGAGACCAGCCTGGCCAACATGGCGAAACCCTGTATCTACTAAAAATACAAAAATTAGCCGGGCCTGGTGGCAGGCATCTGTAATCCCAGCTACTCAGGAGGCTGAAGCAAGAGAATCGCTTGAACCCAGGAGGCGGAGGTTGCAGTGAGCTGAGATTGTACCACTGCAGTGCAGCCTGGGCAACAGAGTGAGATTGCATCTTAAAAAAAATAATTAGCTGGGCATGGTGGTGTACTTCCTTAGTCCCAGCTACTGAGGAGGCTGAGGTAGGAGGGTCTCTTGAGCCTGAGGTGAAAGGTGCAATGAGCCATGACCACGCCAGTGCACTCCAGCCTGGGTGACAGCCCCTGTCTCAAAAAAAAAAAAAAAAAAAGGGACAGGCATGGTGGCTCATGCCTGTAATCCCAGCACTTTGGGAAGCCAAGGCAGGCAGATCACGAGGTCAGGAGATCGAGACCATCCTGGCTAACATGGTGAAACCCCATCTCTACTAAAAATACAAAAAATCAGCGGGGCGTGGTGGTGGGCACCTGTAGTCCCAGCTACTCGGGCGGCTGAGGCAGGAGAATGGCGTGAACCCGGGAGGCAGAGCTTGCAGTGAGCCGAGATCGCGCCACTGCACTCCAGCCTGGGTGACAGAGCGAGACTCCATCTCAAAAAAAAAAAAAAAAAGTGTGTGTCTCCCCGTCCCCCCATTGCATTCCCCCATTGGCTTCTTCTCTTACCATGTGGTCTCTGCACATGCCAGCTGCATGTTGTCTTCTGCTGAGTAGAAGGAGCCTAATGCCTTCACTGGAAGCAGATGCTGCTGCCACACTTCTTGTACAGCCCAGACATCTGTAAGCCAAATAAATTTTTCTTTTTTTTTTTTTTTTTTTTTTTGAGACAGGGTCTCACTCTATCTCCCAAGCTGGAGTGCAATGGTACAAACGTGGCTCACTGCAGCTTCCTGGGCTCAAGGAATTCTCCTACTTCAGCCTCCCAAGTAGCTGAGACCACAGGCGTGCACCACCACGCCCAGCTAATTTTTAAAAATTTTATAGAGGTGGGGTCTTACCATGTTGTCCAGGCGGCCTCAAATTCTTGAAAGCAAGTGATCCTCCCATCTTGGCCTTCCAAAGTGCTGGGATTACAGGCGTGAGCCACCATGCTCAGCCGAGATTTTTTTTTTCTTTTTTTTTGTTTTGAGACAGAGTCTCGGTCTGTTGCCCAGGCTGGAGTATAGTGGCGCAATCTCGGCTCACTGAAACTTCCACCTCCCTGGTTCAAGTGGTTCTCCTGCCTCAGCCTCCCAAGTAGCTGGGATTATGGGCATGTGCCACCAAGCCTGGTTAATATTTTTGTATTTTTAGTAGAGACGGGGGTTTTACCATGTTGGCTAGGCTGGTCTCGAACTCCTGACCTCCAGTGATCTGCCTGCCTCGGCCTCCCAAAATGCTGGGATTACAGGTGTGAGCCACTGTGCCCGGCTGAGATTTTGTATGACTGATTCAATACCCTTACTAGTTATAGTAAGGTATTCTATTTCTTCTTTGAGACAGTTTGTTTAGTTTTTGTGTCTCTAGGAATTTATCCATTTCAACTATGTTATATAATTTGTTGGCATAGAATTGTTCATCATACCCTCTTATAATTCTTTTTTTTGAGACAGGGTCTCGCTCTGTCACTCAGGCTGGAGTGCAGTGGCACGATCACAGCTTACTGCAGCCTCAACCTCCTGGGCTCAAGCAACCCTCCCACCCCAGCCTCTTGAGTAGCTGGGACTACAGGCCCGTGCCACCATGCCCAGCTAATTTTAGTATTTTTAGTAGAGTTGGGGTTTCACCATGTTGGCCAGGCTAGTCTCCAACTCCTGGACTCAAGTAATCCGCCTGCCTCGGCCTCCTAAAGTGTTGGCATTATAGGTGTGAACCACCTTGCCTAGACTAGTTTGTTCTTCTTCTAGTTCTTTCAGGTATACAGTGAGATTACTGATTTTAGATCTTTTTGTTGTTTGCTTTTTGAGACAGGGCCTCACTTTGTAGCCCAGGCTGGAGTGCAGTGGCATGATCACTGCTCACTGCAAATTCTGTGTCCCGGGCTCAAGTGATCCTCCCACCTCAGCCTCCCAAGTAGCTGGGACTATAGGCCTGCACCACCACACCGGGATAATTTTTGTATATTTATTTTGGTAGAGATGGGGGGTTCACCATGTTGCCCAGGCTAGTCTCAAACTCCTGGGCACAAGTGATCCTCTCACCTTGGCCTCCCAAAGTGCTAGGATTACAGGCATGAGCCACTGCACCCAGCCAGATCTTTTCTTAAAATACAGGTCTTTACAGTTATAAATTTCCCTCTCAGTTCATCTTTTACAGCATCCCACAAATTTTGGTGTATTTTCATTTTTATTCATCTCAAAGTGTTATTAATTTCCCTTTTGATTTCTTCTTTGACCTATTGATTAAGGATGTATTGTTTGAAAGTCATGTGAGCTGGGCGTGCTGGCTCACACCTGTAATCCCAGCACCATGGGAGGATGAGGCAGGAAGGTGACTTGAACCCAGGAGTCCAAGACCACTCTGTGCAATATAGTGGGAACCTGTCCCTACAAACAAACACCAAAAAAAACCTCTAGCCAGGTGTGGTGGTGTGCACCACTAGTCCCAGCTATTCAGGAGGTTGAGGTGGGAGGATCGCTTGAGCCCGGGAGGTCAAGATTGCAGTAAGCCATGATCATGCCACTGCACTCCAGCCTGTGTGACAGAGTGAGACCTTGTCTCAAAAACAAAATAAAGTCTTACCAAGGAGGATGAAGGAGCAGAGAGTTCCAGGAATCCATCTCTCCACAGCAAAAATTGAGCTGGTTGAAATTATCTGAAGCAACCATTTTGGAAATTTGGTCTAGTAGAACATTTTCAGCATCCACGGGAGAGGTTGATGAAGAGACTGGTAAACTTCAGTAAATTTTCACTTTTCTCATAGCAGCTGCTGCCTCCAGTCCAGTGATAAGCATCTACGTGGAGAGCTCCTATAGACCCCTTCCTCTACACACACATAGTTTCCCCTATTGAAGTTGCTCCCAAGTTTTGGCAATTATAAATATAGCTGCCATAAATATTTATGTACTGAGTGTTGTGTGAACATCATTTTTTAAAACTCATTTGCTAGCTTTGGGTTTTTAAAAACTCATTTGGGGCCCGGTGCAGTGGCTCACGCCTGTAATCCCAGCACTTTGGGAGGCTGAGGTGGGCAGATCACCTGAGGTCAGGAGTTCGAGACCAGCCTAGCCAACATGGCGAAACCCCATCTCTACTAAAAATACAAAAATTAGCCGGGCATGGTAGCAAGTGCCTGTAATTCGGGAGGCTGAGGCAGGGAGAATTGCTTGAACCCAAGAGGCGGAGGTTGCAGTGAGCTGAAATCACGCCAGTGCACTCCAGCCTGGGCAACAGAGCAAGACTCTGTCTCAAAAACAAACAAACAAACACTCATTTGGTCTTTGGAAAATAATGAAAAGCACAATTGCTGCATTAAGACTACATTTAGCTTTGTAAGAATGCCGTGGGTGTGGTGGCTATGCCGGGATTAAGACTACGTTTAGCTTTGTAAAAATGCCGCGGATGTAGTGGCTATGTTGGGCACGGTGGCTCACACCTGTCATTCCAGCACTTTGGGATGCCTAAGTGGGCGGATTGTCTGAGCTCAGGAGTTTGAGACCAGCCTGGGCAGCATGGTGAAAACCCCATCTCTTCTAAAAATACAAAAAAATTAGCCGGGCATGGTGGTGTGCGCCTATAGTCCCAGCTACTCGGGAGGCTAAGACGGGAGAATCACTTGAACCCGGGAGGCAGAGGTTGCAGTGAGCCTAAATCGGGCCACTGCACTCCAGCCTGGGTGACAGAGTGAGACTCTGTCTCTAATAATAATAATAATAATAAAAAATACAGGGCCGAGCGCAGTGTAATCCCAGCACTTTGGGAGGTGGAAGAAGGGAGATCACCTGAGGTCAGGAGTTCGAGACCAGCCTGGCCAACACGGTGAAACCCTGTCTCTACTAAACATACAAAATTTAGCCAGGTGTGGTGGCAGGCGCCTGTAATCCCAGCTACTCGAGAGGCTAAAGCAGGAGAATCACTTGAACTTGGGAGATGGAGGTTGCAGTGAACCGAGATCATGCCACTGCACTCAAGCCTGGGTGACAAAAGCGAGACTCCCTCTCAAATAAATAAATAAAAATACAAAAATTGTTCAGGTGTGGTGGCAAGCATCTGTAATCCCAGCTACTCAGGAGGCTGAGGCAGGAGAATCACTTGAGCCCAGGAGGTGGAGGTTGCAGTAAGGTGAGATCACCCCACTGCACTCCAGCCTGGGCTACAGAGCAAGACTCGGTCTCCAAACAAACAAACAAACAACTGCCAAAGTGTCTTCCAAAATGGCCATATACCACTTTGGATTCCTACCAGCAATGAATGAGAATTCCTATTGCTCCACATCTTGTCAGCATTTGGTGGTGTCAGTGTTTTGGATTTTAGCCATTCTAATAGGTAGGCAGTGCTATCTTACTGTTTTAGTTTGCAGTTCTCTGATGACATATAATGTTGAACATCTTTTCATATCCCTACTTGCCATCTGTATATCTTCTTTGGTGAGATGTGTATTCAGATCTTTGACCATTTAAAAAATTGGGTGATATGGCCAGATGCAGTGGCTCACACCTGTAATCCCAGCACTTTGGGAGGCCAACGTGGGAGACTTACTTGAGGCCAGGAGTTTGAGACCAACTTGGCCAACATGACGAAACCCCATCTCTACTAAAAATGCCAAAAATTAGATGGGTGTGGTGGAGCACACCTATAATCCCAGTTACCCAGGGGGCTGAGGCACAAGAATTGCTTGAACCTGGGAGGTGGAGGTTGCAGTGAGCCAAGATCACGCCACTGCACTCCAGCCTGGGTGACATAGAGAGACCCTGTCTCAAAATGAATAAATAAATAAAAATAAAATTTATTTGTTTTCCTTTTTTTTTTTTTTGAAACAAAGTCTCACTTTGTTGGCCAGGTTGGAGTAAAATGGCGCTATCTCGGCTCACTGCAACCTCCGCCTCCCGGGTTCAAGCAATTCTCCTGCCTCAGCCTCCTCAGCAGCTGGGATTACAGGCGCCCGCCACCAAACCCAGCTAATTTTTGTATTTTTATTAGAGATGGGGTTTCACCATGTTGGTCAGGCTGGTCTCGAACTCCTGACCTCGTGATCCGCCTGCCTTGGCCTCCCAAAGTGCTGGAATTACAGGCGTGAGCCACAGCGCCCAGCCTGTATTTTTTCTTAGAGATGGGGTTTCGCCATGTTGCCCAGGCTGGTTTCAAACTCCTTGGTTCAGGCGATCCTCCTGCCTCGGCCTCTAAAAGTGCCGGGATTACAGATGTGAACCACTGCACCCGGTCTAATTCCAAAGTTTATATGGAAAAGCAAAAGACCAAGAATAGCCAACACAATACTGAAGAAGAGCAAAGTTAGAGGAGTGACACTTCCTGACTTCAAGACTTACTATAAAGCTACAGTAATCAAGACAGTAAGGACTGGACATGGTGGCTCACACCTGTAATCCCAACACTTTGGGGGGCTGAGGCAGGAGGATCACTTGAACCCAGGAGTTTGAGACCAACCTGTCTACACGTGAGACCTGGTCTCTATTTAAAAAGAAAAAAAAAGGAGGGGGAGCCAGGTGTGGCAGCTCATGTCTGTAATCCCAGCACTTTGGAAGGCTGAGGCAGGCAAATCACCTGAGGTCAGGAGTTCGAGACCAGCCTGGCCAACATGGTGAAACCCTGTTTCTACTAAAAATACAAAAATTAGCTGGGCGTGGTGGCATGCTGCCTGTAATCCCAGCTACTTGGGAGGCTTAGGCAGGAGAATTGCTTGAACCCGGGAGGTGGAGGTTGCAGTGAGCTGAGATTGCGCCACTGCACTCCAGCCTGGGCAACAGAGTGAGACTTCATCTCAAAAAAAAAAAAAAGAAGGAAAGAAAATCAAGATAGTATGGTGTCAGCAAAAATAGACCAATGAAACAGAATAGAGCCCAGAAACAGACCCACACAAATATAGTCAACTGATCTTTGACAAAGGAGCAAAGGTAATCCAATAAAGAGTAGTCTTTTCACAAATAGTCCTGGAACAATTGGCCATCCATATGCAAAAATCAAAATAAAAATCTAGACATATCTTAGACCTTTCACAAAAATTAACTCAAAATGGCTCATAGACCTAAATGTAAAATACAAAACTTATCAAACTCCTAAAAGATAACATAGGGGAAAATCTAGGTGACCATGGTTTGGTGATGACTTTTTTCTTCTTCTTCTTCTTCTTCTTCTTTTTTTTTTTTTGGAGACAGAGTCTTGCTCTGTCACCCAGGCTGGAGTGCAGTGGCGCGATCTTGGCTCACTGAAAACCTATTTACTTTTCAGCTCCAGAGTTTGTCAGGGATAGTTTGTCAAAAAAATTCTTCCTGTGGCCAGGCGTGGTGGCTCACGCCTGTAATCCCAGCACTTTGGGAGGCCGAGGCGGGCGGATCACCTGAGGTTGGGAGTTCAAGACCAGCCTGACCAACATGGAGAAACCCTGTCTCTACTAAAAATACAAAATTAGCCGGGCATAGTGGCGCATGCCTGTAATCCCAGCTACTCGGGAGGCTGAGGCAGGAGAATTGCTTGAACCCAGGAGGCAGAGGTTGCGGTGAGCAGAGGACGTGCCATTGCACTCCAGCCTGGACAACAAGAGCAAAACTCTATCTCAAAAAAAAAAAAATTCTTCCTGTGAGTGGGCCATACTTCCCTGGTTCTTCATACGCTTTATGATTTTTTTGAGAACTGAATATTCTGGCCAGGCATAGTAGCTAACACCTGTAATCCTAGCACTTTGAGAGGCTGAGGCTGGCGGATCCCTTGAGACCAGAAGTTTGAGAACAGTCTGGGCAATATGGTGAAACTCCATATCTACTAAAACTACAAAAAAAATTAGGCCAGGCGCAGCGGCTCACACTTCCAGCACTTTGGGAGGCCGAGGCAGGCGGATTACCTAAGGTTGGGAGTTCAAGACCAGCCTGACCAACATGGAGAAACCCCATCTCTACTAAAAATACAAAATTAGGCCAGGTGCAGTGGCTCACGCTTGTAATCCCAGCACTTTGGGAGGCTGAGTCAGGTGGATGACGAGGTCAGGAGTTCAAGACCAGCCTGGCCAAGATGGCGAAACCCCATCTCTACTAAAAAAAATACAAAAATTAGCCAGGTGTGGTGGCAGGCATCTGTAATACCAGCTACTTGGGAGGCTGAAGCAGGGAATTGCTTGAACCCGGGAGGCAAAGGTTGCAGTGAGCCGAGATTGCGCCACTGCACTCCAGCCTGGGCGACAGAGCGAGACTCCGTCTCAACAACAACAACAATTAGCCGGGCGTGGTGGTGCATGCCTGTAATCCCAGCTACTCAGGAGGCTGAGGCAGGAGAATTGCTTGAACCTGGGAGGCAGAGGTTGCAGTGAGCTGAGATTGCACCAATTGCACTCCAGCCTGGACAACAAGAGTGAAACTCCGTTTCAAAAAAAAAAAATTGCCAGATGTGGTGGCACATGCCTGTAGTCCCAGCTACTAGGGAAACTGTAGCCTGGATGACACAGACCCTGTCTCAAAAAACAAACAAACAAAAAAAAACAATAAAAATAGAACAACAAAAAACCACCCCAAACTGAATATTCTGAGTATTTTTTTGTGGTAACTCTGGAAATCTTATTCTCCGACTCCTCAGGGATTGTTAATTTTTTTTTTTTTTTTGACACTGGCAACTCTGTTGCCCAGGCTGGAGTGCAGTGGTGCTATCTCGGCTCACTACAACCTCTGCCTCCCGGGTTCAAGTGATTCTCCTGCCTCAGCCTCCTGAGTAGATGGGATTACAGGCATGTGCCACCACGCCCGGCTAATTTTTTGTATTTTTGGTAGAGACGGGGTTTCACCATGTTGGCTCAGACGGTCTAGAACTCCTGACCTCAGGTGATCTGCCTGCCTCGGGCTCCCAAAGTGCTGAGATTACAGGTGTGAGCCACTGTGCCTGACCTAAATTTTTGCTTGTTGAGGGCTGGAGCCATCTGTGATTTTTTCCAAACTATTTATGCAAAGTGTGTGTCTCTTGTGTGTGTGTGGTCACTGAAGTTTGTTATCTCTTATAAAGTAATGGTAAAAACCACAATTACTTTTGCACCAATCTAATATTTTATTTTGCAGCAACCTAATTTTTTATTTATTTATGAGACAGGGTCTCACTCTGTTGCCCCGGCTGAACTGCAGTGGTGTAATCACTGCTTACTGCAGTCTCCAACTCCTGGAATCAAGCAATTCTCCTACCTCAGACTCCCTAGTAGCTGGGAGTCTGCAGGCATGCACCACCACACCTGGCTAATTTTTAAAATTTTCTGTGGAGCCAGGGTCCCACTATTTTGCTCAAGCTGGTCTCAAACTCCTAGGTTCAAGTATTCCTCCTGCCTCAGCCTCCCACAGTGTGAGCCACTGTGCCGGGCCTCTATTATCTCTGTAGTCAGCCAGTGAGTGAGCTGACAAAGATTTTCTGGCTTAAAAAACAAACAAAAAAAGGCACGAGTCCTTTAAATCTTCTGATATGTTGCCAAGGTGGGGTTGGGTGGGGTATTAATGCAGGAATTGCATCTAAGAGGCTGAATGAAACCAAGGCAAGCATCTCAGAGTACCTCCAGGTCCGTCAAAGCGCACAACCCCAGCATTTTTGGAGGGCAAGGTTCCCGTGCCTGTTCTGGCACCAGTCAGCTGCTTTCAGAACTGGTGCTGCTATCCCCACAGCCGGATGGGGCTGAGGAATGGGAGAAGTAGCTGCTTGATTCACACTACTCTCTTCATCAAGCAACCCCCTTGTTAAATTTCCGGGTTCTGAAACAGTTGATTACAATCACTGCTCTTTTCAGCTCAATGGTTGCTTTGATTCAGGAACCAACCCCTAGAGCTTCCAATTCCACCATTATGCATGCCTTCGCTCCACACTCTTTTGATTACTATAGCTTTGTAGTTAAGTTTTTAAATTGGGAACAACTTTTATCTTTTCTTTAAAACAATTTTAAAAAATGTTTTGGCTATTCAGAGCCTCTTGCAATTCCATATAAATTTGAGAATCAGTTTTCAAATTTCTGCAAAAAAAAAAAAAGGCCATTGGAATTTTGATAGGGATTGTATTGAATTGTAGAATGCTTTGGGGGTTATTGCCATCTTTAAAGTCTTCCAATCCATGAACACAAGATATCCATGTATTCAGGTCACAAGTTCATTTTTTGGTAATCATCACACCTATCTATTTCCAAAACTTTTGCATCACCCTAGACAGAAACTCTGTGACCATCAAGCAATAATTCCCCTGCCCCCTCCCTCTATCCCATGCTAACTTCTATTCTGTCTCTGTGAACTTGCCTGTTCTAGACACCTCATGTACGTGGAATCATACAATAGTTGTCTTTTTGTGTCTGGCTTATTTCACCTAGCTGCCATAAGTTCTTAACCTATACGCAACACAGATCCCCACTTTATTTTTATTTTTGGGAGTCTTGCTCTGTCGCCCAGGCTGGAGTGCAGTGGAATGATCTCGGCTCACTGCAACCTTTGCCTCCTAGGGTCATGTGACCTTCCCATCTCAGCCTCCCAAGTAGCTGGGACTACAGGTGCACACCACCATGCCCAGCTAATTTTTGAATTTTTGGAGAGATGGGGTTTCACCACGTTGGCCAGGCTGGTCTTGAACTCCTGGGCTCAAGCAATCTACCTGCCTTGGCCTCCCAAAGTGCTGGGATTATGGGTGTGAGCCACCATGCCTGGCCCAGATCCCCACTTTACAGATAAAGAAGCTGAGCACAGGGGCCAGGCACGGTGGCTCATGCCTGTAATCCCACCACTTTGGGAGGCCAAGGTGGGTGGATCACCTGAGGTCAGGAGTTCGAGATCAGCCTGGCCAACATGGTGAAACCCCATCTCTACTACAAATACAAAAATTAGCTGGGCACGGTGGCACGTGCCTGTAGTCCCAGCTACTCAGGAGACTGAGGCAGGAGAATCACTTGAACCCAGGAAGTGGAGGTTGCAGTGAGCTGAGATCATGCCACTGCACTCCAGCCTGGGTAACAGACTGAGACTATGTCTCAAAAAAAAAAAAAAGAAGCTGAGCACAGAGAGGCCAGGTAATTTACCTAAGATCACTCAGCTGGTAAGGATGGTGCTAGCAGCCAGCCCCTACACTCTTAACCTGATGCTTCGCTTTGCATCACTAAACTTCCTTGGCTCAAGTCAGCTGCAGAGGGGCCAAAACTCATAACCAAGAATGGCACCTCCTTGCCACAAAGCCCCATACTCCTCCAGATATGCTAGAGATCAGCTGGGCAACCTCCACTGCAGCACTCACTCACTCCCTGTGCCTCTTACTCCCCGTGCCAGGCCCATGCTGGGTCCTGGAAAAACAGGTGAACTCCTACCTAATAGTGGGAGAGGGAAATTTAGGGGACTTCACCCAGGCTGGGGGTCAAGAAGGGAAGCACTTTAGAAGAAAGTGCCGTTGGCTGCGCGTGGTGGCTCACACCTATAATTCCAGCACTTTGGGAGGCCAAGGCAGGAGGATCGCTTGAGCTCAGGAGTTTGAGACCAGCCTGGGCAACATAGCAGGACCTTGTCTCTACAAAAAATAAAAATAAAAAAATTAGCCAGGCGTGGTGGCATGTACCTGCAGTCCCAGCTACTCAGGAGGCTGAGGTGGGAGGATCACCTGAGCCTGGGAGGTTGAGGCTGCAGTGAACTGTGATTGTGCCACTGCACTCCAGCCTGGGAGACAGAGGGAGACCCTGTTGCAAAAAGAAAAAAAAAAAAAAGAAAGAAAGAAAAAGAAAGAAAAGAAAGAAAGTGCCTTTGCAGCCAAAAGTCAAAAGCTAGCAATTTGGCTGGTAGCGTTTAAACGTGGGTAGGAACGGAAGGTAGTGGTCGCTGGTTATTTGCTGTGAGTACACTGTATAGATAGATTTCCATTTACTCGTTCACTTTCCTACTTATGGCCTTTAGGCTGTGCCCAGGTTAGAGACTGTGAGAAAAGCTGCAGTGATCTCATTCTTTCTAGAGTCTTCCTGTGCCCCATGAGAAGGCATATGCCTAGGGAAGGAACTGCTGGATCTGAGGCTTGGCGATGTTCCTGCTTTAGAAAGTCATGCCAAACAGTTTTCTAAAGTGTTGGTGCAAATTTACACTCTCAGAACCAGGAAGAAGAGATTGTTTTTTTTTTTTAATTTTATTTTACATGAAAATCTTCCATCCTCTCCATACATCCCATGCTATCCTCCATTCCCCACCCTGCTTGGCCCAGGCTATGCCTAGAAGCAAGTCAAAGGCAGGTAGAAGCTTGGGCTGAGGCTGCCTGAGATGCCTCAAGCACTCTGGTCCACAGAGACAGTCAACAAGTGACCGTGGTCTCCAGGCCCAGAAAGAGTCTGACCACATCTGATCATGGCTATAAACAGGAGCCTGGCAACAGGAGCAGGACCTGCTGACAGGATCAGTGGGCTGGTCATGTCAGCTCCCAGTCGTAGGAGTGGGGCAGGGTGAGGGCAGGAAGAGCAGTCTCTGGGTGCCACACTCACCCTCACCTGTTTGTCTGCCCTTACACCTCAGGCTGGTCCCGAAAGTGGGGCTCTGTCCACAAAACCCCTGCCTGGACAGTCCTTGACCTACAAGTTGCAGGCATGTGTCTGGCCATTGGTCAGACTCACTGTTCTCACGACCACAGGAAGGTGTCCAGCTTGGCCTGGAAGAGAGAAGGCACTGTCTTCACCCTCACCCTCTGCTTAACCTTGGTCTTGGGCTTAACAGGCAATGGGCGGATCATGACTGTGTCAGTCTGGAGGAGCTGTCAAGGAAGAGGCATGGAGAAAGGACTGCAATGCAGGGCGAGAAAGGACTGCAATGCAGGGCAAGAAAGGCTCAGAGCCGGGGGTGGGCGGCGCTGATACACAGAATGAGGCCCAGCACTGCACACCTGAGGCTGTTGGCACTGGCAGGCTGGGGGTATAGGTGAGGCATAGTATGGGCTCCACAGTTCAGCTCAGCTCAACATCACAGGAAAAGGATACAGGCTGGATGAATTTTGTCCGGCCACCGAGCCCATCGAAGCCTGTCCTTACCTAGGGTGGAAGGAAGAGATGAGTGGGCCAGGCTAATGGGCTGGGGGGCTGGCCACCCATTTCTACCCAAGAGGGCTGGCTCCTGCCACTGTGGGAAGCCACACTCACCACATCTTTGCTGCAAGAGGACTCTGACCTGGGCCTCTTGGGCTGTTTCTGGCCTAGGATGGCATTCCGGACAAAAATAGGGAAGGCACCAACCAGTTCCTCATCTGGCTCTCCTGCACAGCTCTGGCCACCCAGTGAGAGCTGGGACTCCTGCAGGGAAGACCCCAGGGCCAGACTTGATGAGCTGGATGTCAGCAAAGGAGGGAGGGTAGTGGTGGTGGAACAAGATCAGGATCTCTGATGCCTCACTAGGAGGCAGGAGGGATAATGAGTAGAATCCCAAGGGTGGCTCCGAAGTACCTCAGTCCTGGACCAGGAGTGACAAGGCTCTGGCAAGACCGTGCCCTCCCAAAAGTCCAGTCCTGCCAAAGGTTAGACTGTGCTTCTTCTAGAAAGCTCTTACCTTCCTGGGGCCTTTGCATATCTTCTTGGGGACATCCTGAATTGGGGAGCTACAAGAATGAGAGAGAAGGCAAGGGGTAGGTAAGCAAGACATGGGGGCAGGTGAACCAGGCTCAGCACACGCCCCTTGGGGAGTTACCATGTGGCACTGCTGCTGCCATGCCTGCATTCTGGGCAAGGCACCTCAGTGATCCCACCCCAAGTGCAGGTCTGTTAACAGCTGGACAGCCACAGCCAGTAGGGTGGCAGAGACAGGGATGACTGGGGATGACTGGACCATGTCCCAATCCTGTGGCTTCCACTCAAGGCCAAATTCCAACGCTCCTCAAGTCCTCGGGCACCTCACCATGTCCCAGGCTCTATATGGGGCTGAAGAGCCCAATCAACTCACCACCCACGGGAGGAAAGCCAGTCATGCCCTGATACGAGCAAAAGAAATTTAATGAGCTCAGGCCTAGTCCTGTCTTCCCAGAGAGGGGACACTACCTCCACGAGAGCCTCAGTAAGTTAGCCTTTCAGTAAAGTAGCCCACAAAATCCTCTCAGAACACAGGGCCAAGCCATCTCCCTAGAGAGTGTGTCTAAGAAGGGCCTGGGGCAGAATAGCGCATGGCCCCAGGCCCTGGTCTCCCAATCCCAGCCCCAGAGCCAGAAACTGTATTTCCATCCAATTCCTGGGGAACCCAGCAGCTGGATACCCTCTCCTGGCATTTTCCCTGGTGGGTGAGAAGATGGTGATCTAAGGCTGGCCCTGTGGCTTCTCAAGCCATAAGGACAAGAGTGGGATCAGGGCCTGATGACTGACTCCTCTGCTCCTGCCCTAACGGCCTGTGGTAAGGCTACATGACAACCAAGGCTCCAGGAAGGACGAGCTGAGTTAGGGACTCAGAACTTCACTACCTCCTTCACTACCTCCACAGGCCATGAAGGTGGTGGAAATGTCTCTGAAAGGCCTGGCAGCCTGAAGACCCCAGGTGTCCACCTTCAACCTTTACAGCGGAAGAAGGGCAATGGGAGGAAGCCAGAGTACACAGCAGACACTGACAGGATCCCTGAGGACTACAGCCCACGGGTCCTAGGTTTGTTTCTCATTGCTACCAGGCCTCGCCCTCTACAACAGGGGTGCCCATGCCCCCTGAGGTTTGGGAGGTAGGACAGCCCAGCTGGCTTGCCCTCTTGCTCCCTTCCACCTCCACTGTCTAGCATCTCAGTTTCTTTCTCTTTCTCTTCTTTCTCTCTGTACAAAGTCTTTGAAAAAGAGGAAACCTGCCCAGCCCTTGACCAGCCTCACCTGAACAGTACCTGTATGAATGAGTATAGTCCTTGTCTCCACAGTGAATTACACTTGGCAAAGCTGGCCAAGGAGACAGCCTCCCTTTTTCTGGTCCCACCGTACCCCAGAGCAGGTTCCACCTGCCCCACTGGAATTCCAGACAGCTTCTCATGCTTGCCCCTGTGGGTCACCCCCTTGGGTGGTAAGGCCTTGGGCTCTGTGGTTTGAGATGATCCTCCCTCAGGCATGAGCCTCAGAGGCAAACATAGAAGAGGAAGTTCAGAGTCCCTCGCTCAGGACTCTGGTGGGCAGGCCTTCAAGGTATTGGGAGCACCCTCTCCAGCCCAGACCCACCCCTTCTGGCATCACTGCATTCTCTCTAACTTGCATTCCAATACGTTTGCCTTGAAAGGTGATGGTGAGGAATAATGAGAAAAGAGAAGGGGTTTGCACAGATTGAGTGCTCAGGTGAGGGAACAAGAGGTAGCTGGAACCAAAGCCATGGCCAAGCCTAGGCAACCCTCACTGCCCCATCAGCCACTCAGAGCTAACAGCACAGGGCCTGCAGAGCTGTCTTAGCTATCCCCCTACCAGCCCATGGACAGTGCCAGCGACTATCACTCACTGTGACTTCTCTAGGCAAAGTTTTTCGTAGTAACCATGCTGGGAGCTGGAGGGCCGGGCTGGGGGAGTATCCACATCAAAGGTAGCATTGAGATCAATATCATCACGGAAGGATGGCCGGCGGAGCTTCAGATTCACCTCCACAGGGGCTGGGCTGAAGGCAGAGATGACCTGGTTACTTGGGGCCACAGTGGTAACCCAGGACAACAGCTCCTGAAGCATCAGAGATAACTCAGCTCCAGGGACCTGGAGCCCACTCCTGACTCAAGGCCACCCCTCAAGAGAGCCCTACTCTCGGCCAGGCACAGTGGCTCACGCCTGTAATCCCAGCACTTTGGGAGGCCAAGGCGGGTGGATCAAGCGGTCAAGAGATCAAGACCACCCGGGCTAACATGGTGAAACCCCATCCTACTAAAAATACAAAAATTAGCTGGGTGTGGTGGCTTGTGTCTGTAGTCCCAGCTACTCGGGAGGCTGAGGCAGGAGAATTGCTTGAACTCGGGAGGCAGAGCTTGCGGTGAGCCGAGATCGCGCCACTGCACTCCAGCCTGGGCGACAGAGCAAGACTCCGTCTCAGGAAAAAAAAAAAAAAAAGTTTAAATTTAATTTAATTTAAAAAGCACACAAAACTCCATGTATAGTGCAATTACATGATTTGGCACCCCCCCACCACTCCCACATGCAGAAAAAGGAGAAGGAAATATTCCACATGTCAACCATAAGTACCTCTATGATAACTCCCTATTTTCCAAATTCTCAATGAGTGTGTTTTTACTTTTATAACACGGGGGGGGGGGGGGGGTGGGGGGTGGGGAGTGAAGTTTTATTCTATTAAAACTACAGCCGACAGGATTCTTCCAGCCCACCCAGACCTGGCAGGGCTCCCCACCTCCTGTCATACAAGGAGAACCCTGGGGAATGGCAAGGGTAGCTCCAAAGATGCCTTCTCTCTTTCCTTCCTCAGGAACTTTTCAGAGCTGCACCACAATCCCACTTCCACTGGGGTGTACACATCAGAGGGAGGAAGCCTACCTGCATTGATTTGGGTGGCTAAGCAATCCAGGCAGCCTGGACTATTTCTTCCTTTCCCTGTCCAGGACCCTAGAAGCTCTACCTCTGTCCCCGCCTGCAAGTTAAAATGAAGACTGCACAAACCCACCTCAAACCAACTCTAGGCTGGCTGCTTTGCTTCCTCCTCTGGGAACCACAGCAGCCAGGACCACTCATGCCAACTTTTTTGCAGTATCCATATTCTGCCACCATTTACCAACCCCAGCAAGTTGAGGCTCAGGTTAGGAAAGGTAAACTCAAGAGGAAGGCAGGATCTCGCTGGGTCCTGTAAATTTTACCCTCCAGGTGGCTCAAGGCAGGACTTTCTACTCCCAGCCATCCCCTAAGGCGTTGCCTAGTGGTGCCCAAGCTCAAGGCAAGCCAGGCTTATTCACTTGCACCTCCTGGTCATCCACAACACTAAACTCAAGACTCAGGAGGTTCTCACGGTGCCTCCCTCACTCCCCATATCCACATCTGGATCATATGGACACATTTCTTCCTCTCTTAGACTGTTTCTTTTTTTTTTTTTTGAGACGGAATCTTGCTCTGTCACCCAGGCTGGAGTGCAGTGGTGCGATCTCGGCTCACTGCAAGCTCCGCCTTCCGGGTTCAAGCCATTCTCCTGCCTCAGCCTCCTGAGTAGCTGGGGCTACAGGCGCCCGCCACCACGCCCAGCTAATTTTTTGTATTTTTAGTAGAGATGGGGTTACACCGTGTTAGCCAGGATGGTCTCGCTCTCCTGACCTCGTGATCTGCCCACCTCGGCCTCCCAAAGTGCTGGTATTACAGGCATGAGCCACCGCGCCCGGCCTTGTCTTAGACTGTTTCTATATTCTTCTTCCTTCATGAGCTTGAAGCCTATTTCCCTTTCTGCCAGGGGTCCACTTTCTTTCCTTCCCACTTTCTGTTTGTCCTACAAGGAGAAAGAACCTAGGGCTTAGTAGTCCTTCCCTCACTGGTTGAGGCTGGCTTGAGGCCCTCCTGAGTGACACTATCACCCTTGGGACACCCACCCATGGTCAAGTTACAGGGCTTCATGCCAGAGGCCTCAGGGAGCCAGGCAAGACACTCAAAGCTCCCCTTTCCAGAACAGAGCTAAGGCCTTGAGCAGCCCATTGCCTGCGTGGCATGGGATTAGTCAACATCTCCTCCATGAACTCATGGCTCCTGGCGGCCTTACCCTACCCTAAGGAAAGGTCTCCCTGGCTGTCTCTAGCCTGGAGTTCAGGGGCCCTTGGGGCCCATGAGAGAGATCTTCCTAACATTGACTCTGTAGTTGGGGGTGGTGGCTACATGCTGATGCCTCCCTAAAATGACAGGTATGAAGGGTAATCCTACTGCAACAAGTAGAAGGGGCAACCACCATCAGCCCCCAGAGATTTCCAAAAAATTCTGGGAGACAAAGCATGGCCAGGGGACAAGAGACTGACACAGCAGCCAGAACCCACAAGGAGGGGGTCCATGAAGGAAAGGGAGGGCCTTGCAAAAGCATTAAACAGGCCTGAAAACTGGAACACTGATGAAATTGTGAGCTTGGCTCCACCCCATCCTAATCTGCATTGGTAGAACACTAGGCAGTTAGGCTGCTGCCCTGGGCCAATAAATAGAAGAGCTTTTCTCAAAGACACTAAACAAACTATGTACAATGACCTAGGGCAGCCAATATTATTGGACCCAACAGTAAAGCCTTCTGCATCCTGGGTTCAGGTAAGACTCAACATGATGCCAGCAGTCTGCACATCCCCCCCAAACCCTACCCACATAGGTTGGCCTCCAAAGTAGCCAAGGACCACCAGGTATGGGAGGGGAGCCCAGGAAAAAGTCCATGGTGCACAAATACTGACTCTGAGACAAACAGAAATATGAGACCATAAAACAAGAACATGATGCTTTGCAAAACAGACATACTCAAAGAGCAAGAAAGAATGCTTGCAAATTTAAAACATGAATACTGCCAGGCACAGTAGCTCACGCCTGTAATACCAACAATTTGGGAGGCTGAGGTGGGAGGATGGCTTGAGGCCAGGAGTTCAATACTGACCTGGGCAACATATTAAGACTCTATCTCTACAAAAAATAAAATTAAATAAATTAACTGGGCATTGTGGCACATGCCTGTAATCTCAGCTACTTGGAAGGCTGAGGTGGGAGGATCCCTTGAACCCAGGGGGTGGAGGTTGCAGTGAGCCGAGATCGTGCCACTGCACTCCAGCCTGGGCAACAGAGCAAGACCCTGTCTCAAAAAAAAATTAAATATGATTACTGATTCAGCCCTAAAAAGGAAGAAAATTCTAATACATGCTACATGGATAAACCTTGAAGACATTATGCTAAGTGAAATAAGCCAGTAATAAAAGGACAAATATTGTATGAGTCCACTTATATGAGGCTCCTAAAGTAGTCAAATTGATAGAGACAGAAAGAATGGTAAGTGAAGGAGCTGAGGAGAAAGGGGAAAGGGGAGTTATTGTTTAATGGGTATAGAATTTCACTTTGGGAAGATGAAAACATTCTGGAGTGGGATGGTGGTGATGGTTGCACAGCAATTAAATGTACTTGATGCCACAGAAATGTACTTAAAAATGGTTACAATGGTGAGTTTTGTTTATATTTTACTACAATAAAAAATACTGCTGCAGTAAAAAGTTATAAAAATTAAGAAGCTTCTTAAAAAACTTAAGAAACTTCTTGGCCGGGCACGGTGGCGCACACCTGTAATCCCAGCACTTTGGGAGGCCGAGGTGGGTGGATCACAAGGTCAGGAGATGGAGACCATCCTGGCTAACACGGTGAAACCCTGTCTCTACTAAAAATACAAAAAATTAGCCGGGCGTGGTGGCGGGCACCTGTAGTCCCAGCTACTCGGGAGGCTGAGGCAGGAGAATAGCGTGAACCGGGGAGGCGGAGCTTGAAGTGAGCCGAGATCGTGCCACTGCACTCCAGCCTGGGCTACAGAGCAAGACTCCATCTCAAAAAAAAAAAAAAAATTCTTAATTTTTTTTTGTTTTTGTTTTTGCGACAGTCTCGCTCTGTCATCCAGGCTGGAGTACAGTAGCACGATTCTGGCTCACTGCAACCTCCACCTCCCAGATTCAAGCCATTCTTGTGCATCAGCCTCCCAAGTAGCTGGGATTATAGGCGTGTACCACCACACCTGGCTAATTTTTGTATTTTTAGTACAGCCACCATATCCAGCCAGAGATTTATTAATTTTCCTAATTTTAAATTAAGAAATGGTGGTGGCTGGGTGTGGTGGCTCACACCTATAATCCCAGCACTTTGGGAGGCCGAGGTGGGAAGATCACTTGAGATCAGGAATTAAAGACCAGCCTGGCCAACATGGTGAAGCCCCATCTCTACTAAAAATACAAAAAACTAGCTGGGCATGGTGGTGCGTGCCTATAATCCCAGCTACTGGGGAGGTTGAGGCAGGAGAATCTCTTCAACCGGGAAGCGGAGGTTGCAGCGAGCCAAGATTGCACCACTGTACTCCAGCCTAGGCAACAGAGCAAGACACTGTTTCAAAAAAAAGAAAAGAAAAGAAAAGGAAAAAGAAAAAGAAAAAGCAAAGCAAAGCAAAGCAAAGCAAAGCGGTGGCTCACGCCTGTAACCCAGCACTTTGGGAAGCCCAGGCAGGAGGATCGCTTGAGGCCAGGAGTTCAAGACCAGCCTGGACAATAAGTGAGACCCTGCCTCTACAAAAAATTAGTTGGGCGTGGTGGTGCATGCCTGTAGTCAATCCCAGCCACTCAGGAGATTGAGGCAGGAGGACCACTTGAGCCCAGGAGGTGGAGCTGCTATGAGAACAGTGAAAATTTACTGAAGTTTACCAGCTTCTTCATCACCCTCTCCCCTGGATACTGGAAATGTTCTACTAGACCAGATTTCCAAAGTGGTTGCTTCAGATGGTTTCAACCAGATCAACTGTTGCCATGGAGAGATGGATTCCTGGAGCTTTCTACTCTTCCATCTTCCTTGACATGACTTTTTTTTTTTTTTTTTTTTTTTTGAGACAGGTCTCACTCTGTCGCCCAGACTAGAGTGCAGTGGCGTGATCATCACTTACTGCAGTCTTGACCTCCCAGGCTCAAGTGATCCTCTCACCTCAGCCTCCCGAGTAGGTGGCCCAAGAAAACTTAAGACTTCTTCCAGACCTCTGTAGTAACACATTAGCAGTCACAGGAGAAAGGTAGAGGCAGAGTCTTTGAGGTCACTTGTAGTTCTGAGGGTCTTGCCATCAGAACACAAAGAAGACAGGGCAATGCCGTTGCTGAGGATTCAACAACTATTTTTGAGAGTTTGAGGCTATGAGTTTAGAAGAGGCTGTGCCTAGGCTGGGCATGGTGGCTCACGCTCGTAATCCCAGCACTTTAGTCCCAGCTACCCAGGAGGCTGAGGCAGGATCACATCACCTGAGCCCAGGAGGTTGAGGCTGCAGTGAGCTGTGATCACACCACTGCACTCCAGCCTGGGCAACAGAATGAGGCCCTATCTCAAAACAAACAAACCAACAAACAAACCAACAAACAAACACAAGAATAGACTGTGCTGGTGCTGCCTAATGCCTAGTTAAAAGAAGGGCTTTTGCTAAAAACAAACAGACCTGCCACCGTAATTTTTTTTTGTTTTTGCTTGAGACGGAGTCTCTCTGTCACCCAGGCTGGAGTGCAGTGGCACGATCTCGGCTCACTGCAACCTCTACCTCCCAGGGTCAAGCGATTGTCCTGCCTCAACCTCTCAAGTAACTGGGATTACAGGCGCCTGCCACCACACCCAGCTAATTTTTCTATTTTTAGTAGAGACGGGGTTTCACCATATTGGTCAGGCTGGTCTCGAACTCCTGACCTCAGGTGATCCACTCACCTCAGCCTCCCAAAGTGCTGGGGCTACAGGTGTGAGCCACCACGCCCGGACTTTTTTTTTTTTTCCAAGAGAGACGGGGTCTTACTCTGTCTCCCAGGCTGGAGTGCAGTGGCACAATCATAGCTCGACTCTTGGGCTCAAGTGATCCTCCTGCCTTGGCCTCCTGAGTAACTAGAACTACAAGTGTGTGCCACCATGCTTGGCTAAGTTTTAAGTTTTTTGATACAGGGTCTCACTATGTTGCCCAGGCTGGTCTTGAACTCCTGGACTCAAGCAATCCTCCCACCTTGGCCTCCCAAAGCACTGAGATTACAGGTATGAGTCAATGCACCCAGCCAACCACTTCAATATTTATGCCCAGAAAAATACTGGAGACAAAAATGAATGAAGTCATCCTCATGTGGCTTGATGAGAAGCCCAGCCCAGCTTACAGAAGAAGGCTTGTCAAGTTTAGTGTCCTGCTGGCCTGAAAGCCAAGGGAGACCATTGCTGTCCTCCCTGTACCAAGATGGGCTGCAGGCCCTGGCATGAAGCTTACTCAGAATGAGGTGGGCCCGTCCCCAACTGGGAGCTACAGACCAGATTCTATAATGTAGTATATAGCTGGTTGGCTGTGGGCTTAGCCATCTAAGCTCCAAGCTCATCTATCCCACTGGAACATAAGCTCCAAGAGAACAGAGAAGGTCTGCCATGCAGTGGGCACTCATCAAGGACCTGCTGTAGGAGTCCAGGCCTTCCAGCACCCTGAAGAGGTAAAGAAAGTAAACAAAAGCAACCAGGCACGGTGGCTCACACCTGTAATCCCAGCACTTTGGGAGGCCCAAGTGGGCAGATTGCTTGAGGTCAGGAGTTCAAGACCAGCCTGGCCAACATGGTGAAACCCGTCTCTGCCAAAACATACAAAAATTAGCTGGGCATGGTGACACATGCCTGTAATCCCAGCTACTCAGGAGGTTGAGGCAGGAGAATCGCTTGAACCTGGGAGGCGGAGGTTGCAGTGAGCCGAGATCGCACCACTGTACTCCAGTCTGGGAAACAGAGTGAGACTCCATCTAAAAAAAAAAAAGATTAAAGACTGGGCTGGGCGCAGTGGCTCACGCCTGTAATCCCAGCACATTGGGAGGCCGAGGCAGGTGGCTCACGAGGTCAGGAGATCGAGACCATCCTGGCCAACATGGTGAAACCCCGTCTCTACTAAAATACAAAAAATTAGCCAGGCGTGGTGGTGCGCGCCTGTAATCCCAGCTACTCAGGAGGCTGAGGCAGGAGAATTGTTTGAATCCAGGAGGCAGAGATTGCAGTGAGCCGAGATAGTGCCACTGCACTCCAGCCTGGCAACAGAGTAAGACTCCATTAAAAAAAGAAAAAGGAAAAAAAAAAAAAAGACTGGGGCCACTGACAGGAGTTGTGTGCTTTCTGTCTGGGTCCTTGCTGGGGACTTTTGGCAGGCAGGAGGTAGCCTTGAGGATGCTCTCAGC
The DNA here is from genome assembly GCF_000001405.40 of Homo sapiens. Lineage (NCBI taxonomy): Eukaryota > Metazoa > Chordata > Mammalia > Primates > Hominidae > Homo > Homo sapiens. The sequence continues at coordinate 49,839,309 of NC_000003.12, forward strand.
TAGTCTGCTTCTGTGAAACTCTCAGGAGCAGAAATGGATGCCCATGCTTGCAGGGACACCAATCCTTCTGCCTCGTGGCTCCCTCTGCTGGCAGCTTTAAAGCACGCACTCCTGGCACTAAGGGAATTATTTTACAGTGGTTTCATATTTGTTTCAAAATCTGGGGTGGACAGATAAATGTGGGGAGCTACTCCATAAACAGGATGCCCCAAGACAGTCAGTGCTTCTGCCCTATTCTCAGACCACTTCTAGGTCCTCTGGCCTTCTCTGGCCTCTCCGTGTCAGAGCCTAATTTGCTTCAAGGCTGCTTGCCAGCTAAATCTTGGCTGGCTCCCAGGGCAGGCTGTCTGCAGACATCAGGTCCACAGAGGTCACCCACCCCACCAAAGCCAGGAGGAGTAAAGACTGTTACCAGAAAGCTCTCCCACCTTGTGACCCCTGTACCGCCCAAGGCTCAACAAACCTCTCTAAAACCAGGCGGTCGACAGTCTCACTGGCCACTGGTGGCAGGTTCAAGGTTTCCTGCAGCATCGTTAGCTTCTTTTTCAGGCTCTTGGGGAGGGAAAGAAAAGTGTGTGAGAGAAAGGCTGAGGCATCAAGTCCGGAGATAATGCAGAGGACATGAGCAGCATGCATGAAAGGCCAGCCCACTGGGAACAGAGCAAGGCCTGATACCTCATCATTAGGCTCAGGAGGCCAAGCCCCAGGTAGAGCCCCTCCTCTGATAAGGGACCTCAGGGATGTAAGTGCAGGACAGACTATGAGGGAAGACTCATGGTTCTGTCTGCCCTCTGTTGAGGAGGCCCAGGCTCCAGTCCGGACCAGGGCCAAGGGGCACACCCTGACCCAGGAGGATGCAGGGGCCCAGAACCACCACTGACTGGTGCAAGGGTCCTGGGCAGAGATAGCCCAGCCCTGCTCTGGGAGGGCACACAAACCACCCCTCATTCCTGTCAAGCCAGGGATGTCCCTCACCATGATTTCCTTGTCAGCACTCTGTAAGTCCTTCTGGGCTGACTTCAGTTCTAACTTGGCCTGATCCAATTCAGAGTAGACTGTCTGCAACTATAAGAAAGTGTAGGGAATGAAAGACAAGCCAAGTGGTAGCCTTGTGCCCTGCCCCCTCCTGCTGCTCCCCAGGGAGTGATCAAGGTAGCCCAGAAGAGACTAGAGATATGGGCAGAGATCCCAGCTCTCTGAGGCTAGGCCTCAGTCTGGCAATGCACATCCGGAGCTGCCTAGAAGCAAAGGCTGCTTCCTACATCCTGCAGCCTGTGGATGCACCATGCCAGAAGTAAAAGCAGCTGTGCTGACCGAATCAGGTTCCAGGAGCCCTTCTACTCCAGATGTGGTACAAAAATAGGCCTCTGATGCTGTCACATTTGAGGCCTGTGCTCTCCAGCCAGCTGAGAGGTACCCAGGAGCCAGGAAGAGCAGAGGGGAGCATCAGTGTCCACATGTTGGGGGATACCTCTGTGATCTGTCCACCCCTAGTGGACAAGCCACATATTCAGGCCAATGCCCAGTAAGGACTGGTAACAAATTTCTGTAAGTCCTCCAGCTGCCCCAGGGAGTCAGCTGTGCCATCAGGTCCCATGGCCTTGCTCAGGAGACCAGAGTGAACATGACAAAAGGAGAGCCACTTCTCCTTCAACCTCTGTTCACTGCTAAGTTACCTTGCTTCTGGAGGAAAACAAATCCTTCCTCAGCTTGTCAGCCACCTCCCCTGAGGCCTTCCGTGCCTCTTTTAGATTCTCGTACTCTCTGCAATGTGGCCATGGAAAGAGATGCCAGAAAAGAACACCTGCAGGTCAGACTGAGCCACAGCACTAATCTAACACAAAGCACTGCCCAACCCCTCAACTCACTCTCATTCCTACTTTGACACCTGAGCCCAACAAGTACCAGGTGGCACTGTGGAGGGTCCTGCAGAGAATGCAAGGAAGTGACTATTTCCTCCTGCCTGTCCTGCAGGCACTGGTGACTTGAGAGGGCATGCAGAAAGCCCCAGTCTCACTAGGGGGCTCCCTAAACCACCTGGTCTTAAAGGAGGCATCTTGGACCCTCTATGCCTCTCAGCTAAGTGGCCCTCCACCCTTCCTGCCAACCTTACACCCACCAGAGTGAAGAATATGAGTAGAGTTTGATCCCAGCCAGGCAGGATCATAGTGCTAATGGGGAACAGGCTCTACATATCAATCACAATGGGGCTTATAGCCCAGAGAGCTAGGTCAACTCCCTTAGAAACAGCACTTAAGATTCACACTAAATCCTCAACAATCCTATGAGGCAGGTCTACTACTATTTCCATTCAGGAAGTTGAGGGTCAAAGAGGCCAAGAAACTGGCAGCAGGCCACATAGTTGCTGAAAGGTGGAATCAGGGTTCAAACAAAGGCAGCATGGCTCCAGAGTTTGCCCCTTAGTTCCATCTGCTTTACAAGAGATGGGGAGCAATGACACGGCTGGGGCCCCATGGCCTATCTCCTGTGTTTGCTGAGAGGGGCCACAGTACGCACTTCTTGAGAGACACACAGTACACAGCCAGCTGTTCCACCGCTGACTGTCCCACACCCATGTCTCGGATCATCTCCTCCACCTCAGGGCGCTGGCTCTGGAGTAGAAGCTCAATCCTGAAAAATACACCCAGCCCACGGCATTTGCAATCTGGAGGCTGATGGGTAGGTACCCAGTGCCGCTCTGCCTTCCTTTGCTGCCGTTGCTAAGGTAACAGGCTAGGCTGCCAGGATGCTTTAGTAGGTGGGTGTGCCCAAGGAAAGGCCCTGTGGCAGAGATGAGCATAGCTCCAAGGATGCTGCTGAGAAAGAAGAGGTGCTGAAAGAGGGTCTCAAGGTCAGGGATTTCCTGGAGAGAGGTTTCTGGAAGGAAAGACCCACCAGGTCATCTGGCCACAGGCAGCAGAGACAGGGAGGAATGTGGCAAGGGCTCCCATTCCTTGGAATGGGGGAAGAGTTCATAGAGGCTAAGATCTGTGCCCACACCCAGCTGACCTGAGCCCTCCATGGCCTATGGAGATTTGAGCCTCGGACATGACCCAATCCCACTCCCTGCTGCAGTCCTAAGAACTGTACCACTTGCAGGCCCTGGGGGCAAAGGCACAGTGCAGGACCCAGCTCCAAACTCACTGCTCCATGGTCTTCATCTTGCTCCTGAGCCGGCGGGCCTCCTCTTGTGCTTGTTTGGTCTCATCCTGCTGCTGCTCTAAGTACTTCATCTGCTTCTGAAGAGCAAATACACCCATACCTGATGCTTGGAGGCCCTCAGGAGCCATTGCTAAAGTCACTAGGAAAACTCTGCTCCAGAACTCTCTGCAGCTTATGTTTTGAAAATGCTGATAACCATGTACTCCCAAACCCCAGGAGGTAAAGCTCCTGGGTCCCACTCTCGCTTGTGCTTCTTCTTCTAAAAGGCTCTAAGCCAGCTGCTTCTTCACCTCCCTGCCTGCTTCCTCCTGAAAGGTATCTTACAGTAGACACAGCCCACTGCCAGCATTTACAGGCCCACTGTGGGCTGCCAAGGTCCAGTGGTCTGGGCCTCATGGTACATGTTGTGCAGGTGGCTGAAGAAGTCCAGAGCACAAACCCAGGCCTCACCATCCAACACCCAGACCCATGGACAGTTGCCAAGAATGAATAATTGAGCCAGGGGAAGCTGGCCAGGCTGCCTTCAGCCTAAGACCACTTGTCTCTGACCTGAGAATACCATGAGAGACTCCTGCTCTGCAGCCAGGTGCCAGTTTGCTCCCTCCCACCAGCCAGACCATGTGATCCAGCCCAGCCCCCAAGCAGGAACAGAGACAATGAATATCCTGGGGCCTTGTCTGTTCACAAGGATGGCTCCCTTTCCCTTTCAAATGGCATCCAGCAAGGACTGCTCCTGCCTACAAGGCCAGAATATCAATCGTGGGTTCAGATCAATCGCCTCTCATGCCCCTTGGAGAGCAAGAGGCTCACCAACCCAGGCTGATGCAAAATTCATCTGGGTCTAAGGCTGTTCACTCTGCAGACTTTGATCTGGTTGGTCAGCTCAGCACAGCTGACTTCAAAGGCCCTTGCTCCTCCCTAGGATGCTGTTTGATCTGGCTCAGGAGAGCAGCCCAGCCAAGGACTAGAGTGCTAATGGAAGGTTCTTCAGGCTGGCCTCATCAGTAGAGTATGAACCACTTTCGGAAATATGGCCCAGCCTCACTGAGGTCTTAGTTGAGCATCCCCTCTGTGAGGTACTGGGAAGGCCTTGACTCTTCAAACTACCTAGTACAAAACCCACAAGTATAGCCAATATGGCCCTTTTCTTATGGGATGGATGGGTACAGTATGGAAGGGCAAGGGGAAGAAGTGATTTGCCTCTATTTTACAACTCCCCAAACCAAGGTGATGACTGGAGCAGAACCAGAAGATAAGCCCAGAATGGGGAGTCCAGTTCTGGGGCAATACCTCCCTATGAATTCTGTACCCATAAAACCTGAGGACCTACTTTCAGTGTGGAGCACAGCATCTCGGCCTTGCCCAAGGCCTGCTGCAGAGATACCACAGTAGCATTGCGTTCTTCCAGCGTATCCCGCAGAGTGTCGATGATGACCTGGCTGTCTCGTTTCTCCTTGTCTGGAGCAGGGGTAGAGGGCGGAGGAAAGGGAAAGGCCTGTCCATCCATCAGCAGAAGAACTTGGGCCCTTGGATTCAGTGCCTCATCCCTTAGGCAGGTGAGAAACAAGGCTCAGGCCTGAAAGCTGGGTGGCCCGCTTCTTTCTCTGGGATGTGCCAAACCAGAGAAGCTGAGCCAGAGCCTTCATTCAGGGAAAAGCCCACCTTCTGCTGCTTGAACTACTTAGGAAAATATTTTACTGCCCATTCCCTACCTGCCATGGGTCCAGTTAGTTCATCAACCCAGGACTCAAGCAGGTTCCAGCCAAACTCAGCAGCTGAGCCCTCTCCCGAAGATATTCAGTCCCATCAGGTAACCCCCTCCCATCTTGGTTCCTGGGCAAGAAGCTGCACTCAGAGACAAGAGGCTCACCTGGTCTAGGTGAACAGCTTCAGTCACCTCCCTTCCCTCTCTTTTTCTGCCCACCACAACAGCTAGCAGGACTCTTGGACATACAAAGCAGGGAAAGGCCCTGGCTCTCCCAAACGGTTTGAAACCTTCCTCCTAGGGCCCCCTTCCTCCAGCATCCAAGTCAGGGGCTTCCCAGCACCCCTCGTCTCTTGCTAACTCACCTTTCTGGGAAAGCTGGGCTCTGACATTGTCCAGTTCATTCTGAAAGGCAATACCCACAATAAGCAGCAGGAAAGCATCATAGCTGACCTCCACGTGGTCTCCCATAAGGCTGTGGGGAGCCCCAGGATTGAACAATGAGGCCTTCTAGGGCATGAATCCTGCAGTGCCTCAAGGCCAAGCTAAGCTAACAATGGAAAGATAAGCACTGCTGTAGCTCTATGTGCCCTTTTGAAAAGTAGGTAAGATGGAGGAAAACAATCTCAGGGGCAAGGCCCCAGGACAGGTAAAGAGGTAGAATAGTGGAAGGGAAGTTAAAGTAGGGCCCCTGTGATCAGTCTCCATAGCAGAAGTTTCTATCACTTCCTTGGCCTCATCGCTCTATGTTGGTCTCATTCCCTCTGGGCATCAGCTGACTCACCAGGGACACACAATAGGAATGGCCAAGGACCTTGGGCGACTACTCCTCCTCTCCACCCTGGGTCTTCCTGATTCATAGTCGACTTTCCTCCAAGCTCTGAACTGGCTCTGTGTACCACAAACCTTCCAGACCTAGTATCCAATGGAGGTAGCTATGCCAGGACAGCTTTGTACCCCTGGATGAAACCTCCCATGTGTCTAGTCTCTAACTAGACTATTGTGAGGATCAAGTGAGCCTCTCAAAGCCCCTGCAAATGTTTCACAGCCATGCCACAGAATCATTGAGAAGCTGTGGCAGAATTGAACCCAGTTCCTGTTCAGGATGCCACAGAACTCAACATCCCCATGAGCAAGAGAGGTGCCTGCTCCATAACAAAGAAATCCAAGGTTTTACAAAACTGAAACGCTTGACCAAGGGTCCATGGTGGTAGCTAGATGGAATCCAGGCAAACCTTACTGTAGATCACTTGTCTAAGATCAACAGAAGACTCAGAATTTCACATGTGACCAATAGTATGGCCCAGGCCCAGTGGGTAAACAAGCCCCTACTGTCAAACTCTCCACCTAGGACTCTGGGGGCAAGAGCTTCTGGTGGCTGGGCTGGTTAGCATAGGCTGAACAGCTGGGAGTGGAGGTGGTGGGTAAGGAAGAGCACGCAAGGGCTGCCTGAGAACAGATACCAGGACATGGCTGCTGCACCACTACCCATAGTCCCCTGACTTCTTCCACACTCCAGCAGGGGCTTCCAAGCCCTTGCTCCAAACTACCCAAGATGTTGCTACCTGTCTCACAAACCTGGCTTTGAAAGCTGGAAATAAATGAAACTGCCTTTGTTGCCTTCATCACAGGGAAGACACTACTTAAAACTGGGAGCAGTTACCATGACGATGAACATGCTTGCTCTAAGCACAAAAGCTCCATGTTCCTGAAGCAGTGAGGTTCCAAGGACATCATGACACCCTGGGGCCAGAGCCAAATGAACTCTGATCTGACAGATATCCAGCAAATTAACCCTCAGAGTCCAGGGATCATTTGTGAACCCAAATCCAACTTCCTCAAGAGTTCTCTGCCAACGCAGCCTGCTTGCACACAAAAAAAGCTAAATTTTAGATTAGGAGGGGAAGCAGTTAGACGTATAGGAGGGAAACTACCCACTTTCCCCTAATATATCCATTCCCACCTGAGCTGCAACTCTTGATTCCAAGAGCTCTGGTCTGGGGAAGGCCCAGGCATCTGACTTTATACCAAGCTCCCTAGGCAATTTTTTTTCTTTTAACTTTTTTTATTTAATAGAGATGGGGTCCCATGTTGCTCAGGCTGGTCTTGAACTCCTGGGCTCAAGTGATCTGCCCACCTTGGTCACCCAAAGTGCTGGGATTACAGGTGTGAGCCATCACGCCCAGCCTCCCCAGGCAATTTTGAGGCACAGGCAGGCTAGGGAACACTGAATCCAAAAATCTCCCGTGGCTGGGGAGTAGAAGAGTTTTCTAATCTGTCACTAACTGTCCAAGCAGCAAAGTAGGCTGTACAGGATGGCTGTAGGTTCTTTAAAAGATGAGGAGACAAGACCGCAGGAGAGAATTCAGGTTGGAATTGACCTGAAATCCCAAAGGGAGGGTTTACAGTCAAGCAGCTCCCCTCTTCCCTCACAGTGCATTTCTCTGATGACTGTGTCTCATCAGTTGTCCTCTGATTTTTGTGTCCCCACCTTGAAAACTGTACCAAGTCTCACCTCTATAACTTCATCTCCATATTCCAGGAACCCTCCACTTATGTGGAAATAGAAAGTGAACTCCCAGGCCAGGCACAGTGGCTCATGCCTGTAATCTCAGCCCTTTGGGAGGCCAAGGTGGGAGGATTGCTCGAGCCCAAGAGTTCAAGACCAGCCTGGGTAACATAGCAAGGCCCTATCTCTATAAAAATTTTTTTTTATAAATTAGGGCTGGGCACGGTGGCCCACGCCTGCAATCTCAGCACTTTGGGAGGCCGAGGTGGGTGGATCACTTCAGGTCAGGAGTTCGAGACCAGCCTGGCCAACAAGGTGAAACCCCGTCTGTACTAAAAACACAAAACTAGCCGGGTATGGTGGCACGTGCCTGTAGTCCCAGCTACTCGGGAGGCTGAAGCAGGAGAATTGTTTTAACCTAGGAGGCAGAGGTTGCAGTGAGCCAAGATCACGCCACTACACTCCAGCCTGGGTGACAGAGTGAGACTTCATCTCAAAATAAATAAATAAATAAATAAATAAATAAATAAATAAATAAAATAAAAAAATTAACCGAGCATGGTGGTGCACCCCTACAGTCCTAGCTACTAGGTAGGCTGAGGTGGGGAGATCCCTTGAACTCAGGAGTTTGAGGTTATAGTGAGCTATGATTGCACCACTGCACTCCAGTGTGGGCAACAAAGTAAGACCCTGTCTCTAAAAAAAGAAAAGAAAAGAAAAGAAAAGAAAAGAGAAAAGAGAAGAGAAGAGAAGAGAAGAGAAAAAAGAAAAGAAAAGAAAAAAGAAAAGTGAACTCGCACAAGGCTTGGAGTTCAGTAGAATCAGATAAATTCTGGGTACCTTTAAGAATTCTGCATCCAAGACATTCTCCTCCTCCTGGGCAAGATCAAAGAAGAGCTTATTGATAATGGTTCTTTTGCCAACCTGGATGGGAGAACAAGGTAAGAGTATGATTGTGTAGCTGGGTCATGCGCAAGGAGGAGAGTGTTGTACATGGGTCTGACTACCTGCCTGACATGCATGTCAGGCCTGTTCTCAGACCTAATTTTTCAAAGTACATCCTTTAGAGTCAAAAGACCTCTTTACTCCTGCAGGTACCCCAAGTTGGGGCTGCTGGTTTCGTGGTCACTGAAGTCATATTACTACAGACCTACACGGTTAAGTGCTCAAAAGATACCTGAACTCTAGGTGCGGAGTCACTGATGAAAAGACAGGGAAGGAGGCCAGCCAAATCTACCCAAGTGAAAACTGGCCCAGGCAACAAGTCCATCTGCCAGCTACCTGTGGGTGTAAGCAGACCTCCCAAACACTCAAGGGCACAAGTGAGGCTCAACTGGCCTTAAACCAGGAGGGTCCAAAAAAGGTCAGAGATATTGCAGTTTCAGAGCTCTTTTCACATTCCTGCTCTCTGCTAAGGAGATCTCTTCAGTTGAGGTGGTCCCACCCCAATACTCTCACCTGGATTCGGCACTGTGGGCAGGTCCGACTTGGTGCTGTCTCAAACCACTGAATTAGGCTGGAATGAAAAGCAGAACAATAGACTGATGAGCCCTGGTTTGTCTGGGGACATAAGCCAGGCAAACATTCTGACCACGAAAGGGTCTGTTCTGCTCCTCCTTGACCCAATGCCTGCCCAAATAAGAGGACAGTAGCATAGGCAGTTACAGCACCTCCCGCAAGGCCTGATGGGTACTCAGGACTCCAACCAGCTGGCCCTTTTTTTGGCCCTGTTGGCTTGGCCAAAAGCTGTCCTTTAGGCAACATTCTGGGCTTTGACTGGGGTTGGGAGAGATGATAGTCGAAGCTCAGGGGCCCTCAGAGATGAGGACTCTGATAACACCCCCATTTTAAGCTGGAATCCCAAAGACTACACTTTCAAGGTAAGGATCAACCAGAAATAAAAGTAAGTAAGGGTACAAAAATAAAGTTAGATATAAGGAATAAAATCTAGTATTTGATAGCACAACAGAGTGACTACAGTCAACAATAATCTACTGTACATTTTAAAGTAACTAAAAGAATAGGAATGTTTGTAACACAAAAAAATGATAAATGCTTGAGGTGATGGCTACTCTGTTTACCCTGAAGTGATTATTACAGTGTATCCCTGCATCAAAATATCTCATAAACCCAATAAATATGTATACCTACTATGTACTCATAACTTTTTTTTTTTTTTTGAGGTGGAGTCTTGCTCTGTCGCCCAGGCTGGAGTGCAGTGGCACGATCTTGGTTCACTGCAAACTCCGCCTCCTTGGTTCAAACGATTCTCCTACCTCAGCCTCCCAGGTAGCTGGGATTACAGGCATGCGCGACCACGCCCAGCTAATTTTTGTTTTTAGTAGAGACAGGGTTTCACCATGTTGGCCAGGCTGGTCTTGAACTCCTGACCTCAAGTGATCCACCTGCCTCAGCCTCCCAAAGTGCTGGGATTACAGGTATGAGCCACCATACCCAGCCATAAAATTTTTTTAAATTAAATTTTTTGTTTTTTTGTTTTTTACAGAATAGAGGCAGGGTCTCACTGTGCTGCCCAAGCTGGTCTCAACTCCTGAGCTTAAGTGCTCCTCCCACCTCAGCCTCCCAAAGTGCTGGAACTATTGGTATAAGCCACTGTGCCCAATCAAAAAAATTTTTTTAATTAAAAAAAAAAAAGAGTGGCCGGGCGCAGTGGCTCACGCCTGTAATCCCAGCACTTTGGGAGGCCGAGGCGGGCAGATCACAAGGTCAGGAGATTGAGACCATCCTGACTAACATGGTGAAACTCCATCTCTACTAAAAATACAAAACATTAGCCGGACGTGGTGGCAGGCACCTGTAGTCCCAGCTACTCGGGAGGCTGAGGCAGGAGAATGGTGTGAACCTGGGAGGCGGAGATTGCAGTGAGCTGAGATTGTGCCACTACACTCCAGCCTGGGCGACAGAGCGAGACTCCATCTCAAAAAAAAAAGTAAGTAGTGGTAAAAGCAAAACACAGCTGAGCTTTGCATCATCTATGCAGGTGGTCCAGCAAAGCTCAAGCCTTAAACTTTAATTAGTCTCCTACTAGTAGACTCCCCTACTCCTAGGGACCAGGGAGAAACTAAGTCCTCTCTGGAAAATGATACCATCATCCTGGCCTCAAAGATTCCTATAAGTACATTTTCTTTTCTTTTCTTTTTTTTTTTTTTTTTTTTTTTTGAGATGGGGTCTCAATCTGTCACCCAGGCTGGAGCGCAGTGGTGTGATCTTGGCTTACTGCAACCTTCGCCTCCCAGGCTCGAGCAATCCTCCCACCTCAGCCTCCCGAGTAGCTGGGACCACAGGCGTGCACCACCATGCCCAGCTAAAATTCCCATAAGTTTTCAAATACCATGTACAACATATAATCAAGAGTAACCAGGCGCAGTGGAATACTACACAGCAAGAATAAATGAGTCTACAGCTAAGAACAATATTATGAATAAATCACAAAAACATAACACTGAGGAAGAGAAGCCAGATACAAAAAGTTATATTTTGTATGATTCTATTTACACAGTTTAAAAGTAGGCAGGCCAGGCCCAGTGGCTCACGTCTGTAATCCCAGCACTTTGGGAGGTCGAGGCGGGTGGATCATCAGGTCAGAAGTTTGAGACCAGCCTGACCAACATGGTGAAACCCCGTCTCTACTAAAAATAGAAAAATTAGCCGGGTGTGGTGGCGCACGCCTGTAATCCCAGCTACTTGGGAGACTAAGGCAGAAGAATCGTTTGAACCTGGGAGGTGGAGGTTGCAGTGAGCCGAGATCACGCCACTGCACTCCAGCGTGAGGGACATAGTGAGACTCTGTCTCAAAAAAAAAAAAAGTAGGCAAAATTCATCTATGCTCTCAAAGTCAAGACAGTAGCTATCTTAATATGGGGAGGTGGAGGGAGGTGTTGGTAGGGGTTGGAAGAGCATATAAGGAGGTTTCTAGAAGGTTTCTAGAGCTGATAATAGTCTGCATTTTTTTTTTTTTTTTTTTTTTGAGACAGAGTCTTGCTCTGTCAGCCAGGCTGGAGTTCAGTGGCACGATCTCGGCTCACTGCAACCTCCACCTCCCAGGTTCAAGCAATTCTCCTGCCTCAGCCTCCCGAGTAGCTGGGGTTACGGGTGCACGCCACCATGCCCAGCTCATTTTTATATTTTTTTAGTAGAGACAGGGTTTCACCATGTTGGCCAGGCTGCTCTCAAACTCCTGATCCACCCGCCTCGGACTCCCAAAATGCTGGGATTACAGGCATGAGCCACCATGCCCGGCCAATAGCCTGCGTTTTCCTGTTTTCTTTTTTTTTTTTGGTGGGGGGACTTTCGAGACAGGGTCTCACTCTGTCACCCAGGCTGGAATGCAGTAAAGCAATCATGGCTCACAGCTGACTCTACCTCCCAGGCTCAGGTGATGATCACCTCAGCATCCTGGGTAGCTGGGACCACAGGCACATGCCACTATGCTCGGCTAATTTTCTGTGTTTTTAGTAGAGATTTCATCATGTTGCTCAGGCTGTTCTAGAACTTCTGGGCTCAAGCAATCTGCCTACCTCAGCCTCCCAAAGTGCTGGGATCACAGGCGTGAATCAACACGCCCAGCCATACCCTGTTTCTTGATCTGAATTCTGGCTGCATAGATATGTTCAATTTGTAAACATTCTGTAAGCCATATACTTAGAATATGTGTACTTTTCTGAACTATATTATACTTCAATTTTAAAATGTTCTTTTTTTGAAATGGGGTCTCACTCTGTCATCCAGGCTGGAGTGCAGCAGCACAATCATGAGTCACTGCAGCCTCAACCTCCCAGGCTCAAGCGATCCTCCTGCCTCAGCCTTGCAAGTAGTTGGGACTGCAGGCACAGGCCATCATGCCCAGGTAATTTATATTTTTTTCACTTTTTTGTAGAGATGGGGTGTCACTGTGTTGCCCAGACTGGTCTTGGACCCCTGGGCTCAAGCAATCCAGCCACCTCCCAAAGTGCTGGGATTAAAGGGGTGAGCCATCATGCCTAGCCAAAAAAACACTTTTTTTTTTTTTTAAGACTGAGTCTCGCTCTGTCACCCAGGCGGGAGTGCAGTGGTGCAATCTCGGCTCACTGCAACCTCCACCTCCTGAGTTCAAGCGATTCTCCTGCCTCAGCCTTCCAAGTAGCTGGGACTAGAGGCGCCCGCCACCATGCCCGGCTAATTTTTTTGTATTTTTAGTAAAGACGGGGTTTCACCATGTTAGCCAGGATGGTCTCGATCTCCTGACCTCGTGATCCACCAGCCTCGGCCTCCCAAAGTGCTGGGATTACAGTTGTGAGCCACCGCGCCCAGCCAAAAAAACATTTTTTTAAGTAAACAGGTACACAAGAAAAAAAAGCACTATGAAAACAAACCAGAAGAAATGCCCACAAAGACTTTAGGTAGGCCAGGTGCAGTGGCTCACGCCTGTAATCCCAGCACTTTGGGAGGCCGAGGCGGGCAGATCACGAGGTCAGGAGTTCAAGACCAGCCTGGCCAACATGGTGAAACCCCGTCTCTACTAAAAATACAAAAATTAGCCAGGCACGGTGGCGAGCGCCTGTAATCCCAGCTACTCGGGAGGTTGACGCAGGAGAATTGCTTGAACCCAGGAGGTGGAGGTTGCAGTGAGCCGAGATCGGACCATTGCACTCCAGCCTGGGTGACAGAGCGAGACTCTACCTCAAAAATAAATAATAACACAGGATAAAAAAGTTAATGGAATAGAGGCAATATATGAAGAGATAATGGCTGATAATTTTCCAGAACTGATTAAAGAAATTGCTCCACACGGCCAGGCGCGGTGGCTCACGCCTGTAATCCCAGCACTTTGGGAGGCCGAGGCAGGCAGATCATGAGGTCAGGAGATCAAGACCATCCTGACTAACACAGTGAAACCCCATCTCTACTAAAAATACAAAAAATTAGCTGGGCATGGTGGCAGGCGCCTGTAGTCCCAGCTACTCGGGAGGCTGAGGCAGGAGAATGGCGTGAACCCGGGAGGCAGAGCTTGCAGTGAGCCAAGATCGTGCCACTGCACTCCAGCCTGGGTGACACAGCGAGACTCCGTCTCAAAAAAAAAAGAAAGAAAGAAAGAAATTGCTCTACACGTTAAAGAAATCTAATGAATCCCGAGCAGAATTTGTAAAAAGAAATTCGGCCAGGCACAATGGCTCATGGCTGTAATCCCGGCACTTTGGGAGACCAAGGTGGGAAGATCACCTGAGGTCAGGAGTTCGAGACCAGCCTGGCCAACATGGTGAAACCCTGTCTCTGCTACAAGTACAAAATTTAGCCGGGCATGATGACACGTGCCTTTAGTCCCAGCTACTCGGGAGGCTGAGGCAGGAGAATTGCTTGAACCAGGGAGGTGGAGGTTGCAGTGAGTTGAGATTGTCCCACTGTGCTCCAGCCTGGGCAACAGAGCAAGACTCTGTCTCAAAAAAAAAAAAAAGAAAAGAAAAAGGTAAAAAGAAATTCATATTGGATACACTATACCAAAACTGCAGAAAGCCAAAATCAGAGAAAATTCTAAAGGTAATGAGAGTCTGAGGATAAAGTTCCAAAGTATGCTTAAAGGAGTAACTGATAAACTAAAATCTGACTTCAATAGCTACAACGGAAGCTAGAAGTTGGATAAGGGCCGAGTGTGGTGGCTCACACCTGTATTCCCAGCACTTTGGAAGGCCAAGGCAGGAGGATTGCTTTAGGCCAGGAGTTTGAGACCAGCCTGGCTAACATAGCGAGACCTTGTCTCTAAAAACAATAATAAAATAAAATAAAATAAAACAGATGAAAAAAGATATACCATGCAGTCACCAAAAGACAGCTGAAGTGGCTATACTAATAGCAGATAAAATGGACTTTAAATTAGACAAGATAGGCCAGGCACGGTAGCTCACGCCTGTAATCCCAGCACTTTGGGAGGCCGAGGTGGGCGGATCACGAGGTCAGGAGTTTGAGACCAGTCTGGCCAACATAGTGAAACTCTGCCTCTACTAAAAATACAAAAAAAATTAGCCAGGCACAGTGGTGTGTGCCTGTAATCCCAGCTACTCGGGAGGCTGAGGTAGGAGAATCACGTGAACCCAAGAGGCAGAGGTTGCAGTGAGCCAAGATTGCGCCACTGCACTCCAGTCTGGGCCACAGAACGAGACTCCATCTCAAAAAAAAAATTAGGCAAGACAGACTTTGAATTAAAGTTACAAGAGACAAAGAAGGACAAAGAAGAACATTTAAAAAAAGTTCAATCCTGCAAGAAGAAACAATTATAAACTCCAGCCTGGGCGACACAGCACGATCCTGTTTCAAAAAAAAAAAAAAATTATTCCAAACAAAAACTTTACTTAAAAACATACAATTGGCCGGTCGTGGTGGCTCATGCCTGTAAACCCCAGCACTTTGGCAGGCCAAGGAGGGTGGATCACTTGAGTACAGGAGTTTCAAACCAGCCTGGGCAGCATGGCGAAATCCTGTCTCTACAAAAAACAAAAATTAGCTGGGCATGGTGACATGCACCTGTAGTCCCAGCTAGTTGTGAGGCTGAGGCAGGAGGATCGCTTGAGTCCAGGAGGTCAAGGCTGCAGTGAGCAGAGATTGTACCACTGCAGACCAGCTTGGGCAAGAGAGCAGGACTCTGTCTCAAAAATAACACCAACGAAAAAAATACCACACATACACACAATTAAAATATTCAACAATAACGTAGAAGTGGGAAAAGAATGTTAGTATTCTAAGCTCTTTGAGTTGCCTGGGAAAATGAGAAAGGTGTTGATTAACCTTGAAATTGGTAAGTTAAGGATACATACCTTAATTTCTAGGATAACCACTTATAAATGGAAATGGGGTATATAACGACCCAACTAACTGAGGGAAAAATGGAGAAATACAGAATATTTAACCAATTCCTACCAAGGCAAGAAAGGAGACAATAAGATATAATAGGCAAGGCAAAACAGAATCGACTAAAGACAATATGTTTACTCTTTATTTAATCAGTAATTGCAACAATTTTAAGTAGACTAAATGGTCCAGTTAAATACAAAGATTATCAGACTGGATTTTTAAAAGTCCAACTAAATGTTGTTTTCCAAGGCTGGGTGCGGTGGTTCACACCTGTAATCCTAGCACTTTGGGAGGCAGAGGTGGGTGGATTACTTGAGTCCAGGGGTTCAAGACCAGCCTGGGCAACATAGCAAGACCCCATCTCTACTAAAAATACAAAAAAAAAAAAATAGTCAAGCATGGTGGCAGGCGCCTGTAGTCCCAGCTACTTGGGAGGCTAAGATGGGAGAATCACCTTAGCCCAGGAGGTAGAGGCTGCAGTGAGCCGAGATGGCACCACTGCACTGCAGCCTGTGTAACAGAGTGAGACCCTGTCTCAAAATAAAATAAAATAAAGATCTTTGCAGTAAGCTAAAGTACTTTTTAATATACAAAAAAAGAAATAAATGCTGTTTCAAGGGATACATGTAAAACACAAGGACACAGAAAAGTTTAAAGTAAAAGGATAGGCCCTAGCACTTTGAGAGGCCAAGGTGGGTGGATCACCTGAAGTCAGGAGTTCGAGACCAGCCTGGCCAACATGGAGAAACCCTGTCTATGAAAAACACAAAAATTAGCTGGGCGTGGTGGCGCACGCCTGTAATGTCAGCTACTTGGGAGGCTGAGGAAGGAGAATCACTTGAACTCAGGAGGTGGAGGTTGCAGTGAGCCGAGATCACGCCACTGCACTCCAGCCTACACGACAGGAGCGAGACTCCATCTCAAAAATAAAATAAAATAAAAATAAATAAATAAAGTAAAAGGATAGAAGAAAATAGAGTAGGCAAACAGAAAATAGAGTACGCTTAGAGGCGAGCTTAATTTCTAGTCTAACCAAACAGCAGTGGCTCCCTCAGCATGGGGCTCAGGCTGTCAGCAACACAGGCCTAAACAAAGCTTTGCAAGTAAGCCAGCAGCCATCAGTGTCATGCCTGCCTTTCTGCTTCCTAGGGCCTTTAGCCCCACAAGACCCTGTGATTATTATCACCCACCATTCCCAGGGGTAACGCTGCCTTATCTCTTTTGCTAGGAGGTCCAAACCGGCCTGTCCACATCTGCTAGGGGAATCTTTCCCCACTAGCTGTACACTCAACAGAATGGCCCTACACGGTCAGCAGGACCCCTGGATAGGGGAGCATCTCCTTGCCTTCCCCATGTTAAACGGGTTTGCTGACATGGCGAATACATTGGGGTGTCTGGACAGTGAGATGACTCTGGGTAGAATAATTCCAAACCATCAAGTAAGGCACAGCAAACTCTCTTGGGTAGCCAGAAGCCTAGCAGGTTTCTATCTGGAAGAAATAAAAGGACTTGTTGATGTGGTGAAAGCTCACCCTTGCCCAGGCTAACGGTTTTGAAATCACATCTGTTTGTATAGGTGATCAAGGAAGCATCTATCTTCACTGAGCCATCTTAGTCCCCCTCAGGCTTAGCTCAGCTATCACCTCTACCAGAAAGCCTGTCCTGACCCACTTCTGCCCAGGTTGGGAAGCTCCCGTGGGGCCTCGTCTAGGAGGAAGGTTCTCATCACTTGTCTGGATTCCGGGGTTGGACCGCCTGGAGGCCCAACACCTCAAGGCCCTGAAGCGGTACCCGGGCAAACACCGGGCCCCAACACTGCAGTCACTCACCACTGCAAGTGGAAGGTGTGGCCGCAGTGGATGGCGGCCACGTCGCGGGAGTGATCGAAGAAGTCGGAGCAGATAGTGCACAGAGCACGGATAGGCATGATGGCTGGACTCAAGGGGCCCAGGCAGCCAAAGAAACTGCTACAGGTCCGGCTTCGTAGACGCGCCCCCGCGCCTCCGCTTGCTTCAAATTTGGCTCCGCAGCACGACTTCCTGGAGCGGGCCGGAAGTGACAACACAAAACTTTGGGCGGAGCGTGAATACTTCGCCTGGATTGGACAAATTCTCGGATGGGCGGAACTATGGGCGGGGCTTAGCGGCCCCGAGGCCGTAGAGAATCCTGGGCGGAGCGCGGTCGCTCTCAGGCGTCCTCTGGGGAGACTCGACCTGCCACTTGAGAGCGCAGCATTATATCAAGGCGGGGAGCAGCGAGGCTGCCAGCTGGACCCTTTTCCAGGGCAAGGCAGCGCATTGTGGTCCCATGCCAGAGCTGGCGCGAGGCAGGCTGGGCCAAGGCAGAGAAAACCGCAGCCGCAAGGGAATAGAACAATGGTCCCGATGGGTCCCTTGGGCTCTGGACAGTGATGGACCATGCGCTATGGTCTGTAGTTCCCATAGACCACAATACCCTACCCTCTCAGTCCTCAGTTCCGGGCGATTCTAGAAAGATGGACACATAGGCCCCAGTCCCTCAGGTCACCCCAGGCCAACCTTGGCTTCATCCAAGTAAGATATGACTATCCTTGAGTTTGGAGACACTAGGGCCAGTACCCTGACTTTAGCTCTTAGCTCTCAGGAGGATCAGTTATGCTTGAGACTGTAGTAGGGTTGGAATTTTGGAGGCCCAGATGCTTCAAAGACTAGAGACTAACAAATCCTTTTTATTATTCCCACATCAGAGAAGTTATCTTTGAGGAGGTTATCTTTGAGGTCCTCCCAGAGAGCAGCATCCCTGGTGAGTTCACCCAGGCCCACCTGGGCTGGAGTAAGTCAACTTTTGGGTTTTTAGGCTTAGTATCTGTGGCAGTGTTACTCCCTCTACCCAGAAGAAACCCTGTGCATAGTCCCATAATATAAAGCTGATCTGCTCCAGCTGAAATAGACCCAGAGTGAGATTTCATTTGGGGCATAGGTGGAAAGCACAGGTGTTCACAGAAAGAAGGAATCAACACAGAGCAGCATAGAATCTTTGTGCATTGCTCACCCTACACCCTCTCCCTAGCTCAGGGAAGCTATCTTTGGCTATGAGCAGGGTCTGTCCTTGCGGTGGCTGGCCCAGGTAGATTCCAGCTCTATGCCTAAATCAAGAGTAAGGCTCCTCGGTCAACAGGAGTCAAAAACAGCAGCCCTTACTTGAGCTCTCAGCCCAGGGAGTATTCCTTGGTCCAAATGCAGCCCAAGACCCACTACTCACATGGATTTCTAGAGTTCAGAGGACCCCCACCACCACCACCATTGAGGAATACACTGTGGTGAGGATGATCTTCACCCTCAGCCCAAGAAATCCACAGGGCACTGTTCACTACTACTCCCAGCCACTACTTGTGAACCTGCTCCCAGCCTCTCCCTTCCCCACTGCCTTCCAGGGGCTCCTCCCCAGTAGGACAGAGGAAGCAAAGGCGAGAGGGTGGCCAGAGGCTTTGCAGGGTGATGTTTATTTGCCAGGTTCAGTAGGCACACAGTTAACCCACCGACCTTCACACACCAGAGCAGACCCACAGGCATGCAGGGAGAAGGGCAGGACCACCACGGAGTGCCGAGCAAGGGCGAGGACCAATGTGGCTGCCTATCCAGGCTGTGGTAGGGTCTGACAAAGGGCACCTGTCAGGAGCCTCCCTCAGGAAACTGGGGAGTTTAACCCTACTTCCTCATCCCAGAAAAAGCAACTCAATGTGGCTCTGAGGCACCTGGGCCTCTGATAGAAGTGAGCTGTAGAAAGAGGGAGTTCCTCTTCATTTCATTGTTGAACTGAGCAGAAAATCTGCCCCTGTAAAGGGCAAACCTCCAAATCAGATTATGAGTTATTGCCATGCAGCAAGCCCCCTAGGGTGGAGAGGACTTGTGGGCTGAGATTGTAGGAGGTGGGCATCTAGGAAGAGCAAGGAGGTATCAGCCCTCCCTGTTTGGCCCAGGGTAAGGACCCAGTAAGGCTGGGACACTGGGTGCTGGGCTTGTACTCTGCCCTGCCAGGTCTCATTGCCACGTCCTAATTGTTCCTCCTTTCCCTTAGAGGCTCATGAGGTTCAGGGTACAGGGCAGCCCACTGCAGGACTCGGAAAGGCAGGAAATAACACAAATAACAGGGTCTTAGGAAGGACAAAAATGGAAGCTTCTGCCCTCCTACTCATTCTCTCCACTCCTGAGGACCTCCACAGCTAGTGAGCAGTATCCCTAGCCATGTGCCAAGTCTGGACTTAAACATACTGCCCTACCTTTCTGCATCCTCTATACCAGCCTGTATCTGCTCCTAGAGCAGCCCACACACCACAGGCACACACCTTCATGTGCAGGAGCCTAAGACCGCTGACAGGGCCTCGCTGGAGGACCAGCTCTCAGGGCAAGGCCGCCCAAGTTTAGGGCCTGGGAGAGTGTGGGACCTGCAGGGCCTGCCTAGGGGAATGGTGAGGCAAGAAGGGAAGGGGAAGGAGAGCAGGAGCCCCCTGAGTATCCCTAGAGCAGCATCCCACAAGGAACAGAAACTGGTGAAGCTAGCAAAAGACAGAAAAGCCACAAGGAATCCATGCAGGGGCTGGGGCCGGCCCTGCCACTGGCCTGCCCACCACTCACACACATACACACAGGAGACGAGACTGCTCTCCCGTGACCCCTAGTTATGCCCCACTGGGATGTGGGGGCATGGGGGAGCGAGGGCATCATGCCAGTGACTCTATGTACAGTGAGAAGCCCCTCATCCACTCTCCCACCCTCCTGCCCATCCCCTGCCCCCCCTCACCAGGCTGCCTACTCAGCTGGCCTCCTCCCTTTGAGACTCCTGGGCATAACCAGCAGCCTCTTCCCCTTTACTAGAGGGTGGAGCCTGGCCTGTGGCGCCCTCTGGGGCTGTGCTGTCCGGCTGGGCCATAGCCGGCTCAGGGGTGGCAGCTGCCTTGGTGGCCAGCATGGCACTGCTTTGGGTGGTGGGCACAGTGCTCTCTTCTGTGGCTGGTGTGGCTCTCCCATCAGTGGCTGGAGTAGCGCTCCTGTCAGTGGCTGGGGTGACACTCCCATCAGTGGCTGGAGTGATGCTTCCATCGGTGGCTGGGGTGACACTGCCATCAGTGGCTGGGGTGGCACTTCCATCTGTGGCTGGGGTGGCACTACGGTCTGCGGGGGCCACATTATCACTCTTTGCAGCACGAGCAGCATCACCCTCAGGGGCTGAGGTAGCTCCACTCGCAGCTGCAGCTGTGGCCCCACCTGCAGCCCCGGGGGTGGCAGTGTCTGTGGCTGAGGCCGACTGGGCTGCAGCCGTGCTGGACTGCTCTGGTGCCCGGAGCCGTTTCATGAGGGTGGTCACTCGGACAGCCTTCTGAAAGGAGCACAGTGGAGAAAGGCTAAGGGTGAGGCTTGCTGGATCCATTGCTTGGCAGTGACCAAACCAAACTCCTTCCATAGTACCCCCGGCCACCTCCATCCACCCCAGGGCCAAGTACTCAGCTGCTCAGCACTCCTACTTAAGGTAATCACAGTGGCTACACCCACACCTGATGGCCTGAGAAAAGCTTGTGTGTGGCTGCAGGGGTGTGATGCAGGCAAGAAACTGAGTGCCAGAAGCAATACTTGGGATAGAGCCAAGAAGGGAGTTATCCAAGCCTTACCTTCCACTTGGCCCTGGCAAAGTTCTTTTCAATCTGGGCACAGACACCATCCTTGATGTTCTTATCAGAAGCAGCATTGCCAGAAATCCTGGAAAGGGTGCAAGTGTGTCTGGATCTGAGAGAATGAGCCTTTGTGGAGACTCTGCTCAGCCCTTCTATGTGGCATCCAGGGACTACCAGGCAGAGCCTCTGGGCTGCCCTGAGCTCTAGGTACCTGCACCCCTTCCAGGCCTCAAAGATGGGGCTGCTGGGTGTGAGGGGGACCCTGGCCTCTCCCACCCTCCCCTGGACCCTGCTCACCACTCATGGGAGATGGCCTCTTCTGCAGTGATCCGCTGGTCTTGCTCCACCTCCATCAGCCTTGTGACCAGGTCTTTGGCTGTGGACAAAACCAAGAAGGGGATAGTCATGGGCACCCCATCTCAATGTCTAGAGGTGATAAATGGGCTGGGGGACAGAAGCAGAATACCACAGAGGAAGATGAGAGCAGGACACCCTCCCCACTCCCTTGCGTTCTACCAAGTGCTGGGCAGGCACCTCCTCACCTGCCTGCGAAATATCATCCCAATATGGAGAGTCAAACTCATAGTCACCAGCCAGGATCTTGCGGAAGAGATTCTTATCATGGTTCTCATAATCATCTTCTTCCACCTCCTCATAGAAAGGTGGATTGCCTGAAAGCCTGCATGGGGGAAGGGTCACACAGAAAGGCCACAGACACATGCCCCCACCCCATCTGACTGCAAGCCTGCTTGTCCATCTGTCCACTCACAGGATGTACATGATGACTCCAATGGCCCAGCAGTCCACAGGGCGTCCATACCGCTGCCGGCCTACCACCTCTGGGGCTACAAACACAGCGCCCATCTGCTGGTCAGTATCAGGCCTAGCCAGGTCCAGTACCATCCACACCAGCTTCCTGAGATGAGCACATTTTCCCCCTGCCCAGAGCAGCTCCCTGAAGGCTGCCCCCCATTATCCCCCTGCCCCTGCCCCACCCCCTGCTTGCCCAGATACTCGGGGGTCCCACAGGGCTCCTTGATGAGGCCATTTTCTAGCTTAGCCAGATGGAAGTCACTGATGACAATCTTCGAGTTCTTCAGCCGGTTGTAGTAAACCAGGTTCTCCAGCTGTGGTGTGAGAATAGCATGTGGGTGAGCAGAAGACACCATGAGGACCTTGGAGGCTAGACCAAGGCCCTGAGGTGCTGCCCACCCCAGCACCAGCCCAGCTGCCAACTGGCCCTTTGACTCTGGCTCTGCCCTCACCTTGAGATTCCTGTGCACGATCTTGAGTGAGTGCAAATAGGCCACGGCCTCCAGGACTTGCCGTACCACGTTGCTTGTGTCTCGCTCCGAGTAGTAGCCCTGGTCCAGGATCCAGTCAAACACCTCCCTCCCCGTGGCCCTGAGGGACACCAGCCCCTGAGCCTGGCGTGGGCAGAATCAGGGGTAGGGCAGGAGCACTTGGGTGAGCTGCCTACGCCAGGCAGCTGGCTGAGCAAGGCACAGGGACCTGGGACGCCAAGGGTCCAGAAAGGGGGTTTCCTTAGCTGCAGAGGGTGGGACAGGTGAAAGCCCTGGGCGCTGGGGAATCTTGGGTCCCCAGACCCACACTCACAGCTCCAGGAAGATAAAGTACTCCTTGCGGGTCACAAACACATCCACCAGCTGTAGGATGTTGGGATGCTTCACCCTGGCGACAGGGAGGGGAGCCAGTAGTTAGGGCTGGATGAACCCCTGGGAGAGGCTGTGGTCACCACAGTGGCCACAGCAGACTAATTGGCCAGAGGCTGGGACTGCCTGAGGCCACTTGCCCTCTAAGCCCTTCCCTGCTGCCTCCCACCCCGCCCCAATCCCAGGCCTCAAACTCACATCTTGAGGATGCCTATCTCGTTCTTGGCAGCTTTCCGCACCTTGCGGCCGTCCCGCTTCTGGAACTTCTTGCAGGTGTGCAGCTTGCCTGTCGTCTTGTCCTTGGCCCGGAAGATTTCACAAAACTCCTCACTGCAGCCGACAGGCACCCACTCAGGCCTGGCCTTAGCATCAGCTGCACTCCACTGCCACTTCCCTAGCCCCTGCTCACCAGCCCACCCAGCCTTGCCTGACAGGCCCGGCACTCACGTCTTGATGACCTGTCCCAAATCATATCTGTCAGTCACCTCCGATGGCTGGTTATAGTTCTTCTTGTCGCCCAGAGTCACACACCCAAACGGCATTGCCAGGCTCTAACCTGCGGGCACAATGGGGTCTGGCTTAGCTGTACTACTCTCCACTTCCCCACAACATAGGGGCTGCTTTTGGGAGACCCCAACCTGGCTCAGGCCAAGCTAGGGGCAGAGACCATACCAGGAGGGGCTAGAGGATAGGCAGGCTTAGATCCTACCCCTGCTTTTCTGGCTAGACATCCAGCTACTCAGCTTGGCTGCCTGAAGTGCAACAGCCTACATATGAAAAAATGTATTAAGCTGATATATAAGGGAATAGTTTTGTATTCTATACATTCAAAAAAAAGGCTTATCAAACAGTTTATTTAAATTTCAGCTATTTTACAGATGAAGGGGGCTATAACCACCCACCCACCTGCTAGTCATCTCTGAAGGTCTAGAGCTAACAAGTGTTAGTGGATATATGAAGAACGTGAGCACTGCTAGGAGAGGGCAAACTCCCCTTTGTAAAGCAGTTTGGTAAAACCACTAAAGTCAAACAAACATACCCTATGAACCAGCAATTGCACTCCTAAATACGTGCCTACAGAAGTGCACATATTCGTGCATCAGGACAGTCATACAATGCTCATAGTAGCCATATACATAATCGCCAAAAATTGAAAACAGACCAAATACCACCACCAACAGGATGTATTGTGGTAGAGTCACACAATGGAATATTATATAGCAATGGAAACAAAGGAGCTACAGCTATACCCAACCACCTGGTGACTCTTACACAGTGTTAAGTGCAAAAAGACACAAAAGAATACATATAGTATGAGTCTATTGATAGAGTTCAAACAGGCAGAACAAACCCGTAAGGGGGATACAAACACAGCAGTAGAGCTATAAAGAAAAGCTAGGAAATAAGCAGAGTCAGATAATGGTCCCTTCTAAGAGAAAAGGAGGGGTTATGATTGATTCAGGACACATGGGGGGATTCTGGAAGACCTATTTCTTTTCTTTTCTTTTCTTTCTTTCTTTCTTTTTTTAGAGACAAGTCTCACTATGTTGCCCAGGCTGGAGTGCAGTGGCTATTCATGGGCACAAGCCCACTACTGATCAGCACAGGAGTTTTGACCTGCTTCGTCTCTGACCTTGGTTGCTTCACCCCTCCTTTAGGCAACCTGATGAGCTCTAGCTCCCAGGAAGTCACCATACTAATGCCAAACTTAGTGTAGACACCCAACTGGCATAGCGCACTGCAGCCCAGAGCTCCTGAACTCAAACGATCCTCCCACCGCAGCTGGGATTACAGGCACCCGCACCATGCCCAGCTGTTCTGTCACCCAGGCTGGAATGCAGTGGCACCCAGGCTGGAATGCAGTGGAATGATCACAGCTCATTCCAGCCTCAACCTCCTGGGCTCAAGCGATCCTCCCACCTCAGCCTCCTGAGTAGCTAGGACTGGACCATAGGTGCACACCACCACAACTGGCTAATTTTTAAAAATTTTTTTGTAGATACAGGATTTCATTACGTTGCCCAGGCTGTTCTTGAACTCCTGGGCTCAAGTGATCCTCCCACCTCAGCTTCCCAAAGTGCTGGGATTACAGGCATGAGCCACCATACCTGGCTTGGGTAAATTTTTTAAAGTTTACATACTGATGTACCCTCACAAACTCTTTTCTGGAAGAATACTGAAGGAAATAAGAGTTCTCTCCTGGGCAAAGAATTGGATGTCAAAAAGGCAGACATATCTTTTGTTTACTAATTTTCTGTGCGAATTTTTACTATTTTACTATAATGACTTCGATGAATTTAGTAAATACTGCACTCAGGCACAGTGCTTGGGGGATTCCTCAGAGGGATAATCTGGGTGGAGAGGCAAGGTAAAGCTTTGGAGGCAGCATTAGGACTCAGTAGGAAAAGATTTGCCAGGAGGTATGCAGGTGTACTGGTCAGGAAGAGCAAAACAAGCCTGATCCTGGTCCCAGCTTTCGGCTCTGCATATGCATTCATGCCCACTGGGGCCCACAGGGGACCTGGGCTGTCAGGTCCAGGTGCAAGGCCCCCAAACAGAACAGATATAGCTGGCTCAGTGAGCGCTAGGCACTCTTTCCACCTGGGGCACGGTGTCCCACAGGTCTGCAATCCTGCCAATTACAGCCCAATCCTCATCTGTAGTGCTAGGGGGGCTGACTCCAGTGTCCAAAGGAAAAGGCACTCATAGCCCATGCTCAAAGCTGGGGGTGGGGGGTTACTGACTAGACCTTCACAGATCTGACGCCAGGGTGTGCCTCCATAATACCCGGTCAGTGTGACACTGGGGCTACAGCAAGCTCTGCACTGAGGCTGCGCTGAAATTGCTCTGCCTCTGCTGACTGTGCATGTTTTCCCTCCATGCCAATTAGCACTTGCTGTGTGCAGGGCCTGAGCTAGGGCCTGGGGGTACCTAGATGCTCCCCGACCTGAAGGCACTCACAGCCTCAAGGTAGTGGAGAAGGGAGGAGGCAAAGGAGGCAGCTTGGCAAGATGAACTCTGCCAGCCAAAGTCAAAGACCAGGACCCAAACGAGCCCCATAGCCAACCCTGGCTGCTACTTGCTTCCTCCCAGGCAGAAGCCAGCCACCAGGCTGTGATTCCCAGGAGTCACAGCCCTGGAAATTCTCCCTCAGATTTGCCTTCAGCATTAGGGAACAAACTCTATCATTCCTTCATCTGGGTTGCTTGGGCTCAGGGAATACAAATGCATTTCATCAGCATTATTCCAGACAGGGTTTAAGCCATCTTGCGAGGCACAGCAGAGACAAAGGAGAGGCTTTGAAGATCGTCACTGACTGCATGTCTGCCACCATGGGCACAACCCTGCACTCCTCCACTGGGGAGAAGCATGTGGCCAGAATCCCATCCTCACAGCTGAGAGCAGAGGCATAGCCAGTTACCATTGC
This sequence comes from Homo sapiens, assembly GCF_000001405.40. Lineage (NCBI taxonomy): Eukaryota > Metazoa > Chordata > Mammalia > Primates > Hominidae > Homo > Homo sapiens. The sequence goes on from NC_000003.12 coordinate 49,865,274, forward strand.
CGGCTACACATTTTCACACCATAACAGCTGCAGGAGGGGGCCTGCAACAGTCATCTCAGTCTGAGGGCCGTGTACTGGGCAGGAGGATGGTACCTTAGCCTGCAGTCTCCCAAGAAGGCTGGGAGGGACCTGTGCCCTGGCTCTGTTGCTTTGCTTACACCATTCCCTCTGGCAAGAGTGCCCTTCCCCCAAAAGCCTCCCGTCAGATTCCTATTTGTCACGGCAGAGTTATTTATAACATTAAAAAAAATTCAGCAACTACCTAAATGTCCAACAACAGGTGACTCGCCAGCTCAACTGTGTCCACTCAATGGTAGGAAGTGTGGGCACTGGCAAGAGCTCTGCCCACCTTGGCTTTCCTGTGGAGCAGCTGCCACATGAGCGAGGTGCTGAGAGCAGAACTGAATCTCTTCTTTCATTGTGATTTCTGACATTATAAGGTGGTTTGTGCAACACATTGTCCAAAACAATCCTGATGCTCGAAGGCCAGACTCAAAATGGCCCTTTTCTGAGATACCTTCCACAACCTCCATGCCCCACCCCCCACCCCACTCCAACAGCTCCCAGCTTTGCCAGTGTGGCGTGGGTGGGAGGTTTTGTGCATGCCTGTCCTTGATCCTGGCCCCAGCTTTCGGCTCTGCATATGCATTCGTGCCCACTGAGGTCCAGGGCTGGTCATGGGGGTCTGTCCCATGAAAGGCACAGAAAACTGGGCCTCCACCCCGTAATGTCAGCCTGGAGCCATGTCCTGAAGCCTCAAGGCTGAGATGGGAACAGATCTGTCTCCCCTGCCCCCTACTATGGCTGCCCAAATTTCAGCCAGTCACTCCTCCTCCTCCTCCTCCTCACCAGTCTAAGTATACTGGCTTGGGGCCCTGGACTTGGCCCCAGGGCAAAGAGAGGAGAAAGAGGGGCCTGGCTTTCAATTAGCACCTTGGTTCCCTCTGCCCACACCCACTCCACCATCTGCTATCCACTGTTGCTCCCTGGGAGGTTTCGGGTGTGTGCACCAAGCCCTGGGCACCTGCTTGCAACAAAGGAGACCTGGGAGGAACAGCCAAGGGACAGCTCTCAGAAAGAGAGGAGGCCAAGTGGAAGGGGTTTGTATTTTTCACCCCCATGGCCCAGACCCAACACCCAACAATGGAGAGCTCTCCTCTCAGCAACACAGGATCTGAGCTCTTCCTCAGGTACACTTAGGCCATGGAAGGGCATGGGAGCTCCACAACAGCCATTTCCCTGGAGACATGGCTCCCTCCACTCTCTGCAGAGGAACTGAACAGTATGCACTACCGGCTGCCCAGAGGGAGCTTGTGGGGAGTGCAGGCCCTGGTGCGGCCATTGCCCTCCAGCTGGCTCTCATGGAGCCTGAGAGCCAAGCACTCCCCAGTTATGGCCTGCTCCCAGGGCCTGACCACTGGACTCAGGGAATTGAGCCTCCAGCAATCCTGAGGGGTCCTCTGTTGGTGCCCTGGTGATAAATGGTCCCCCAGGGACTCTGCTGCATCTTTAGGTAAGTCTGGCCCAGGGAAAGCCCAAACGGGACAAAGGCCAAGAGGTCCGGAGGCCCCACATTGGGGTCCTGTCCCCTCCTCCGCTGAGATCATCCTGGTTCAGGCCCTACCTTTCATAGACATAAACAGAGTTTCCTGCTACCTTGGTCCCCTGCCACGTGGGGCTCCAGAGCTTGCAGTAAATCTAGGGAGGCCAGGAGGGGCCCAAGAGGCCTCCAGCTGCCTCCCAACAACTGTAGGCAACACCTCCTAATTTAGTGGCAGCTGTGAACACCAGCCTGCAGGCACCCCCTCCTCTCTGCTGCTCTACTCTCTCAAGGGCTGGGGCTGGGTTTCCTGCTGCAATGAACATGCTGAAGCCCAAGCCCTGCTTAACTCACAGCTGAGGTGTCACCCACAGGACCAGGGGAGCTGAAGACCTCCCTCAAGGTCTGTTAAGAACAAGGGCCAAGCTTCTAGACCACCATCCAATTGCTTCAGGGGACCGGTCAAGGGGCTGCCCTGACTGAGCCTCCGGCTCGAGCTAAATCATGGTAGAAGTTCCTACAGCTGAATTTTGCCCATCTAATGAGGGAGTATTGTGGGGAGGTCTCTCCAGTTTTGGGGGTGGGCATGCAGTCCAGTGCTACATCCCGAAAGTTTAGCTGTCAACATGCAGGCAAAGCCAAAGGCCAGCTGTCTCCTCCCAAGCACTTGGGGTCCAAATCTCTGAACCCCTGAAGGAGAATCCACTGGAGGCTCTGCTTCCCTGTGGGTGGAGGAGGGGAAATGCAGAGGAAGGCACTAGAGTAAAGGGTTGCTATGGTGATGGAAGTTTTAAAACAAGGGGAGGGGGAGGGGAGATGTGTTGGTCAGGTCCCTTCTTCAAGAATTTCCTGAGACCTTAGCCTGGCTGCTTCTTCAAGGTTCTGTGACCCAGGTCCCCATCAAGAAAGGGGAGGTGGGGAGATGGAGAGAATTTAGAAAAAAGAGAATGGGGCAGAGACACAGACAAAGACAGAACCTGTGATGGAAGAGGAGCAAGGAGATGACAAAGTAAAAGGGACACAGGCACAAAGGGCAGGAAAGGGGAGGTGGACGGGAGTTCTGAAGGGGGCGGATGGGTGCCCAGCAGAGCCCTAAGGCCTCCATGGCGATGTGCTCTAAATCCCTGGGCCAGGAGCTATCCATGGTACTGGGACCTTCGAGACTGCACCCTCCTGTATCCCCCAAACATACACTGAACTTGGTGTAGGAGGCACAGCCAAAAGGAGGCCAGCTCCTTGGAGCATGTTGGTGGGGAAGAGGCCAGCTGCTGCAGCCCCCCAGTCAGGACAGTTCCCAGCCCGTCTCTCTGCCATCACGGCAGCTTAGGTAAAGCAGGTCCAACATGTTGAAGGCAGACGCATAGGGGTATGGAAATGAGGCTCGGATGCCTGGCTGCTTCCCTTTATAGTCCCTCTTCTCAGTTGGCCCAGCTGTACTTAGACCCTCCCAGCCAACCCCTCCCCCATCTGCTATCCTTTCCAGGCTTTGGGTCCCCAGAGCCCCTCTTACAGCTCTGCTTAATCCCCTCTCACCAACCCCCAACAGCAGATCCTGCCATGAGTGCCAGAAACGGCACCACAAGCAACCCAGAAACAGGATAACCACACAGCCCTTCACCTCCCCATGCCTCAGTTTCCCCTAATGGAAACCATGGAATCTGGCCTTCTCCCAGGGCAGAGGACTGCTTGCCTGCCTGTGAATGGTGGCCAGGGCATGGGGCTGGAGAGTAGGGCCATCAGAGATATGTGAACAGCCAGCCTAGGAGAGCACCTGAAGGGTCCACACCAAATATTAGAAAAGGGAGACCCTTGCCCCACCCTGGAAACCAACCTGACTCTGAGTGGAGACACCAGTTCCCCAGTTGAGGAAACTGAGGCTCAGAAGTCGCTGGAGCTGCCAGGAATCAACTCTGAGGGTGGGGGAGGGCACCAGGTCTCTAAAGGTAGTCCTGGGGGCTCAAAGCCTGGACTTGGGGGTAAGGGGAGTACAGCACAGGGACTGGACTACTGCAGACTCTGAGCTTTTAGTGTGGGACAGAGGGCCCTGATCCTTAGGAAGGAACCTGGTGGAGCAGGATCTGCCTGGGAGGTGCGGACAAAAGCAATTTGGCAGAGCTATGCGGGGAGGGGGCTGGGGCTCAAGAGCCCAGGGTCTCTGCCAAACAGTACAAGCTGGGGAAGGCAGAAGCTCATGCTGTCACTATCCCAGCCACCTCCAGCCAGGGGCCCTGCTCCCCACCGTGCTGCCACCCTGACCCCTTTCCCAAGTGCTGCTGGCTCGCCCCCGCTGGCACAGCAACACACATGCGGAAAGCACACGTGTGAGCACCAAGCCCCGCACCTCCCAGCAGGAACATGTGCGCCCCCACCCCCACCGTGCACGTGGGTCCATGCACTGGACCCCCAGCTGGCACCCAGGTGAAGGCTTGGAAGCTGAATTTTGGCTGGGGGGCTGCTGGTCCCCAGGGGCTTGGAGCTTCCTCCCCCACCCCGCGGCAGCCCCGCCCAGCCCCCTCCGGGTTGTCGCCCATAAAGAACTCTCCGTTGTCATGGAAATTAGTGACTGCTAAGCGGGAGGGAAGGGGCCCGGGGACAGTTGGGAGGGGCTGGAGGCGGCTCTGGGAACGGGGAGGGACGGCTCAGCTCTCGGCCCCTATCCTCACGGGGGACCACGAATCTTCGAGGGTTAATCTTTTCACAATTCCGAGCCGCAGAAGCTTCCCCCCAGAACCCCCAAGCCGTCCGAGGTAATGGGGAACTTTAGCCCGACCCCGCACTCCCTCCCCCAAATCTGCAAAGCCCGCGCGCTCTGACCCCGCCAGGACCTCGAGCCCTCGCTGCGCCCCCGCGCACTCTGCATCCCGCACCTCGAGCCAGGGAAACAATCCCCCAAGGCCCCACAACCTGCGTTCGGGAAGCGCCCCCAGCCCGGCCCGCCCCGCACCTGCAGCGCCGGTTGGTCACAGGGAGGAAGTGATCGCGGGCTCAGCGGGGCGCCGAGGGCTCCGGGGACGGCGGGCAGAATCCGCTCCGAGCACGCGGGGCAGACGCGGCGCCAGATGCAGCCGCTTCGGCTAGCGAACCTCCAGCATCGCCAGCCGCTTGCCGGCACCGGATTCGCACCCCGGGCCGGGGGCGGGCTGGGGGCGGGGCCTCCCAACCGGCCCCGCCCCGACCCTGGCGGAGCCTTAAGGGCAGAATCCCACTGGAGAGCAGGAGCGCGCGGGATGGCAGCGGTGCTGGTGAGCACTGGCCTGCTTAGCCCTGGCCAAGGTTCTCAATGGCTCCCTTAGGCCCTCAGCCTGGGGCCGGAGGAGGCCTCCTATGCCCAATGTAAGGGGTGGTGAGTGGAGAGTTGGGGGAAAGCCTGAGTCCTGGAGCTGCATAGGATCGCTTGCCAGTCATTAGTCTCTAGGGAACGGGGCTTTGCCCAGCTCCCCGAACCCGACCCAAAAGGCAGGACCAACTTAGAAAAACCAGATGGGCAGTCGGGCTAGGGCAGGCTCCCCTAGCTAGGAGCAGTAAACACACAGAGGTGTGTGTTTGCAGGTAGTCAGTGTGGCATCCCCTAGCATCCCCTAGCTACGCATCCCCTAGCTAGGAGCAGTAAACACACAGAGGTGTGTGTTTGCAGGTAGTCAGTGTGAAAACAGTGAGGGCCCTAGACTGTAGTAGCAAAGTCTCCTATCCCACCCCATCCCCAACTCCTGCAAGGCCAGAGTCTTTCCCAAACATAAGTACCAGCAAGGGTGGCAGCACAGTCAGCCCCTTCCTGTGTGGCACCAAATTTCCCAAACTATAAAAGTCACCTGTGACATGGTGTGGCCTCTGCTTTCTTTTCAGTCTAATCACTGTCAAACACTTCATGAGTTGTATCACTCTAGTGGCCTGGCCTGGGATATGGGGACACAGGAGAACTGTGGCACCAAGGTATCCCACCTGGCCTGGGTGCTAATCAGAGGGAGGAGGCTCAGAACCACCAGGAGGAAGCTTTAAAGGAAGTCCTTGGCCATTTCTCTGTCCCTTGTCAGTGAGGCTCACGGACCCAAAGCCTGACCCACACCCCTCACAAGCCCTGAGGACCATCCTAAGGCCAGTATCTGAAGACCAGACTCAGGCCTCTCAGTGTCTGGAGCTGGGTTTTATCCCACCTCACTCCTCCCAGTGAGCCTCCTGACCCTGCTGTGGGAGAGGGAGTTGGGGTCATCCCCAAACCCTCAGCCATCTTGAGGCTGCCCTGGCCACCCATGGCTGATGACAGGAGGGACTGTCCAAGTCCAGAAGCTGGGGCTGGGGCTCAGACTGAAGGCTAGCTTAGGAAATGACCGCCTCAAACAAGGTTCCTCAAAATTTTCCTCCAGAGGGGGTACTGAGCCCTTCACCTTCCTCCCTGGCTTGGTGTTACCTCCTCTAGGCCAGGCTGGTGCCACTTCTGGGGTCCCTGGGCTCTGAGTGGTCTCGGGTTATGGGACCCACCCCACCACTGGGTAGGAATCTCCTGGCAGGCTGGGTATCTGCAAGGCAGAACCCGTTTCTCATCTCAGTATGCTCGGCTGATGTCTGCAGAATGAATGAATGGCCTGGCACTGAGTCCTTCCTGCCATCTGCCCACTATTCTTGAAACAATGGGTCTCTGAGTTTTATGGTGTAGCCAAGCTGTAGCTTGCTGACCCCACACATGCCACATACATGTTTTCTGTCTTTCCTGAGGGTCATGGCTATCCAGGCATGGGGGTCAATGAGAAGCTGGAATGGGGATTTTTAGGCAGGGGAAGGGGTGGCTCCTTAGCGCCCTGCCTGCTGCTGGCAGTACTCCACCTCTTCTTGGTCCTAAGCACGCTCTGTGCATGTGGGTGAGAGCACGTGGCAGGGTGTGTGTGCACACGTGTACGTGTTGTGTATGCTCTCTTTTGCCGAGGGAGATGCAACAGCACAGTGTATGCAGTGGTGCCCAGGGGCACGTGTGTCTGCATTCTTTGTGCACCCAGGCATGCTTGCTGGCACGTGTGTGTGGACGCTGTAGCTGGTCCCTGGAGTTATCAGTCCCCTTCCTGCCTGACACAAGTCTCAGGATTGTGGAGGCTGAATCAGGCTTTGAGAGCTGGACATGGGAAGGGGGCTGGACCATGTCCAGCAGTGGGCAGGGTCTGTGCTGACCCTACATCATTGGCTGTTTTCAGGCTCCCCACCAGAGCAGCCCCTTGATCTCTGGTGTATGTGAAGATAGACAAGTCTTTGCCATTTGTGGAGGGCAATCTGAAGACAAGAACCCAGGGCTAGGATTGAGCCATGGCTTATCCCTCAGCCCCTAGACAGGAAGGCACAGGCAGGGTAGGACCGGCTTCAATGTTTTGGCTTCAACCTCCAGCTGCCTTTCAGGCAGGAGATAGTAACATCAGCTGAATGCCATCCTCTTAGCTCTTCCAGGGCAGGGACGGGACCAATGCTGAGCTTTGTTCTTACTTCCACTATTCAAAGCCAGACGGGGTCAGGGGACATGATTTCTCACCACTCCACTGGCCAGAGTGATGGCAGGAGGCCCTTTAGCACAGACCAGAGTTTGGAACAAGAGCAGAGGCAATCCAGATTAGCATTGCCTAGTAGCCTTTATGAGGACCCTCCTAAGGAGGCCTGTACCCTGAAGACAGGGGCTGCCTGGGTTGGGAGGCTGAGGAGGAGAAGAGGGCCCAAGTTCGTAGTTCTGGCTCCCACCAAAGCTAGAAAGTCAGAGGGGCAGAATAAGGTGCGAGCCGCAGTATCCACAGAGCTTCATCCCCCAGCTCAGGTTGGGCCTCCTACCCAGGATCCAGGACTTATCTGTGCCCCCAACTCCCAGCTCTAGGGTGCCAAAGGCCGGCACTCCTATGCCCTTAGATTCTGGCTGGCTGATAGAAGCCCCTGCTAACCCAGCATAGCGCTCCAGCAAAGGTTCAGACTCTAGGAGGTACCTAGATTACCAGTGCAGCTCCCCAAGAAGCCTGAACTCTGACAGAACCCTCCCACCCCAGGCCCCCAGCCATCTTTGAAACTGCCTGACTGTTGTCCATGTTGCTTGGCTTCAGTCCCCAGAAGAGGGCCCACAATGGGGAAGGGCAAGCAGTCTTTTCCTCTGGAGCCAGGGGAGGGGGCTGCCCCCCGCCCCCCACCTTGTGACTCACTCCAGGCTGTGTGGGTTATTACATTATGTTTGAAATTGCCATGGCAACAAGCTGGCAATCAAGGGTAATTGCACTTGTCGTCAGGGCAACGGGGCAAAACCCACAGCAGCCACTGTCTGTGGTTGCCCTTGGGGTGCAGTAAAGGTCAGGCCAGATCAGAGCCAATGCCAGTCAAGGGGCTCCGGGGCTGTCTAGAAAGGGTAGGTTGCCAGGGCCCATGGAGTTCCAGAGTGCAGAGGCAGGGCATGCCTTTGGAGAGAGCCAGGGCCCCCATCCATGACCCCATGCCTGGACTCCTGCTTTTCCCACACCACCCTGTGGCTGAAACATGCCACGGTGCTTAAAGAAAGCAGAACCAGAACTTTTATATGCTCACAGCTGGTACTTATAGATAGCCCATGGGCCCTCTTCCTCATATTCCTGGCAGCTGAGCCACAGGCTCTGGAAAGAGCTCCGGGATGCCATGATGGAGCCCCCAAGCCAGGCAGCAACTGCACGGTGGGGAGACCCCAGCACAGTGGCACCAGGGCCCAGCTCCTGTCTCAGGCGCTCAGGGAAGCCACTCATGAGGGTGCTGCCACCGTCCAGTACCACATTGGCCAGTAGCTGCTCCTGCTGCTTGGCCTCCAACCGGCTGATGCTTAGGAGGGCCAGCTGTGGAAGGCCCAGCTGGTTGAGACCTATCAGATTGGGTTGGAAGAGGGCCTCAGGGCAGCAGAAGCGCTCAGGCCCCAGCGTGATAACCTGCTTGTCTGGAAGCACAAAGTCCACCTCGGCCTGCGCCTGGGTGTGGGCCCTCTCAGCTGCCACATCCATGGCCACGTAGCAGCAGGCCTCTTTCATCTGGTTGATCAGTCCTGCCTGGGGCAGTGAGTGGCCACTTCTCTGCAGCAGCTGGGCCAAGTAGTCAGTAAGGTCAGCACCAGCCACATCCAGCCGGTAGGTGTCAAGTGGGGCCAGATCCCCAGTGAGGATGGGTGCCACATAGGAAGTGCCATGGCCACTGCCCAGCACCAGCCCAGTGGTACGTCCATAAGCATAGAGCGCCAGCAGGGCCTGATGCACTGTCTGCATGGCTGGGACATGGAAATGCTCAAAGAGTATTTCAGCCACCTTTTCTCGGTTGGTGAGTGGTGAGATGGGCGAGTCGGCTACGAGCACAGACAGCTTCTCGGGCTGCACACCCAGCCTTCAATAGAACAGGTGCTGCCATAGCACCTCTAGTGCATCCCAGTCATAGACCACACCACGGTTCAGCACTGAATAGGATCCCACTTGGTTTTCAGGCACTGCATATCGTGGCTGGCCCTGGGCTGGGTGCTGCAGCAGCTGAACTCGTGAGGGTATGACACTGAGGACATGGTCCTCTCCCGCCAGTCCACATTTGGTGAATCCTGTGCCTGTATCAATCACCACGGCCGCCATGTCCTGGAAGGGTCCCAGTGAGTGGCAGCAGAGCACTGGCGACCGAACTGGCAGAGCATCCATGGTGGACACCAGTTCATAGCAGGCCCCGTGGGGCAGTCCAAGGTGTGCAACTACTGATAAGTGTGTAAGATCCTCAGCTGTCAGCTTGAATGGGGCACTCTGGGGCTCAGTGGCCACCATGGCCATGGGCAAGACCTTGCGTCCAGTGCCAGGTGTGGTAAATGTGATCAAGGGAAGCTGCTCCTCCTGGGTCCTAGGGGAGTTGCCAGGTTGCTGCTGATGCGTGATGGAGTGCTGAGTATTACTGATGCCAACCTTGTCTCTACTCATATAGATACAGGTCTCCTCAGGGGTCAGGGGCACCTGAAATACCCCTACATGAGTAGGCAGGCCTAAGGGCTCATCTTCCTGGGTGGAGACCTGGCCAGGTTCTCCAGGGTTGGGGGACCATCTTGAAAGAGTGGGCTCTTTGGTGATGGGGGGTTCTTTAGATAAAGAGGGATTCCTAGCAAGGGGTGTCTGCCCAGTGAGAGGGGGTTGATCAGTAAGGGGGTGCTCAGGTAGGGGTGGCTGTCCAGCAAGGAGGATCTGCCCAGTGAGGAGAGTCTGTCCAGCATCTTTGGCCTGAGGGTTATCAGGGTGAGCAGGAATGACCTCTTCGTGGCTGCCTATGTCTTCCTGGAGGAGGGATCTGGGCACTTCCTGGGTATCGGCTGGTGCAGCAGGCTCTGAGTTCATCCACTGCAGTTTCTTGGTCTGGACTATGGAGGCATCTGGCATCCTAGAGGGTGCCATGGAAGGGTCTAGCATCCAGATGGTATGACTAGGTTCATTTTTTTCACCATCAGGCTTGGACCAGCTAGTATTAGGGACATGGGTCAGTATCCTCTCATCAAATTGGAGGGGCATCCCCAGTGGAACAGGCCCAGTCAGCATCCCAACCCTGATGGGTGTCTCAGTACCAGGGGAGTCCCATGACTCCAGGTTGAGCCTGGCCTCCTTGGGAATCAGGGCTACCTCTCGGTAGCTGCCAGATGAGAGGCTGCAGGGCACTGGGCTGGACAGCATGGGTGTGATAGACCAAAAGCTGGAGTGATTGCTGTCAGGAGACAGGATGGGTTTGGCCGACAGCTGGGTGGACAGCATATTTTCAGGGACATAGATGGATGGGTGGCTGGGCATGAGGCCCACAAGCACTGCCCGTGAGCCCACAGGGTCATGGCACAGCAGCCCCATCAAATACCAGCACACGGTCCTCCACAACTTCCTGAAGCTGGCAGGTTGGGGCACTGGAGAGGGGGATCTGCATGGCTTCCTTCGGAGACTGGAATGGGGACTGCTTGTGGCAGGTTACTTGGTAGGCAGACAGTGGCACATTAGAGCTGGTATTGTCACAGACATTGGGGAGCTGCTTCTGTGGCTGAGAGCTACAGATCTCCTGGCTACTCCTCTGGGACTTGGAGATAACTGGGGGCTCTGGGCCTGGCATTGGGCTGCCTGGCCTGGAGGTAGAGACTGGAAGTTTCTTCATGGGGTTCTCAGCCTCCTCAGTTGGCACCTTCCTTCTGGGCACCTTCCTTCTGGTAACCTCCTCCTCCTGGGCATGGTCTGGGCGCTCTTCTAGAGTAGGCTTTGGGATGGGAGCCTCCTCTTTAGAGTGGAGATTCACTTTGTCCTGGCAAGATGCAACTATTTTGGAAGACTCCAAGACAGTTGACCACTGATTGCCACACTTCCTGAGAAGGAGGTCTTGAGATGGGCCCTTGGTGACTGCAGTGGTGTCAGTCAGGTGATCAATGGTATGGATGTCAGTTTCAACTGCAGTGGGGGTTGGGGTAACATCCAGAGCTGGAGTCGTAGCCCAAGCTGGAATTGGAGGAGTCAGTGACAGAAAAGAAGGTGTAAGTCCGGGCACGGTGGCTCACACCTATAATCCCAACACTTCGGGAGGCCAAAGCAGGTGGATCACCTGAGGTTGGGAATTTGAGACCAGCCTGACCAACATGGAGAAACCCAGTCTTTACTAAAAATACAAAACTTAGTTGGATGTGATAGCGGGCACGTGTAATCCCAGCTACTTGGGAGGCTGAGGCAGGAGAATCGCTTGAACCCAGGAGGCGGAGGTTGCAGTGAGCTGAGATCGCGCCATTGCACTCCAGCCTGGGCAACAAGAGCAAAACTCCATCTCAAAAAAAGAAAGAAAGAAATTTTAAAAAAGAATGTGTAACTAGGGCAGCAGCCTGAGCTGGACACTTACCCTGGTCCTGATCTTGGGCTAGATCCTGAGCTGGAGCCAGAAGAGCACCTTGGGCTTCGGGAGCACCATTCTCTCCTGAGAGGAGGAAGGGCAGCCACCGACTCTTCCTGCTGCCCAAGGAGGCTATCTGGTCGGAGCTGCAGGGGCCTTTGCCCCAGCCTACCAGGACCTTAGCTGGACGCTTGCCTTCCCCCAAATTCTGCACCTGAAACCGAAGGTGGCAGGGTCCACACTGGGCTATGTCACTGGTGCTGTCACTGTGCATGCACTCTGGTAAGGTCAGGGTGACATCCTCCATGATGAGATGTTGTTGGGCTCCCACAATGGGACTTGAAGATACACTAGTGGAGGAGAGTCTCGGGGCATCCTGGGAGGCCTGCTCACAGCAGCACTGGGAGCTAACCCAAGCAGGATCCTGGAGTAGCTGGCAAATGGACCCAGGGATGCAGGCCTGGGAGGCTGGGCCACAGGCACCATCAGTGATGGTCTTGGTAGACAATGACAACCCCTGCTTGAAGTATAGGGATTCTGAGCTTATCCGTGGTCCCTGAGACCCTCTGAGGCCACTCCCCAGCTGCTGGCTGCCGGCTGAGGGGTGGTCCTGGGGACCCGATGGATCAGGGCCCCCCACCTTCTTGGTGGCTTCCATAGTCCTCCTGCTCCATGCCCTAGGTGCCCTGCCCTCACTCCATTGCCATGGTGACCTTACACATCACAGCCCCCTGGGGATTGACTTGAAGATTCTGAGCAGAGGATCCACCCCCACCCCTGCTGCGCCCATCCCTAACCCTGCAGGATACTGGTCCTGGGCTTCAGGGACATGTGGCTCTGGGAAGGGGTGACATCACAGTGACCTGGGGAGTGCCAGAGTGTAGGAAACCAGGGTCCCCATGCTCCTGAAGAATGGAGGCTTGCCCAGGGAACCTTAGGAGGCAGGGGGCCAGGGGACACCAGTGAAGTCAGTCAGCTGCAGGCCAGCCTCCCCTATCCTTCCCAGCCAGGTGCACATTCTGCCCAGGCTAGTCCCACAGTGAGGGCCAGGAACTGTCAGGATAAGGCCAGAGGAAAAAGGTAGGCAGGGGAGACTCTGAGGAAGCCCCTGGCACAGAACCTTTGGATGGTGTGCAAAGTCCCTTCACCACTCAGCCCTGGGAGGCAGAAGTGGGTGAGGGACCCAAGCTCAGTCCCAAGCTCCCCTCCTTATGTTCCCCGGCTCCCGCTCCAGGGACAGCAGCTCCTTGGCAGTCTCTGCTGCTCCAGATGGTTCTCCTCTGCCTGTGCCTCATGGAGCCCCCTCCCCAGAGCCACATGTCCCTGAAGCCCAGGACCAGTATCCTGCAGGGGTAGGGATGGGGGTGGCAGGGGTGGGGGTGGGGCCTCTGCTCAGAATCCTCAAGTCAGAATTTCTAGCTCTTGACACATTGTGTCAGCTTCATCTTGGCCATAATGGGGGCAGAGCTCTGGGCACAGGGCTGCACCACAGCAGCCACAGGGCTAGCCAAGTGGCAATTACAGGATGGTAAGACCACAGTGGTCTCAGGGCTAGCCCCACAGTGGGGACATAGTGGGTGGAGGACTGAGTACACAGTGGGCATAGAGCTGCATATACAGCAAGGACAAGTCAGACAATGAATTAGATGGGGCGATGCATAGGAAATATAAGCTACCAGACCAGGTGGGCAATTCCACCCTCCATTTCTTTTCTTTTTTTTTTTTTTTTTTTTTTTGAGACAGAGTCTCGCTCTGTCACCCGGCTGGAGTGCAGTGGCGTGATCTCGGCTCACTGCAAGCTCCGCCTCCCGGGTTCCCACCATTCTCCTGCCTCAGTCTCCCGAGTAGCTGGGACTACAGGCGCCCGCCACCACGCCCAGCTAATTTTTTGTATTTTTAGTAGAGACAGGCTTTCACCGTGTTAGCCAGGATGGTCCTGATCTCCTGACCTCGTGATCCGCCCACCTCGGCCTCCCAAAGTGCTGGGATTACAGGCGTGAGCCACTGTGCCCGGCCCCATTTCTTAAATAGAGAGAAAAAAAGGGGGGCAGGGAGGAGTGGAACCTGCCTGGAGCAGCAGCCTAGGCTCAGAGCTGCCCTATAGCCACAAGGACAGGCCTAGGCAACAGTTTGGAGAGCTGCACATTGCCACAGGCCCAGGTCTGGAGGTTCTAACCTGTGGTAGGGTCAGGCCCTCCTCCTTCCCACCAGATCTGAGCTCTGGGCCTCCTCCCTCTGTCTGGCAGGGCTGTGTTCTTTCAGGCCTCAGTCTTTCCACCCAGGAAACAGGTTTGTGGACAATATAACTGTAGGTTTGTTCTCTGAAACTGTTTTCACAGAGGTTAAAAATAGTGTTTACAGTTGGCTGTGGGGTGTGAGGCTCTGTGACCAGGGACAAAAGTTAACACAAAGGTGCTGCATCTGCAGCTTGCTAACTTGGCACTGGGCACAGCCAGGCTCTGCCACATCTCAGGCCCCCTGGGCTCCCACCCCTCTTCCCTTGATGCTGCCTTTGGTTAAGAATGGGGACAGGGCCAGGTGTGGTGGCTCACGTCTGCAATCCCAATACTTTGGGAGGCCAAGACAGGAGGATTGCTTGAGCTCAGGAGTTTGAGACCAGCCTGGGCAACGAAGCGAGACCCCGTCTCTATAAAAATAATTTTTTTTTTTGAGATGGAGTCTCCCTTTCTTGCCCAGGCTAGAGTGTAATGGCACGATCTTGGCTCACTGCAACCTCTGCCTCCCAGGTTCAAGTGATTCTCCTGTCCCAGCCTCCCAGGTAGCTGGGATTACAGGCACCCGCCACCACGCCAGGCTAATTTTTGTATTTTTAGTAGAGACAGGTTTCACCATGTTGGCCAGGCTGGTCTTGAACTCCTGACCTCAGGTGATCCCTCTGCCTCAGCCTCCCAAAGTGCTAGGATTAAAAATGATTTTTTTTAAAAAGTTAAAAAAGAGTGGAAACCGATAGCTCTGGACACCAAGGGGGAGCTGCTCATCCTCTCATGCGAACGTCCAAAGCCCAAGGGTCTGCCTGTGCATATGTGTGCCTACATTCATGTACACACATACTTGCTGCCCACTATTAATGTCATTAATCTTTGGCTTAAGCAAGCTAGTTTTCTGTTTACAACAGAGATGCTAGTAACAGCCTCTAGTGCCTGTGCAGCATTTGAGCTGGACTGTGCCTTGGAGGGTTGGAGAGGCATGGAGAGAGGTCCTGAGAGCCTCTGGCCTGTCTCACCACTGAGCCATCGTCCACCTCCTGCAGAGGTGGGGCATAACACTCCTTTCCAGAACTGTGGTCCTTTGTAAACAACTGGCCTGAGGTCTCCTGGGGGAAGGGAGCAGAACTGGCTGAAGCGTCTAGCCCATGAAAGAAGGCCCAAAGGAAGCAGCCAGGATAGAGAAGGCCCTTATTTTTATTTTCATTTTTAGAAGCAAGGTCTCACTCTGTTGCCCAGGCTGGAGTGCAGTGGCATTATCATTGCTCACTGCAGCCTTGAACTCCTGGGCTCAAACAATCCTCACCACTCAGCCTTCTGAGTAGCTGGGATAGTGTGAGCCACCACACCTGGCTAATTTTTTTTTTTTTTTTTAATAGAGAAGGGTTCTCACTTTGTTGCCTAGGCTGGTCTCAAACTCCTGGCTTCCTCCCACCTTGGCCTCCCAAAGTGCTGGGATTACAAGCATGGGCCACCATGTCTGGCTGCAAAGGTCCTTATAGCAAACACCCCTTATAGTAATAATAACAATAACTGATATTGATGGGGTCCTTCCTCTGTGCCAGCACAACGTGGAGCACTCACAACCCAGACTCACAGCAATTCAATGAGCTGGGCACTGTCATACCTCATTTTACAAATAAGGAAATCAAGGCAAGGAAAGAAAGGGAGAGAGGTCTGTCTCAGCTAGTGTGTAGTGGAGCCAGAATCTGAAGCCAGGCCACCAGGCTCTGGATTCATACTTCAGGATCCTGTGTTGCCACCACTGGGTGCCATGCTCAGGGCCAGGCAGTCACAGACCCTGCTGGAGGGGAGCTAAAATGACTCCATTGTGGGTTCTGCAGCAGCAAGCCCTACACCCAAGCTGGGTCCTGCATGGACCTGCTCCTCCTCCTGATAGCTTATCAGGTAGCTCAAGCCTGAGAGGAGGCCCTTCCAGGAACCTGGTGGTGCTGAGTATGGGCCAGACTGAATCCTTCGTATTCAGAATTCTTAGCTGGCCAAAGCCTGCTCATCTCATCCAGCTGGGGAGAGGAGCAGCAGGGCAAATAAAGAGGCTTTCAGGCTGGGTCCCTTCTTCCCAGCCCCTAGGGATAGCGCCCCTCGGCCCCTCCCCCAACATGTTTTTAAATAGTGTCTCACCAGGAAGAAGGGCGTCCAATTCTATTTCTGAATCTGGGAAGTGAGGAGGGCCAACGTGTTGCCATGGCAACCTGGAGAGCCCCTCCCCCAGACTGAGCCCATTCCCCAGGCTGAGGGCTGTGGGGTGGGAGGGAGGTGGCAAGGAGGAGCTGGGAGGAGCTTAGTCTGTGGATGAGGCCAGATGGCGTCCCTGTGAGGGCAAGTCCTGCATGACCTTCTCCTCACACTTCACCTCACCCCTCTAGGCAGGCTTGCTAGGAAGGCCCCAACCTCTGCAGAGAGGGTCAAGGGTCAAATCACTGTGAGAAACCCTTCTCCCCTGTGGATCAGGCTGGAACCCTCCCACTTAGGAGGTCTTGAGGATAGTAGAGAGGTGGCAAGAAGGGCGTCAAGGGGAGAGGCACAGCGCCACACCCTATTAGGAGCTCTACAGCTGGCTCCCACACCTGCTTCAATACAGACCTATTTTCGGCTCCCTTGTGTTCTCAGGAGGCAGCTAGCTTTGTCAAGCCCCTGGCCTTGCACCCGTCCGGTCTGCCTGCCTTCTACTGCATTGGGAAGGGTCTGGACATCTCCAAAAGCTAGGATCAGAAAGAGCCTTAAAGGACTCCCAGTGCAGCCCTTCACTTGATAATGGAGCAAAAAGGGAGGCATGTTTCCCCACGGGTTCGCACCCCAGCCACTGTCCAGGGGTTCATACATCAGCCCTTCTACCCCAGAGGTGACAGATGGGTAGCATTTAGATCTGCAGAGGGAGGGCATTCCCCTCCCTCTTGAGCACAGCTCAAGCAAAGGCAGGCTTCTGAACAGACTCAAAGGTATCTTGATTCAACCCTCTCTTGGTGCTGATGGGAAGCTGAGGCCCCCCAAGGAGGAAGGAATGCACTCTTGGTCTCCTAGCTCTATGGCCCACACTCCTTACCTTCCTCTCCTTACCTTCCTCCCTGGAGCTATCCAAGTGACCTGTGAACCCTAGACCTAGACCTCCTGCTTCCCTGACATTTCTCCTGGCCAGGATACACCCATTCCACAGAGGCAGGACTATGATTAAAGGAGCTGGCACCTCCTGCTCCATGGCCCCCCTGTCTGACCCCAGAGGAAGACAGGAAGTATCAGAGAACCCCAGCCTTAGGGGAACCTTAGGCAGGGTTAGGGGAGATAATCCACTCCTATTCTGAAATGTGGAAGGCAGAACCCACTAGTACTAGCAGGATATGGCTTCTGAGCTCTAAGGCACAGGGAAATTTAAATAACAGATGTTTAAACAATCTTCCCTGCAAGCCGGCAGTGCAGTGACCCCTCTGCTGTGATGTGTTGCAGCTTAAAAATAGCCCACAATGAACTGCTCTGAGCCCCAATTGACTCGAGCTTACGTAACTCTGCGTGAAAGGTGGCCAGCCGCATCAGCCCAGAGGGAAGGCAACAGCACAGCCGCCCTGACTGCTGCCCACAGCTGTCTTAGGGGCTGGGAGAGCTCCTCACCCTCCCTGGGAACAGCCCCCACATCCAGAAGCCAGCAAAAGTGGAGGCAAAGGTGGTACTGCCAAAAGCACACATGGCTTCATGACTGCTGAGCAGAGCTGACCTCTAGTCACACCTGCAGAGGGAATGTGAGCAGAGCTGCCCTCCTTCAGGGTTCCTATGGAACCCAGGTCCGGTGGACAGTGGGAGTGACTTTAAATTAAACAGATGACTGGGTCGAAGAGACCAGGGCAGGAGCCCATGTGAACAGGGTGACTGGAGCCACCCAAAAGATTCCTTTCCCTCTTTGAAGAGAAGGCTCCCTGGCTTTGAGGGACATGTCAGCAGGATTAATGCTTGGCTAAAGCTGCCACTGCCATGGAGCCCACGGGTGGAGCTGACTCCTTTGGGGCCTCTGATTCTCCATGGTCCAGGGTGCAGTGTCCCACGAGGGACTTGTGGCATGAGGAAGGGATAATTAGTTTCAAGGGTGATTGAATCCCATGATCTTGACCGCCTGCTGCTTTAAGCTCCCTGCCTTCCCTAATGCATCTCCAGATCCCAAACGCCGAGTGCAAGACTGGCTACAAAAGTATGCAGGTGGTTGGTCAGGTGAGGTGGCTCACGCCTGTAATCCCAGCACTTCGGGAGGCTAAGGTGGGTGGATCACCTGAGGCCAAGTGTTCCAGACCAGCCTGGCCAACATGATGAAAGCCCATCTCTACTAAAAATAAAAAATAATTAGCCAGGGATGGTGGTACACGCCTATAATCCCAGCTACTCAGGAGGCTGAGGCAGAATTGCTTGAACCCAGGAGGCGGAGGTTGCAGTGAGCCAAGTTCATGCCATGGCACTCCAGCCTGGGTGACAGAGTGAGACTCTGTCTAAAAAAAAAAAGAGTATGCAGGTGGTTAAACCAAACTGAAAGAGAGTGGAGAGGTGAGATGGTGAAGATACCTCTGGCATTGGGAGTCTCTGGTACTCACTGGTCCCGCTGCTTTGGCACATGCTGAGCCTTACCAAGGAATAAGCAACTTCCCTCAGCTCCTACCACCTGAGCTGAAAATAGGAACCACCACAGGCCTGGCCCCTGAGCTCCCATAGAGCAACAATGAGACTGGGTTTGGAATGGGGCTATATCTGGAGCCCACAGGTATGACCCTAATATAGTTTGGATATTTGTCCCCACCCCAATCTCATGCTGAATTGCAATCCCCAGTGCTGGTGGTGGGGCCTGATGGGAGGTGTTTGGGTGATGGAGGTGGATGCCTCATCTTGGTGCTATCTTCATAACAGTGAGTTATTTTGAGATCTGGTCATTTAAAAGTATGTGGCACCTTCCTGCTACTCTCTCTCTCTCTTCCTCCAACTTGCACCATGTGAAGTGCCTGCTCCCGCTTTGCCTTCTGCCACGATTGTAAGCTTCCTGAGGCCTCCCCAGAAGCAGATGCTGGCACAATGCTTCCTGTACAGCCTGCAGAACTGTGAGCCAAGTAAACCTCTTACAAATTACCTAGTCTCAGGTATTTCTTTCTAGAGACCTAGCCTGATATAGACCCCCAGAGAGCCTTTGGGTCCCTCAGAATATTCCCTGAAAGGCTGGGGCTGAGGCCGAGACATAAGGGGAATCTTAGGCCAGATTCATGGTACCCCATCAAAGCAGGTCAGTCTGCCCCATGCACGCCCTCCAGGCTCCAGAGAACAGTGACACCAATGGGCAGTCAGGAGGGTGTGAGTCATCTGCTGCCTCCTCAGCGCCAGCTCCCACCCTGGCCTGCTCAGCCTTTATTAGCATCTGCTTGCCCCTAGCCCTACTGGGCTGAGATGGAGGGAGATGGGACAGAGAGGTACCTACTCTTCATAGCTCTTGGTTGGAAGGCTGGTCTCCGAAAGCCCTAGGAGAAACCTCTGTCCACACCATTCCACCCTGGTGGCAGGCCCAGGCCTCCCATGGCCACTAGTAACCCTCCTCTTGCACTGGCCACCCACCATACCTGAGCTACTGCCCAGGCCTCCCCTAGAGGAGAGGCAGCCCAGCCTTCATCAGCCCTGGAAGCCACATGGTCCCCCAGCCCATCCAGGGACCTAGAACTGACCCTCCCTACCCTGTTCTCCCTGGTAGCCCAGTCACTGATTTGAAGCCCTAAAACAGTCCGAGCTCCTGACACCCCAGATGGGGTTGGGACTATCAGATGGCTCTGAGAATGAAGCTCAGAGCTTAGGGGCTGCAGAAATTGAGAGTGGGGGCAGCTGTGTCACAATCCAGGGCCCCAAGTGCCTAACTGGGGCCCCTCCCTGGAGAATTCTGGCCCTGGAGGACCTTGGCCCAGAAGCAGGCCCAAAGCCCTACATTCTGGCTGCACCTGACACCCTCTTTCTCTCCTATCTCTCTTCTCTGGGAGCCTTTCCCATGCTAAGCTCCCTTCTTGTCCAGAGACTCCCTTTCTCTCTGAGCCCCTCATGTGAACAGATAAGCCAGTGGTCCATGAGCTGCAGAAGCTCAATGGGGAAGGAGCTCCTGGGCTTAAGAGATTTGGGTGATCCTTAGAACCCCAGGATGGGGTTAAAGGGGAGAACTACAAGTTGGAGGGATGAAGGCAGTCCTTTCCAACTGAGGTGGGGATGGGCCCCAGGATACTCCACTTACCTCCCTCGCAGCCTCCGGGGTAACACAAGTGTCTCCTGCACACACAGAGACAAAGGGTCAGTGGCCAAGCATGCGGGGCTACAACCTCCTCAGTGCCTGCTGAGGCACTGAGAGTCATCCAAGGTACGGTGGTAAACAGACAGATAGTCCTTCTCTGCCCCTCTTCAGCACACGGGTTCCTGATCTTTGGATCCCTGCACTCAAGCAAGAATCTCCTTTTAAGCCTTACCCACCTGTCCTCAGAGTCCTTAGAGTCCCCAGGACTGGACTTCTCTCTGGCCTGAGGTGGCAGAGCGAGCAGCAGCTGGATGGAGAAAGCTGGGCAGCTCTGGTCCCAAGGAGACTCTCACTCTGATTAGCAGGGAGCTCTTGCTCCAAACCCAGGGTTCCATGTCTGACAGGGCACAGAGCTGTGGGCTCCGAGGGAAGGAAGCCTACCCTCTTAGGGTGAGCTGGGGTCTCCTAACTGAAGGGATGGAGGCTATGGGGGTCCTGAGCAAGGGAGAAGAAACACTGTGATCCAGGTCCTGGGCCAGGCACCCTGGCACCCCAGCTACCCCCTCAGCAGTCAGTGTAGGGAGGAAGAGGAGGAGGGGAAAGTCTCCCTCTCAGAGGAGCACGCCCCTCTAGGGGCTGTTGTGCAGTGGCCTTTACAAGTACAAATAGCTGGGGCAGTTGGCACTTTGAAGTTGGCTCCTTTTTTTTTTTTTTTTTTTTTGAGATGGAGTCTCACTCTGTCGCCCATGCTAGAGTGCAGTAACCCGATCTCGGCTCACTGCAACCTCCGCCTCCCAAGTTCAAGCGAGTCTCCCACCTCAGCCTCCTGAGTACCTGGGATTGCAGGCGTGCACCACCACACACAGCTTAATTTTTGTAATTTTAGTAGAGACAGGGTTTCACCATCTTGGTCAGGCTGGTCTCAAACTGCTGACCTCAAGTGATCCGCCTGCCTCAGCCTCCCAAAGTGCTGGGATTACAGGCATGAGCCACCGCACCTGGCCAGAAGTTGGCTCCTTGAAAGTGTGGAGTTAGGCCGGGTGCGGTGGCTCACGCCTGTAATCCCAGCACTTTGGGAGGCCGAGGCGGGTGGATCATGAGGTCAGGAGATCGAGACCATCCTGGCTAACAAGGTGAAACCCCGTCTCTACTAAAAATACAAAAAATTAGCCGGGCGCGGTGGCGGGCGCCTGTAGTCCCAGCTACTCGGGAGGCTGAGGCAGGAGAATGGCGTGAACCCGGGAAGCGGAGCTTGCAGTGAGCCGAGATTGCGCCACTGCAGTCCGCAGTCCGGCCTGGGCGACAGAGCGAGACTCCGTCTCAAAAAAAAAAAAAGAAAGTGTGGAGTTGAGGCCTTGCTGCTGGCTTATCTCTCTTAAGGCTACAAGCGCAATCAATGCTGGCAGTGTTGCTGGGACCCAAGCCTCTATGCCCCAGATGGCAGGCCCCATTCCATCCTGGATGGTGTGACGGTGGGCACTGCAGATCGAGCAGGGAGCCCTGGAGAAGTGCTAGGGCTGGGGAAAGGGGAGGAGGCAGCCTGAGCCATGGAAGAAACCATCCTGGTCACTGCATGCTTGGGTACTCAGCCTACTTCCTTGGTTCCATCTAACAGTCCCCAGAGCCCTAGGACCTGGATCTGGGCCTTGCTCACCCTCCCTGTTCTCAAAATCCTTCTTGCTGATCCAACTCCTTTCCAGCCTCAGGGTCTTTGCATGTGTGACTCTCTGCCAAAAACCCTCTTTCCTCAACACTGTTTCTGGTGGTTTTTCCCCGGTTGATAAGGCCTCAGCAAAATGTCACCTCCTGGGAGGCTTCCCTTGCCTCTCTATTCAGCTATTTATAGCAGCCTCCTGTCATTCTTTCACACTGTTTGCTACAATTTGTGCTTTAATAGTCATTTGTTCCTTTATTGGTTCAAGGGTCAGTGTTGGTGTGGTCACTGCTGAGTCCACTGTGCCCAGAAGACAGGGTCCACAGCAGGCACTCCATAAATACATGTTGCAGGACTGCCCTCACTGGCTCACTCTGTGGAGTGAGGGACCTAATGGGCCCCATTTACCTATTGCCTCTGAAAGTTAAAGGGCAGGAACAAGGTGGAGGGCCACTGCCCTCTGGCCTGGCATGGCCCAGAGGCAGCTTGGGGTTAGCTCAAGGCAGCTAAGCAGGTCCAGCCCAAGAACTAAGTCAAGTGGGCCGAGGAGGCTCTGAGAGTGGCCGGGGCCGGCGTACATTCCCTGGCATGGGTGAGAACTGCGGCTGTTCTGGACGCACATTCATCTCATGCGAGGTGCTGGGGCCCAAGTTCATGTAGGTTGCTGGCAGCTGCACATAATGGTCCCCAAGCAGTGCAGACACTATCTGCTCCACCTCCCCCACTAGTACTCTGAAGGTGGGTCGCACTGCTGGGTCTGCCTCCCAGCATTGCTGCATCACTTGGTACCTGTTGGGGGAAAGGGATGTCAGGTTAAGGCAATTTCCACCCAAGGATTCTGGGCCACCCACTTGCTGTTAAACCTCTGGCAGGCCACACAGGGATGAGGATAGATGACAGGACCTAGTACCTAGCACTACCCAATCAGGGGCAGCTCTTCTCATCCCTATGATTACTGTTCCAGTCCTGCCTTCCCACCCTGGCAGAGGTCGAACTACCTCAGGTGTTAAGAGCTTGGGCTCCTGTGCCCTGTGGCCTGGGCTAT
Source organism: Homo sapiens (assembly GCF_000001405.40). NCBI lineage: Eukaryota > Metazoa > Chordata > Mammalia > Primates > Hominidae > Homo > Homo sapiens. Next base: position 49,887,819 of record NC_000003.12, read on the forward strand.
GTGATCTTGGATAAGTTCCTTAACTTCTCTGTGCCTCTGGGTCCTCCTCTGATCACAGAGAAGTAGGCATATAGGCTGATGCCTGTGAAGTGCTAGGCACAAGGCCCAGCTCACGAGGTACAATGGTCATCATCACAGTTCTTCCAGGAAGGAAGCCTGGGTCCAGCAAAGCAGGAATTAAAAATCCTGAAGTGGCCGGGGGCAGTGGCTCATGCCTGTAATCCCAGCACTTTGGGAGGCTGAGGTGGGCAGGTCACGAGGTCAGGAGTTCGAGACCAGCCTGGCCAACATAGTGAAACCCCATCTCTACTAAAAATACAAAAATTAACTGGGCAAAGCTGGGCGTGGTGGCTCACGCCTGTAATCCCAGCACTTTGGGAGGCCAAGGTGGGTGGATCACGAGGTCAGGAGATCGAGACCATCCTGGCTAACACAGTGAAACCCCGTCTCTACTAAAAACACAAAATATTAGCCGGGCGTCGTGGCAGGCGCCTGTAGTCCCAGCTACTCGGGAGGCTGAGGCAGGAGAATGGCGTGAACCCGGGAGGCGGAGCTTGCAGTGAGCCGAGATTGCACCACTGCACTCCAGCCTGGGCAACAGAGCGAGACTCCATCTCAAAAAAAAAAAAAAAAAATTACTGGGCGTGGTGGCACACGCCTGTAGTCCCAGTTACTCAGGAGGCTGAGGTAGGAGAATCACTTGAACCTGGGAGGCAGAGGTTGCAGTGAGCCAACATTGCGCCACCGCACTCCAGCCTGGGCATCAGAGTGAGACTCTGTCTCAAAAAAAAAAAAAAAAATTCTGAAGCAAGAGCATTTGGGGCAGCACCAGTGGCACCCTGGTCCTGAAGCAGAGGTTCCCCAGGTTTACCTGCTGGGTCCTAGTGCCTGCCCCATTATCTTGGGGATGTCATTCCTGCCTGAAATAATACTCTACCCTACACACAATATCTCATATAATTCTCAGACTCTCGGAAGGTGGTACTGTTGTCTCCACTTTACAGATGAGGAAATTGAGGCCCAGAGAGGAGAAGGGCTGGACTGCTGAAGTGGACCCTATGGTGTGCCACCCAGATACCCCTTTACTTTCCCAGTGGCTAGGAGTGTTGCCTGCTGATGGTTCTTGACTGAGGCTCTCTCTAGGAATTGCCCTAGGCAGAAGAGAACTGCCTCTGCCAAGCTCACATCCCCTCACCAGGGACAGCCTGTGACTAGTAACTGATTAATGCCTGGTACAAAGACCTGGCCTGTTGGTCTCAATTTCAGAAAACTGTGGTGGGTCATCCCAGTTCAAGCAGTCCCTGTGGGATGGGCTGCAGTTTCTGTGACATTTCTCCTGCCCAGTCCTTCTTCCCTTGCCCCCAACCTCTCAGTAAATCCCCGTACATAAATCTCCAGCTGAGTCTGTTTCCAGGAGCCCAATCTGGATATGGGTAGGCAGTGAATTAAAGAAGTGAATAGTAAGAGCAAACCCAAGGCAGGTAGGACTGTGAGGAAGGGCTACTCGCATCCTTCTTGGAGCACAGCCTGAGACAGGAGGCGTTAACTACTTTTACCTATGTCCTGGTTCTCTCTGTTCTAACCCAGCAGACCTAGCCACAGCTCAGGCACACCTGCTACGTATGAAGCTGAACCTCAGCACCGAACCCACCCCGTAGGCACTGAGGACAATGCAGCTGCCGCCATCCCTCCAGGAATGGGGAATCTGAAACCACATACAGTGAAAAAACCTGACCTGGAGATCCAGAGGGGGTTGCTGTGGGGGTTATGGAATCTTTCCTCGAGATTAAATGAGAGGAAAAGGTGGAAAGCAGACCCCGTTAGTGGGAGTCGGGTAGGAGGAGCACTGGGAAAATCAAACCACGGGCCTCAACCCCAACTCTGAGCTCAGAATGCTGTTACCATGGCAACTGTGAGGTCCTCCCAGGGTCCTACTCTGCATGAGGGTGGGACCAGTTCACAGATGAGGAAATTGAGGCCCAGCGAGAGTCCCTTTCCTAGTCAACCAGAAGTTCAGTCAGGAAGCCAGGCAGGAGCTCTGTCTCCTGTCTCTTCCATGTCTCTGGGGCCCAGTTCCCTCCCCACTACCACCTCCACATACTCACAGAGAATCAGGGCAATACTCAGGCTGGGGCAGGCGCCGACCCTGGGCCAGGAAGTGGGTAAGGTCAAAAGGGTCAATGTGGCGGTATGGTGGGGCACCCCGTGTCAGCAGTTCCCACAGCAGCACACCAAATGACCACTGTGGAAAGGGGGAGGTGAGGGGACTCAACTCACCCCAAATTTGGGGGCAGGTGGGTCCCCCAGGGCTTCTACCTCCCAGAGTCCTTCAGCTGGAAATGGAAGACCCTACCCTCCACTGAGAGCTCATTCCTCAATACATCACCTGTGTCTTTCCTCTGTCTCCTCCCACTACCTCATCCTACCCAGAGTTGGGGCTGGGCAGGCCCTGGATTATCTGTGAGGAGCCAGTGAGTTCCCAGCCTCCTCTAGCCCTGGCAGGTGTCAGATTCCATCTTACATCTGCCCAAGAGGTGAGCAGATGGGCTGTGGGGGTCATCTACCCTGGGGACTCCCTGGGCTCAGATCATTCAGAGCTGAATGGGTGAGGCCCAGTGTTCTTGGGTGCCAAAGCCATGTGGACTGTAGGGCAGGTGGGGCCTCACCACATCAGACTTGGTGGTAAATCTATAGGTCTGCAGGCTCTCCAGCGCCATCCACTTCACAGGTAGGCGAGCGTGGCGATGCTGTTGAACACTATAGTACTCCCTGTCCAGGATGTCGCGGGCCAAACCAAAGTCAGCCACCTTGACTGTGAATGACTCGTCCAGCCTTAGGGGTAGGGAGAGGATCACACTTAGGACTGGCCCTTACCAGGCCCTGAACCCACCTGTTCTAGGCCCTTACAGAATTTTTTTTTTTTTTGAGACGGAGTCTCGCTCTGTCACCCAGGCTGGAGTGCAGTGGCGCGATCTCCGCTCACTGCAAGCTCTGCCTCCTGGGGTCACGCCATTCTCCCGCCTCAGCCTCCTGAGTAGCTGGGACTACAGGGGCCCGCCACCACGCCTGGCTAATCTTTTTGTATTTTTAGTAGAGACGGGGTTTCACCGTGTTAGCCAGGATGGTCTCGATCTCCTGACCTCATGATCCGCCTTCCTCAGCCTCCCAAAGTGCTGGGATTACAGACGTGAGCCACCGCGCCTGGCCAAATTTCAAAGCCACAGTGTCCAGTCCAAGTCTGCACTGGGCAGACAAAAAAAGTAAGGTGCAGAGAGGGGAGGACAAGGCTGGAGTGGGCCCTTCCCTGAGGCGGCCTTGAGCACCGCACACCCTCATGCCCTGTCCTTTTGCTTCACCCCAGCTACTCTGGACTCTCACATGCAGTTCCGCGCAGCCAGGTCCCTGTGCACAAACTTCTGCTCTGCCAGGTACTCCATGCCGCGGGCTACCTGCAGGCCAAAGCTGATGAGGTCCTTCACGGTGGGGTTCTGGGGGCACAGGTGGGTTGGTGGGCAAGGGCACAGCAGCTCCTTCTCCAGCTGCTGCCCAGCCCCCAACCCAGAGCCAGATGAACACTGACCCGCTGAGGTGAGCGGATGAACTGGAGCAGGTCACCGTGGCACATATAGGGCAGCAGCACATGGGGCAGGCCCTCAGGTGGCAACATGATACCAATGAGAGCCAGCACATTCGGGTGGTTCAGGCCACGCATGAGCAGCCCCTCTCGCAGGAAGGCCTCCACCTGCTGCATCTCTGTGATGCCTGCAGAGCAGCGCAAGTCAGGCACAGGGCAGGGCGTCCCTTTATAAGGCTCAGATGGGGAAATGGGAAATGAAGGTCTCCTGCTCAGGGTCACTCAGTAAGGTGGGAACACAGAGAAAAAGAATCCTCCCAGCCTGAGGCCCCTCCCTCTGCCTTCCCATCTTCTGCCCCACTTACGACTTAGTGACTTGATGGCACATTGGATTCGATTCTGGGCCTGGTCTATGTATTCTCCGTGGTAGACAACTCCAAAGTGGCCTGGTGTGAGGTGCATAATGAGTCGATGAGAGGGGATCCAGGGCCCAAGGCTCACACCACACATTCTCATTGGCAACCAGACCTCAGAGCACTAAACTGGCCAATCTGACATTTTATTTATTTTTAATTTTTATTTATTTTTTTTGAGACCGAGTCTCACTCTTGCCCAGGCTGAAGTGCAGTGGTGCAATCTCAACTCATTGCAACCTCTGCCTCCCAGGTTCAAGTGATTCTCCTGCCTCAGCCTCCTGAGTAGCTGGGATTACAGGCAACTGCCACTACACACAGCTAATTTTTTTGTATTTTTAGTAGAGACTGGGTTTCACCATGTTGGCCAGGCTGGTCTCAAACTCCTGATCTTGTGATTCACCCACCTAGGCCTCCCAAAGTGCTGGGATTACAGGTGTGAGCCACCACACCCGGCCCAATCTGACATTTTAAAAAAGCAGCAGGGCTGCGTGCAGTGGCTCACACCTGTAATGCCAGCACTTTGAGAGGCCAAGGCGGGTGGATCACGAGGTCAGGAGTTTGAGACCAGCCTGGCTAATATGGTGAAACCCCATCTCTAGTCCCAGCTGCTTGGGAGCCTGAGGCAGGAGGATAGCTTGAACCCGGGAGGCAGAGGTTGCAGTGAGCCAAGATCGTGTCACTGCACTCCAGCCTGAGAGACAGGGCGAGACTCCATCCCCCTCAAAGAAAAGCAGCAGAAGCCAAGCGCAGTGCGCCTGTAATCCCAGTTACTCAGGAGGCTGAGGCAAGAGAATCGCATAAGCCCAGGAGTTCAAGGCCAGCCTGGGTAACATAGTGAGATGCTGTCTTTTTTTTAAATTAAAAAAAAAAAAAAAAGGCTCATGCCTTTAATCCTAATACTTTGGGATGCTGGGGCGGGAGGATCAGCTGAGGTCAGGGGTTCAAGACCAGTCTGGCCAACATGATGAAACCCCGTCTCTACTAAAACTACAAAAATTAGACAGGTGTGGTGGCAGTGGCAGGCCCCTGTAATCCCAGCTACTCAGGAGGCTGAGGCAGGAGAAATGCTTGAATCCAGGAGGCAGAGGTTGCAGTGAGCCGAGATTGCACTACTGCACTCCAGCCTGGGCAATAGAGTGAGACTCTGTCTCAAAAAAATAAAAATAAATAAATAAGTAAATAAAGCAGGGTCGGGTGCGATGGCTCACGCCTGTAATCCCAGCACTTCGGGAGGCCGAGGCGGGCGGATCACCTGAGGTCGGGAGTTTGAGACCAGCCTGGCCAACATGATGAAACTCCATTTCTACTAAAAATACAAAAATTAGACGGGCTTGGTGGTGCACGTCTGTAATCCCAGCTACTTAGGAGGCTGAGGCAGGAGAATCACTTGAATCCGGGAGGCAGAGGTTGCAGTGAGCTGAGATCATGCCACTGCACTCCAGCCTGGGTGACAGAGTGAGGTTCTGTCTCAAAAATAAATAAATAAATAAATAAATAAATAAATAAATAAATAGGCTGGATACAGTGGCTCACGCCTGTAATCCCAGCACTTTGGGAGATCAAGGCAGGCAGATCACCTGAGGTTAGGAGTTTGAGACCAGCCTGGCCAACATGGTGAAACCCCATCTCTACTAAAAATACAAAAATTAGCCAGGTGTGGTGGCGGGCGCCTGTAATCCCAGCTACTAGGGAGGGTGAGGCAGGAGAATTGCTTGAACCTGGGAGGGGGAGGTTGCAGTGAGCCAAGATTGCACCACTGCACTCCAGCCTGGGTGATAGAGCAAGACTCCATCTTGAAAAAATAAAATAGGCCGGGCGCGGTGGCTCACACCTGTAATCCCAGCACTTTGGGAGGCTGAGGCGGGTGGATCATGAGGTCAGGAGATCGAGACCATCCTGGCTAACACGGTGAAACCCCATCTCTACTAAAAATACAAAAAATTAGCCGGGCACGGTGGCAGGCGCCTGTAGTCCCAGCTACTTGGGAGGCTGAGGCAGGAGAATGGCATGAACCTGGGAGGCGGAGCTTGCAGTGAGTCGAGATCGCGCCACTGCACTCCAGCCTGGGTGAAAGAGTGAGACTCCCTCTCAAAAAAAAAAAAAAAATAAAATAAAATAAAATAGGCTGGGGGCAGTGGCTCATGCCTGTAATCCTAGCACTTTGGGAGGCTGAGGCGGGCGGATCACCTGAGGTCAGGAGTTCGAGACCGGCCTGGCCAACATGGTGAAATCCTATCTCTACCAAAAATACTAAAAATTAGCCGGGTGTTGTGGCAGGCGCCTGTAATCCTAGCTACTCAGGAAGCTGAGACAGGAGAATCACTTGAACCCGGGAGGAGGAGGTTGCAATGAGCCGAGATCGCGCCATTGCACTCCAGCCTGGGCAACAAGAGTGAAATTCTGTCTCAAAAAAAATAATAATAATAAAATAGAATAAAAATAAAAATAAAATAAAATAAATATAATAAAACAGGCTGGGTTCGGTGGCTCATGCCTGTAATCCCAGCACTTTGGGAAGGTTAGGCAGGCAGATTGCTTGAGTCCAGGAGTTCGAGGCCAGCCTGGACAACATGATTCGAGGCCCATCTCTACAAAAAATAAACAAAAAATTAGCCAGGCATGGTGGTGCATGATTGTAATCCCAGCTACTCAGGAGGCTGAGGCAGGAGGATCACCTGAGGCTGGGGAGGTCGAGGCTGCAGTGAGCCATGATTGTGCCATTGCACTCCAGCCTGGGTAACAGAGTGAGACCCTGTCACAAAAACAAAAACAAAACCATAAATAAAACCAAAAACAAACAGCAGCCACTTGATGGCAGAGGCTACAATCTTCCTATGCCTGATTGATCCACACCAGAACCCACTGAAGACAGAACTTTTCTCATCCCCATTTTACAGATGAGCAAATGGAGGCTCAGAGAGGTTAAGTGGTATACCCAAGGTCACACAGGTTGGTGAGAAGGTTAGAGCAGTATCTGTTCCAACTGTCCCTTTAGCCCATGTCATTTTTTTTTTTTTTGAGAAGGAGTCTCGCTCTGTCGCCCAGGCTGGAGTGCAGTGGTGCAATCTTGGCTCACTGCAAGCTCCGCCTCCCGAGTTCATGCCATTCTCCTGCCTCAGCCTCCCAAGTAGCTGGGACTACAGGCGCCTGCCACCATGGCTGGCTAATATTTTTTTGTATTTTTAGTAGAGACGGGGTTTCACTGTGTTAGCCAGGACGGTCTCGATCTCCTGACCTCATGATCTGCCCGCCTCGGCCTCCCAAAGTGCTGGGATTACAGGAGTGAGCCACCACGCCTGGCCTAGCCTATGTCATCTTGAGACTCCATCTCTGCCCCAGCCCCACCTGGCCCCCACACCTTTGCCAATGACTCGGTCACTGTGGGTGACCACCCGCTCATGGGGAATCAGCACATCCTTGACCTCAGCCAAGAGCGCAGAGTCCAGGTCCCTTAGCTGGATGGACTCTTTCCGCAGCAGTGGCACACAGGATTCATCTTCACTATCGGAGAAGGATGCTCCATGGACACAAGTGGTGGAATCCAGACCATCAATGGCAGGGAGTGCTGTGGGGAGAGGGAATGAGGAGCTTGTAGGGACAGGGGGTGGCTTTAGCTTCTCATGCCTCCACTATCTCACCAAGGCCACTTCTGTAGTCAGAGCCCGAGTACAGAATAGGCAGGGGTGTGGCTCCAGCAGTCTGGTCCAGGGATGCCAGGTCATTCAGGTTGGGAGGAAGAACTGTGGAAAGAGAATCCTTGGTGGCTTGGCTTTCCAAGCTCCTAGGGGCCGACCCCTCTGGGGAGGACTTAGATCCCTAAGTCCTGGGCAGAGAGAGGATGTAGGGACTTGAAGATGCCATTGGTTGGGGGTAGGGGCTGATTAAAGGTAGGAGCAGAGAACTCACCTAGCTGCTTCCTCCGCCACCAGTAGCTGAAGACCAGTGCAGTCGCCAGTGCAGCCACAAGCAGCAGCAAAGGCAGCAGGATACCAAGGAGCGTGCTCTGTGGGACCCCATCTGGCCCTGGCCGCACCACTCTACCCAGGATATGACATTCACCATCTACGCAGACCTGGGGGCAGGTGGCAACTCAGGCCCAGCCTGTAGGCCCTCTGCCCGTGTTTCCCAGGGAGGTCCAGCTGGGCTGCCTACCTGCAATGGGGCACCATCCTGGCCAAGCTGCAGGGATGGGGGCAGGGGGCAGACAACCATGTCCCCCCGGAACTCGTGCTGGCAGCTCTCACCACCCACGGTCACGTTGATACCCACACAGTCAGCCACAGCGCCCAGCCCAATATACTGCAGAGAGGGTCATGAGGACCAGCCAGTAGGCTGGCCCCTACTTTCAGATCCCCAACTGTCCCTGCCCCTATCCCTTACACTTACCTCAAACTTAATGGCATGCTCCTCAGGCTTCAGTGGAACTAGGTTGGCACTGGGTGGATGGGGTGGGGGTAGGAAGCGAAAGCCAGGCAGTGTAAAGCCAGCAGCTCCATCCCCTCGGGCACTCAGATTCCCTGCCACCCATCCCTGGGGGTCTCGGACCACATATTCAGGAAGGCGGCACAGCTGCTGCTCTGGAAGCTGCCTCTCACACTGCTGGGACCAATATGAGAGTGATTAGCCAGGAACCCCACCTGTGATTGCTCCTCGCCTCAGCCCAGCACGAGGTTGGGCTGCAGCTCAGGGAACTCATCCAGCCTTCCTCCCTCCTGGCCAGCACTCACTCACCCTGCTTTCCACTGCCCTAAGCCCGTCATGGAATGACAGCACTAAGTGCCATGCTGAAGTTAGATGCTGGCCACAGATGGTGATGTGGGAGTTGCTGTGGAAGAGGGTAGGGTGGTAGGCTTTGGGTGTTCTCCAAAGCTGGCTCTCTCATTCCCCAGAGGCCAGAGTGGGCAAAGAGGCAGTGCTTACATGTAGCCACAGTTGGGGCTGATGCTTAGCACGACAGGGTCTTCTCTGTACTGGAAGGTCCAGGAACCAGGTACCTGGGCACCCCCCACCTGCAGGCTAAGGGGGACACTGGCCACCGTGGCCCCAGGGGGTGTGGCACATAAAAGCTGCCCCTCACTGACCCTACAGGAACAAGAGATTGGGCTCAAGGTTACCCTCTTTGTGATGGCCAGGCCCACTTCTTCCAGGGGCCTGTTGACCTCTCCCAGTTCGTCTGTTATCTCTCCCACCTGCCCCACTCCATGGTCTGTCTGAAAATAAGGTGGTCCCAGGAAGACATCCCAAGAGGGTAAGGAGGGAACAGGTTCCCCACAGCCTTGGCTGGAGCCATTGGACTCTGTGATGGGCTCTCTTGCCTCTGGGCTGAAGAGGGCAGTAGTCTTTTCTTCCTGGACCTGCTCTCCACACCACACTGACCATGTAACAAGCACTCTTCCCTCCATCCTGACAGAATCCGGGTCCCCACCTGGATAGAACCCTGCGGCCTCCCATGCCTGCCTGGTGGTACTTACCGTGCTAGCAGACACTCAGTCCCATTGACCAGCACAGCCCGGCTGGTGCCTACAGACAGACTCTGGCCTTCAAGAGTGAGACAGGTGCCTCCTGCCCGTGGGCCAAAGAGGGGTTGCACTGCTATCAGCACTGGCTCCTAAGAGGACATAGAGGTGGCTTAGGCAGGTCCTCCACTCCAAGCCCCTCCCTTCCCGTACCATGCACTGGCCAAGGGCACAGACAGGGCAAGGTAGCCTCACCATGAAAGAGAAGCCTCTCAGCACGGAGGTGCCGTCTACCCGGAAGTGCTTGCCCGGTGGCATGTTAGTCACGGTGAGGCTGACGTTGGTAGGCCCCACTGCCTGGGTGCCCAAGGGCTCCAGTTCACACTCAAACTCCTCTACAAAGTCTTTCCGGGGCACTGGTCTGGGGCACCAGGGGAACCCCTGAGGTCAGCCAGGAATTACACAGGCCTAGATGCATGCCTGCCACAAGCCACAGGGCTCCTCTGAGCCAGAGAATGGCATTTCTCCACCCATGCCTCCCTCCATGGAAGGAAGGTTCTGGTGGGGCAGAGATTAACCTTGGCTGGTCCATGAGTGAACAGACAGGAAGGGCACATGAAAGCTCAAAAAGGGACAGAGACCTTTTTGACTCTCAAAAAGCAGTCAGAACCACTGCAGCTTCCCCCATCCCCCCTTGCCTCTGATAAGCAGAGAACAGGGTCTCATGGGGAAGGGGCTGCTTGGTTTCCCCCTTCAGGGAAAGGGAGGGGAGGGACCAGATTGTACCTGAGTTTTGAGCTGTCCTTGGGCAGTGGCCGGCAGGGACTTTGGCCCACAGTGACCTGATGGGTTCCCTCAGGCACCAGACCAGAAGGGTGAAGGTAGAAGTTGGAGCCACACAGGGTCAGCCTTGTACTGCCCCTTAGAGGTCCACTGTGGGGGTGGAACTGAAATGGGGGAAACAGCCTGAGTCCTCATGTGGGGTTGGGCTCTCTCAGCCCCACCTGCTTCCCCAAAGTCTCCTGCCATACCCCTTGCCTTCCCCACGCTCCAGCCATTTGGAGTCACTTGCATTCAAGCACTTTCCTGCCTCCAAGTCTTTGCATGTGGCATCCCCTCTGACAAGAATGCCCTCCTTGTAGATATGAAGGACACCCCCCAGACCTGAGAAAAATTGTGATCAAGACTTGCTGACCACCACCCCAGGCCCAGCCTGTCCCACTCTTACCTGTGCCCTGCCAGGGAAGCCATACCTCAGTAAGCTTAGGTGGGCAGTGGTCCTGTTGCCAGGAGCCAGGACACTCCTTCTGCTGGCCGCACATGTTCCCACACCAGCCACAGCCCATGAAATGCCATGCCCTTAGGCAACGCCCACAGGTCAGGAAGTGGCGGCAGCCAGGGCCTTGGATAGGTACCTGGAAAACCTGTGGGTGAAAGACAGGTGACTCAGGGGTGCCTGGAGGGAGAGATTGGGCCCTATAGACCCTCCCGGTACACAGTAGGCTAGGGTGGTAGGGCCTGTATGTCAATGCCTCCCTGGATTGGATGGAGAGTCTGTGATCCCACAACCCTGGCCCCAGGCCCTGCCCCTGCCCACCTCACCTGGTCCCCAGAGGCAAAGAGTAGGTGGTCCCCAAGACGACTGACATCCCGCTGCACGGGCTGCCCACTGTCACCCAGTGAGAAGTTGGACACATACAGCAAGTAGTTTAGTGACCTGACCAGCTCCACCTAGGACAGGTCAGATGTGAGCAAAATGGGGATGGAGACAAGGACCCAGGGCTAGGGGACTGTGGGGATGAGGACCCACCTGCAGGATACGCCCATCCATTGTGCCCATGTGTGCCACTGTGACGTTGTCAAGGCGTGTCACATACAATGCAGTGACCTGTACTGGTCCCAACAGCCCATTGAATAGGTCCACACGTGAGAAGCTGCTACTGACCAGCAGAGGGAAGTGGCGGCAGCTGGTGTTGGGGCTGAGGGCTTCCAGGCCAGGCTGGGAAAGGTCAGGGAAGGGAAGGAGTCAGGGTTCAGCCTTGTGCCCCGACCCTCTGGGGCCTTTGTCAGTGGCCACAGCAGCCCAACACTCTCACCCCTCACCTGGCCTGACTGGAGAAGGCCCTGGGCCTGCCGGTTACCATCCCACATTGCCCCCACAGGGCTCTCAGTGTAGCAAGGGCAGGGAGAAGGCCCAGGCTGGAAGGTCCACTCCTCATTCTCCCTGCCCCACCCTGCCATGCCCATCCTGATGGTGAGTTACCCCCATTCCATCCTCACAACCACCCCGTACATCTTTTTTTTTTTTTTTTTTTTTTTTTTTTTTTTTGAGACGGAGTCTCACACTGTTGCTGGGGCTGGAGGGCAATGGTGTGATCTCAGCTCACTGCAACACCTCCCGGGTTCAAGAGATTCTCCTGCCTCAGCCTCCCGAGTAGCTGGGATTACAGGTGCTCGCCACCACCCCTGGCTAATTTTTTGTATTTTTAGTAGAGATGGGGGTTTCACGATGTTGGCCAGGCTGGTCTCGAACTCCTGACCTTGTGATTAGTCCGCCTTGGTCTCCCAGAGTGCTGGGATTACAGGCATGAGCCACGGTGCCTGGCCCACCCCGTACATCTCACAGATGAGGAAACAGGCTCAAGAGGTTTGGTCTCTGGTCCAAGGCATCATAGACCCTCAAGAGGAGAGCCCAGTTGGAAGTCTCAGCTCCGCAAGAGTCTTCTCCTGCCCCCTGCTGGCTCTTCTCTGACTCTCTGTGTGCACTTCAGCAAACCCTGTCTCCTCTGGGCTTCGGTTTCCCCACTTGCATAAGGGGCTGAATGCTGGAGTTAATTGGCCAGCACAAGGTTGGGGACATGGTCCTTCTCCCTAGACTCCAAAGGTCTGCCTGTACTCCTGGCTGCTTCCTATACCCCCCTTCAGGGTACAAAAGGGATAAACCAAACCCCTACAGCCTGGGTGCCAGAACTAAGTTCTGGAAGCTAGGGGGTACTAACCTCTCCCCTGCTTTTAGCAAGGGGGTGTTTTTGGGGGCTGCAATCACGCTCCAGGGGAGGACTGTGGAAGCTCTGGGAAACCAGTACACCAGGGTATGAACTCGCGGTGTTGGAGCTGAGTGCGAGGTGCAGACGGGGCTCAGTAGCCAGCCCTAGGTGCTTAGGACTCTCTCTCACCAGCCCGGAGGGCACTCCTCGAAGCAGGAGCCTCTGAAGGCTCCATCAGACCACAGAGGCTTAACCCAGTCCTGAGACCTCAGCACTGATTAGTAGCCCTGGAGGCAAAAGTAGATGTGGAGCTGAGCCTCGAAACCCCATACACCTTGTGCCTACAGCTTGGGGTGGGTGGGGACTGGGATTTTGTCCTCACTTGAGGCAGGAAATCGGCTTGGCTTGGCCCGAGCCGGAAGGCTGCCAGGTGTTTCTAGCATGACTCAGGGACAGGTGGGGCTCTGAAGGGGAATAGAGCCCTACCTTAGTCAGGCCCACACCCTAGCCTGCTTGTCCCTAGCCCCAGGACCTTAGCTCTACGTTCCCAGGCTTAGGTAGGGGCCCCCAGCTCCTGAAAACACGTAAGTGTCCAATGTCCCATGGAGGACAGGCACCAGCTCTGAGTCCCTCAGGCCTCCTGAGGCCAACCACTATGTGGGTGCTGCCCTAGTGGCTGCATGCCCAGAGTTGCTGGGCAAACACTGCACGGGGTGATTCACACACCTCCTGGGGGCCTGGCCAGCCTGTGAGCAGGGACCAAGATTAGTCTTCCTGGAGCCTGGCACTGCCCAGCCGTGCTGGGTGTCTTCTGACCCACTGACCACTAGGCAAGCTGGGGAGAGGTTCTGACTCCCCATTGGGAAGGAGAAGGGGCCAGGCAGGCCTGCCCAGGCCCAGACAAGGAGTCCCCAACCCTAGGGCCTCTCAACCCAGATGTACTCAGCAGAGGGAGGGAGGCTAAAGACCCCCAACCTCACATTGGGTGTAAGTTCTCCCATCTCCGAGGCATCAATAGGAGCGGAAAGGAGTCTTTCGAGAATGTCACAGCAGGCCCAGGGCCACAGGATGATAGCTAGAGAATCTAAGAACAGTAGCTGTGGGTCCCATTCCTTGGTCCAATCTTACTGCTGTTGCCTACACGATGGCTGGAGAGAACCTAGATAGAGTCTGTGGAAGGAGCCCCCAGTTCAGCACAGGCTTTGAGACTTCCTGCCTGGGGTAGGGCTCCAAATACAGTTAAAAAAAAAAGTCTGGGATGGACCAATTCCAACCAGCCCTTCCTAGGCCTTTACTTATCCCCAGATGTTTATAGTTGCTTGCACAAGACTAGAGTGAGGCTCCCAGAACCTTCTAGAACCAAGCTGCCATTCCATGAGTTCTGGGTACTCCCCCAATCACCCCCAATCATGGCAAAAACGTTAGTGAAGCCCAGGACATGCAGGCTCCCTAACAAGCTCCCAACTTCCAAGGCCCAGGAGGCTCCCTGGAACGTGGTGGCTGGCAGAAGGATGGGGGTGGGTGGGGGGAGGGGGTGTGGAGGAAGGGGAGATTCTCTGACAACTCCCGTCCCACCCCCTTTGGAAAGCAGAGCAAAACAAGGGAAAGTGAAACTGTTGGCAAGCAGCTGTGAGTCTGTGAATCTGTGAGCATCTCCCTGTGTATTTGTGCGTGGTGGTGGTGGTGGTGGCGGGGGTGGGGGAGGGGAGGGGGGAGTGCTATTTTTCTGCGTGTGTCCCTGAGGATATGGGTGGTGGACAAGTAGGAGGGAATGCCCATCATTCTACCCAGCATTCAGGAGCTATGCTAACAGAGACACGGTTATGTAACCCTATCCTCACATAGCCAGGGAAACTACCTAAAAAACCAGAGGCCATGATGGGCAGGTAGGGGAAAGAGCAAGATGAGGCAGCCACAAGGGCCAGCCTGGGAGCTAAGCCTCCAGTGTAGCCTTTGTCTGGCTGGTTTCTCACACCACCCCAGCACTTAGGAACTGGGTGAGAGAGAATGCTTCTTTCCGCCTGCCCCCCCACCGCGCCCCCAGATCCCCTCAGTGATGGAAGGGAAGCAGCCTGTGTTCAGCCATGTGCATGCAGCTCACAAGTAAGGGCCCCTTCTTTCAGCTTACCGGGTTGGGGCAAAAACTGGGCGACTGGAAGAAGTCGAGGCCTCGCCGGAGGCCTGGATGGACTGGGGATTCACAACAGCGCTCCACACCCTCATCAATTAGTGTGTCCAGCAGGTCAATGGGGAAGGCACAGACGACAGAGTTGGGGCCCACGCCAGGACCACCATCCTTGCCAGTCACAAAGACCCCAAATAGTACTTCCTGGCCCTCGGCGATGCTCAGCTCAGTGGCAAGTTGGGCACCCACTGGAGCGGAGTGGGCCACCCGCAGCACAGGGTAGGGCTGTCCGCCTTCTGGGGCCCCCCGGCGCCTGCGTTTTGGAGCAAATCTGCAGTCGAGGACCAGCTCCCGATAGTCACCCAACTCTGGCTCAGTGGCGCTAAGCCGTGCCAGGCGTGTGTGCAGGGCACTAGGATCATCTGTCACGCTGGCCGGCTGTACAGTCAGGAAGTATACGAAGGCTCCCGTGTGGAAGCTGTGCACGTATTCAATACTGTAGGAGACAAGATGCTTGGGCAGCACTGACAACGCCACAAAGCCCGGTGCGAATCCCGAGGCGTCAGCCTTGAGACGCCTGATAGACACTGAGCGTGGGCTGAAGCTGGCAGCCACGGCTGCGTCCAGTGAGGATGCCACGTAGAAATAGGAGGCCTGGCCTTGCTCAACCACAGTTACACGGGTGCCCAATGGGCTGGCCACACAGTCGGGGCAGTCATCGGGCCGGTTATGGTGGGCTGAGAAGAGGCAGGCTGGCGCTGCCAGATGCACGGCTGTCCCTTGGGGCTCTAGGTCATGCAGGAAGCAGCGGCCCTGCAGGCTGGAGCCACAACTGACCAGCGCAGGCAGCGCGGGATCCAGCACCAGCACCTTTGTGTCTGTGTCACCGGGAGGGCCGTGGGGTCCTGGGCCACAGGCTGCACACGTCTGGCAGCCAGGGTCTCCAGCAGGGCCCGTGGCCAGGCTCTGGACAGACTTCAGGTCAGGCCCAAGCACATGCAGGCGATTGCGTATGGCTACAAACACAGCACTCTCATTTCTGTCGCCCTCGTAGGTCACCATGGCCTGTACCAGGCCTCCGGCGGAGAAGCTGGGCACCACGTACTTCACGTCAAAGTCGCGAGAGGCCGCGTAGGGGGTGCGCGGGCACTGCCAGTCCTCGCCCGCCGCGGGCTTGGCAGGCAACAGCAGCAGCAACAGGAAGGACTGAGGCAGCGGCGGGAGGAGCTCCATCGAGGCGAGCTGGGACCCTAGAGGATCCCTACCGGCCTGGGCCTGGACCTGGGCGTGGGCCTGGCTGGGGGCCCGACTCGAGGTCTGGACTGGGCCAAATTTAAGCAGCGGTCCCGACAGCCCCAAGATAGCGGACCCCCGCCCCAGGTTCCTGTGAAACCCAAATCCCTTCCCGGCCCTCGGGTCTGAGCACCTGACGCCTGCGGACGCACGACAGCAACGCCCCAGCCGCCTCACCTGCCGCCCCAGCCGCCGCTGTACACTGGCGCTTAGCGCTCAGCCGACCCGAGGGCGCCGGGCTGGGCGGGCGGAGTCGGGCCGTGGGGGCGGGGCCGCGAGGAAGGCTTGGCCTAGCCCAGGCCCTCCGCCCATCCGACTCTTCCGGCCCTTGGAGGCCTGGCTCCTGTACCTTCACCTGGCGTCTTGGCGCCTTTTTCTCAGCGGCCTGTGGGTGGATGTGCATGGTGTGGCCTGGAGAGAGGTGAGCCAGTCTGAGCCGTCCCATCCCATCCCCCCACTACCGACTGGTTCGCAGCGAGAAGGGGGGCAGGACACTGGGCTCTTTGCTTGCGGTGGAACTAGTTTGCACTTAGTAGCAACACCCTCAGTGGCTGGTGCCCAGAGGTGGCCTGGGGGCCCACCATGTGGAGAACAGAGACCAGGATTGTGTGGAAGACCAGAGGGGAGATGTGGGGCACTTACAAGAGATGTTATGGGGCGCCACCCTTTGTGGGAAAGGACTGTCCTTTTTTTTTTTTGAGAAGGAGTCTTGCTCTGTGGCCCAAGCTGGATTGCAGTGGCGCGATCTCGGCTCACTGCAAACTCCGCCTCCCAGGTTCAAGCGATTCTCCAGCCTCAACCTCCTCCTGTCTCAACCTCCTGAATAGCTGGGATTACAGGCGCGCACCACCACACCCGGCTAATTTTGTATTTTTAGTAGAGACAGGATTCACAGTGTTGGCCAGGCTGGTCTCAAACTCCTGACCTCAGGTGATCCGCCCGCCTCAGCCTCCCAAACTGTTGGGATTACAGGCGTAAGCCACCGCGCCCGGCCGGGACCATTCTTCCATGTGCTTCTCCTGAGCTATCAGCGACAAGATGGTGTCAGAGGAAGGTGTGTTATGCCCTGCTCTCCCAGGGCCATAAGGGTCTTAGGATGGGATCTGGCCTTGCTGACTGGACCTCAGAGTCAGAGAGGCACGTAAGTGGAGGCCCATACCTCCTCTGCAGCCTCAGTATATGGAAGCTGTATAATGGGGTCCACAGTATGGGCCTTGGGGACTCCCCCTTCCTTCCTGGCTCTACCCAGTGCCCCCCTGATATGGAGGAATCATGGGCTTTGGCTCTCAGGACACTTCCAACATGCTCTGTAGGCCTTGCTGGATCTTATTCTCTTCAATGAGAATGTAGTTCTGGGCTGGGCACCGTGGCTCATGCCTGTAATCCTAGCACTCCTTTGAGGGGCCAAGGCAGGAGGATTGCTTGAGGTTAGGAGTTCAAGACCAGCCTGGGCAACATAACAAAACTCAACAAAACAAAAAAACTGCTAAAAATGTTTTTAAAATAAAATATGTGACCGGGCGTGGTGGCTCACGCCTGTAATCCCAGCACTTTGGGAGGCCGAGGCGGGTGGATCGCTTGAGGTCAGGAGTTCAAGACCAACATGGTGAACAGACAGATCTGGCCAACATGGTGAAACTATCTCCACTAAAAACAAAAATTAGCCGGGCGTGGTGGTGGGTGCCTGTAATCCCAGCTACTAGGGAGGCTGAGGCAGGAGAATAGCTTGAATTTAGGGGGTGGAGGTTGCAGTGAGCTGAGATTGTGCCACTGCACTCCAGCCTGGGTGACAGAGCGAGACTCCATCTCCAAAAAAAGAAAAAGAAAACGTAGTTCCGACTAGGTGATTTCCCAGAGTTCTCTCTTCTGTTTATGAGGAGTGGGGGTGGGGGAGCCTAGTCCCACACTTGGATCTCAGCAGCTGCCCCTTGGTAACTGGTCCCCCAACACTAGACTGAGGCCCCTGGGGGACAACCTTAGCCTGACAGACCCCTCAGTTAGATAGGCCTGGACCCTAGAAGACAGGGAAGGTCCACAGGGTGGGTCTGGGCTGTGAACTATGGGCCCCAAGGCTGTAGATAAGGAGGCTGGGGGAGAGAGGAGCCCTCAGCCCAACAGGATTTAGCCTGGCTTGGGGAGCTATATCTCCTCACTCCCCTTTCAGTTCATACTTCTGTGCCTGCATCCCCTTCCTAACCTGACCTTTGTAAGTGCTGTTCCTCCTTCCAGGAGCACTCTTTCCCTTTTCTCCTTTTGCCACCTAAATGGCACCTCCTCCAGGAAGCCTTTTTGATCCAGACTTTGCCAGTCCCCTCTCCTGGGTCTCACAGACCCAGTGCTACACTCACCCCAGCACAGTTTACTCTGGATACTTCACTTCCTCCATCCCCAGTGCAGGACTCCCCCTCCTTCCAGCCTGGAGCTCCATGAGCACCTGAAGACTGAAAGAGGAAATGGAAGTGGGGGCGGCCACACCCAGTGCAGGGTTGATACTGTGCCCTGAGGTGACATAAAAGACACTCCTTTTCCAAAGCAGAATTGGCCAGGAAATGAATAAACACCCGGAGAAAACCGTGGCGTGGTTCCTGCATTCCACAGTCAACACATCTAAAGATAGGCAAGGCAAAACTAAAATGAAACATTCTCAGCCTGGCGCACAGACAGGGGTTCTGGTGACCCAAATCCCACCTCCAGACTTTCAGAGGGATCTCTGGTGGTTGGGAGAAGACTTCACAAGCCCTCTTAGATCACCCCACCCACCCCTTTTTGGGGGTGGTGTTGCGGCAACCATCCGTTAGTTCTCCGCTGCCACCGTGTGGCCGCGCTAATGGCTGTCCCCAGGCTGAGGTCCCCTGTAAGGCAGCCTTGGTTCTCAACAGCAGGGGTACACAGGAGCACCCCTTCCCCCTCTCGCCATCTGCCGCCTCTATAGGAGGGGGCAGTCAAGGTGTGTGGGGGAGGTCAGCTAATGGGACTCTTAAGTGCCAAGTACAAGGGCACCCCCAAGCTAACATAGCTGGCTAAGAACCTGCTCGACTGCCCTAGCACCTGACGCCTTGAAGGAATACTAGCCACTTTTCCCTCCTTGAGCTCTCAGTCCCCTCTGAACACTGTTCTAGAGAACTAGGTCTAACCTCTTTCTCTAATCCCAAGATCACCTTAGCAGTAGCAAGGGAGTCTCTCTAACTGTAATATGACCACATCACACTGCAGGTTACCTGGAGTTTGAGAACCCCAGCCCTTGTGTGGACCACTCCAGCTTCACTGCAAACAAGTTATATTAGGTTCTTTTTTTTTTTTTTTTTTTGAGACGGAGTCTCACTGTGTCGCCCAGGCTAGAGTGCAGTGGCGCAGTCTCGGCTCACTACAACCTCTGCCTCCTGGGTTCAAGCGATTCTCCTGCCTCAGCCTCCTGAGTAGCTGGGACTACAGGCGCACGCCACCATACTCAGCTAATTTTCGTATTTTTAGTAGAGACAGGGTTTCACCATGTTGGCCAGGCTGGTCTGGAACTCCTGACTTCCAGTGATATACAATCCTTGGCTTCCCAAAGTGTTGGGATTACAGGCGTGAGCCACCATGCCCGGCCTGTACTAGGTTCTTACCAGGTCCTTCCCTTTGCACATGCTGGCTCTTCCACTACGAACACCTTCCCTATTTGTCTGTCTTCCCACCCCTGATCTCCAAGCAGGTACACCCCACACTCCTAGGTGCCTATAGTCCTAGGTATACACATTTATCCAACTATGATCTCCCCAGAATATATGCTGAACTACACAGAAGCTGAGAAACCTACAAGAGTCAGGGCAACCAAAAGAGGCACTTAGGGGCTCACTGTTGACCAGAATGCCAGTAACAATCAGGGACAGCTGGCTTGGCATCACCCAGGCCCCAGAGGCAGTGGTTTGGTGTTCTTACTAGGAGCAGGGGAGGAACAAAAGCAGAAAACAGGCATAAAAGAGACCCAGGGCATGTGTGCAGGGTGAACAGCACCCACCAAGCCTATGGCTGCTCCCCGGAGGCTTTGGAATCTGGGCTGGTAGCCTGCTGCCATGCCCATTCCAATGTGAGCCACAGTGGGGCCAAGGGCAGGGGCTGTGCTGCCATTTTCTGGGACAATAAATACAACTGTTCCAGTGTACCCTGGGTCCATGTCACCCACACAGGCTCATTCTTCAATATGGCTTGATTTTAGTAGCAGAAAATATTGGCTCAACTCTCAGAAACTGCATGAGGGTGATTCTCTCTGACAGTCTGAAGACCACATTCAGAGGACAGTTTTCTCCAATAAGTACTTCCTAGGCCTTGTGTTCCCTGGGGCCAGAACTAGAAGATCCCCCGGCAGCAAAGTGGAAGCTCTCTGCATTGTGCCCTGGGTCCTGTGGTAGAGTAAATGGGGCTGGGCTTTCACTGCCGAGCCTCCTGGATGTCCATGGTGCCCCATGCAGGTCTGCCTATGCCATGCCAGGGACTAGGGTGACTAAGGAGGGCCGAGTGCACGTAGCAGTATTAGCTCTTATTATGGCAGGCCCACTTCTGCCTTAGAGGGTCAACTGGGCCTTCTCTCAGACCCTCAGCTCACTCTTGAGGACCATTTGGAGGAATGCACTGGCTGAGGTAGGAGAACTGAGGCATACAGCCCTTCATGGGAAGGCCTGAGCAGGGACAGTTTCCTCAGAGGCCTGCAGCTAAAGGGAGACTGGATTCTGAATTTCAGCTGAAGACTGGGTTGCCTCACCAGGGGCTCCATCCAGTACCAGGGCTCAGACTCCCCCCATTTTGACCATCTGTATCTTACTCAACTCAGCTTCTGCTGAACTACAGCAACCCATTAAACAGAGCCACAGCGAGGGCTCTGAAGGTGGTTGAGTAGTCTTTTGTGGCATGCAGCAGGGGGCCCCTCCCAGGAGTGATAAGAGAGGCAGACAGCAGAAGCTCAGACTGAATATGGGGGTGGGGGTAGGGTAGGGCAGTATGGTGCCTGAGAACTTTTTATATATGGTAGGACTTCAACTAAACCAAAACGGCCCCAGCCCAAGATCCAGCTGAGAATGTGTGTGGCCTCATGCTGGTGCAAGGGAGGGAGGAGAGGGGCTCAAATGTGCCTGTGTCCCTGTGCAGGAGCTACGGAGGAGGATCCAGTGTCTGTATGTGAGTGAGGGTGGATGGGCGAAGGGACAAGTGACAGAGCTTGACAAGTGTCTTCCCCAAAGCACTTTAATGCATTCACCAACCCACAGTCCCTGCCCGCTGGCTGGGCAAGAGAGGCCAGCCCCCATCTGGAGGCTCCTATGGCTTCCCACACCTAGTGTGTCCAGGAAGGCTGAGCCCGCACACATTCCCATCAATAGGTGAGGGGCGTGAGAATGAAGAGGCGGTCTTCCTCTTTGCGGATCCAGCGCATCAGCTTATGGATGGCACTGACGGCTGACGCCTTGGTCCCCAGGGGGCTGTAACACATGTAGAGCTCAAAGGCGCCTGTCACCTGGAGAAGGGGCAAAGGGTCGTCATCTAGGTTAGAGGCCCCTCATGGCCCATACCTAGGACCTCCATAAAGCCCAGCCCATCCCAGGGCTGCCTTACCCAGGCCAGGAGGTTCTCGTTGGGGCCCGTGTAGTAAATGGTCTTGAGTGGGCGAGAGGCATTGTGGGCACGACTGTGCAAGTACTGGTAGAGGCCCAGCAGCCGCTCCTGCTCCTCTTCACTGGTGTATGGGGCCTCAATCTCAGGGCTGCAGACAGGGTGGAGGGAGTGGGTTTGCAAAGGAATGACTTCCACTGTCTTCTCTAGAGATTTAGAAACACCTATTCCTATCCAGGAAGACTCTATCTTATGTCCTACCCTCCAGGTGCTCCCTTAGGACAGGGCATTGTCTCCCCACCATAGCAGGCACCCCAGGACAGGGCTGGGCCCACTGAGACTAGAGCTATGTCCCCTCTTACCCCCTAAGCTCATAGTGTCTTTGGTGACCCCTCTTTGGAGAGGCCAGGTTGAGTTTAGATGTCCAAGACAGAGTGACAGATCTGGAGTAGAGGAAAGGTGAGCTAGGAATCCTGTGGGCCAAAAGGGACAAAGGGAGGCCATATCTTCCCAGCCCCTCTGCTGGGGGAGGGGGTGGAGGAGGGCTGTGCTTCCTGAGCTGGACCAAAATGACCCCTAAAGTAGAGTTGCTCCAGGGCAAGGGACCCCGGAGACCTCTGTTCCAGTTTCCTTCTCTGGGTATATTGGGCATTTCCAGGCCTTCTGGTTAATAAAGTAGAGAGGGTATGCTCATGGGGTGATGGAGAGTCTGGGTCTCTGGTGCCAGAGTAAAACAGGCCCAGCACACTGGTCTGCTTCCAAAGGTAGGGACAGCTTCAGGGCTACATCTCAGAGCTCAGGACCAAACAGCCTCCCGACTCCACATGTCCCTGTCCCGCTACAGCAGTGCCCTCAAGGCCCTCCCTCACCTGGTGAAGAGTCCCGAGCTCTTTGACTTATAGAGGAAGTGACGCAGGTCAGGGATGCCCACTTGGGCAACGCTGTAGTAGGGTGTGCGCAGTGCCTCTCGCAGGGCCAGGTGGGCTCCGCGCTTGCGAAGGCGCTCCTGGAAGCGGCGGCGGCAGTCAGAGACTGCAAAGAAGTCCTCACGGTCAGTGGAGACAAGCAGCAGGCAGAGGTCAGTGTCAGGCTCTAGGTAAGAGATGTGTGCGTGGAAGAAGCCGGCTGCGTTGAATTTGGGCAGGCACACGGGCGTCCAGGCCTCGCCCTCGCGAAAGGACGAGGAGGAACTAATGAGGTTGAAGAGCAGGTGCAGGTCGATGGGGTGCAGAAATTGGTCCTTTCGGCGCACGAGTGCCACGAGCTGGTTGCGGGCCAGCAGGATGGAGAAGACCAGGCTGCGCGCACGCGCCTGCTGCAGGCTGGCGCTCACAGTGTCGCGCACGGCCGCCGCCAGGGGCAGGCACCGTGCCGCCCCCATCAGGAAGCTGGGGTCTCGTGCCATGAGCTGCAGCAGGTTGTCGGTGATGCGCTCTGAGCCCGAGAGTAGGCGCCGCAAATCATAGTTCTGCTTCTGCTGGAAGATGTGGCTCAGCTGCGCACCGGTAAGAAGGCTTAGGATCTGGTAGTAGATGTAGAGCAGCTCCTGCGCCAGCTCTTGTGCCGACTGCCGCGTACGAGCCACCGCCACTAGCACCAGCGGGCTCCGGCGCACGAATACTACCTTGTAGCCATCTGAGAGCGGGACAGGAAAGAAGGATGTCAGCCTCAGCGGCAGCTCCCTCCGAAAACCGCCTTCCAGCGCAGCTCTTCGCTTTCCCCATCCTTTCCTCGCTCAGAGCTCTGCGCACAGTAGGGGTTTAAGGATGTTCAGGATAAAAACCCATTGCTCCTTCTCCCTGAGGGCTCAGGGCCTATCCCTGCCACTTGCTTCAAAGACTAGCTCCCTCTGAAACACACATTCTTATGCTAAGTGCTAAGTCAACTGGCAACTGGCAAGGGCTGGCTGGGTGGAGCTCAGGACCTGGGAGATAGATAGATTAGATAGATAGATAGATAGATAGATAGATAGATAGATAGATAGATAGATAGATAGAGTTTGTTGTTGTTGTTGTTGTTGCCTCCCCAGGGGGATTCTCACTCTCTCCAAAGGCAAAGCCCATGTCAGAGGCAACTTTGGTCCTCGCCGCAGCCCCATGAGGCCAGCAGTGTTGTTATCTTCTGTTCAGGTGAGGACCTTGAAGCTCAGAGAGGTAGAGGGACTTACCCTCAGTCACACAGCACATCCCAGCCCTCTGGTCTGCAGGGGTCCAAAACCTGCTATGAATGAACCTTGGCCAGGGGAGCCCGCCCCATTCCCTCTCCAGGTGGCTCACCTGCATGGATGGAGCGGATGGCGTTCTTGTCTGCCTCCAGGAAGGACACCAGGGCCACCATAACACCCATAGTGCTGGAAAGTGCCTCCTCAGACCCATAGCGGGAGTACACAGGCTTCCCTGCCTCACTCAGCACAAAGACATGCTTCTGGTGCAGGCGCCATGCCTCCGTGGCATCCTCCTCATCCCCCTCGGTTGTGCCCTCCCTGGGGGGCTCTGTGGCTGGTCGCCCAACTGCCCCTGGGGGTTCCAGCCAATCCTCAGAGCTTCCTGGCAGCATCTCCTCCTGCAGGTCCCGGGCCACACCCGTCAGCTGGGTGCTTAGCTCGCTAAAGTCCTGGCTGATCTGGCGCATGTCTGTAGGCAGCGGCGGGGGACCCCTGGTACCCTCCTTGTGGCTGTCCCCAGAAGCTGCCCCATCCTCTGACTCAGTCAGGTCCTCGTAGGAACGGGCATGGACGAACATGGCACCCTCCTGGCCCGCACCTGCAGGCCAAAAGCACTGGTGCTTAGAGGGGTAGCTAGTGGCAGACACTCCTACCAGCAAGGTGCCTAACGTGGTCACTCCAGCATGACTGCCTGTCTTGTTAGGATCAAGCCACTGTTCCCTTCTGCCACTGTCTGCCATGGATGATGCTTCTCTGCAACTTACAGCCCACCAGTCTCCTCTCATCGTACTGGAAAGAAGACCCAAACCACTCATGGCAGCAGTGGTGGCTGGTATCTGCCTACCTCTCATTCCCATCTCCCACCCCACTCCCTTGCCCATCTTGGTCACACTGGCCTACATCCATCTGCTCTCAGATACTTTCAACACACCCCCACCTGCCTCAGGAGCTCCACACCTGCTGTCAGCTGTCTCCTACCTCCCCAAGAGGCCGGCTAATTGTCACACTTAAGCTCTCAGGGAAGATGTTAGTTACTGACCTCCAACCCCAGGCACTCTATATATCCCTTTTTGATTTCTCTTGTGGCACTTGCCAGTTATTGTCCTTCTCCCCAACTACAATGGTACCCAGTAAGGTGCCGGAACGCAGCACCTCACCCTGTGTCTGGAGCACTGCCCATACTCAATGAATCTCTCTCTCTGGGAGAAAGCTCCCCTACCCTACTCAGGCCATAGCTCCTGACTGACCCCACTATAATGGCGCCGCAGCCTGTGACTGCCTCAGGGCAGGGACCAGGTCAGTCTTCCTTTATTGATTTTTTGACAAAATAGTTTAACAGATATATTTTGAGTCTCTCTTGCGAATTCAGCCCTGTACCAGGCACTGGGGATATAACTGCTCTGCGCTCAAAGTGTTCACAATCTTGTGGAAGAGAGAGATGGGCAATATATGCATAAAGAGATAAAATTATGAAATAATTAGTGTGCTATACAGAGCATGGTCAGAGCAGGCCTAACTCGTGAGGAGGGGAGAAGGAGCCGGGGAGGTGCGCTGTAGACACAGGGAACAGAAGAGCCCACAATGGCAGCCAGAAAGCTCAGGGCGAGCAGCATAACATGAAGTGGAGAGGAAAGCCAGATGCAGAATGAGCCTGGCCTCCTGCCTTATCCCCAGAACCTGACAAATATCCAATGAGTGACTGACAAATGCATGAATAAGTGGAAAGGAAAAAGTGGTTGGGAATCCTAATTCCCCCTGGAGACTGCTCTGGTTGGCAGCTGGCTGAGGCTGTACACTTGCCCATACCTGGCTCCATTCCCTGGGCCATTCCTGGTGTGGGGCTCTCAGCTCTCTCCATACTCTGTCCATCAGAAGGAGTCAATGTGCCATCAAGGCATTCGCTGCTTCTCTTCCTCTGCATGTCAGTAGCCATCCTTTGAGCTCTCCTGTGGGGCAAACAAATGCAACATCGATGGCTTTTGGCAGGGTCACAGGCATAATCAACAGTGGTAGTAAGTACAGGAAAGTGTCCTTTATCAGGACTCCACTAACTCAAATCTCTAGAAAATGGATTCTGAGAATTCCTTTCAAAAAAATATATACTGTTCCTTTTCTGATTATAAAAGGAAGACATATTCATTGTAAAAAAAAGACTTGGAAAGCACAGAAAAGTAGAAAGAAATATCAAGATTTTCCTACCATTCAGGATCTTTCACTGTTCATACGTTAGTGTATTTCCTTCTAGTATTTTTTTTTTTTTTTTTTTTGAGACAGTGTCTCGCTCTGCCGCCCAGGCTGGAGTGCAGTGGCATAATTTCGGCTCACTGCAGCCTCCCCCTCCGGGGTTCAAGCAATACTCGTGCCTCAGCCTCCCAAGTAGCTGGGACTACAGGTGGGCACCATCATGCCTGGCTAATTTTTGTATTTTTTGGTATAGACGGGGTTTCACCATGTTGGCCAGGCTGGTCTTGAACTCCTGACCTCAAGTGATCTGCCCCTCTCGGCAGATTGTTGTTGTTGTTGTTGTTGAGACAGGGTCTCACTCTGTTGCCAAGGCTGGAGTGCAATGGCACCAACACAGCTCACTGCAGCCTTGACTTGGGCTCAAGCAGTCCTCCCATCTCAGCCTTCCCAGTAGCACATGCCACAGCCAGCTAATTTTCTTTTCTTCTTCTTCTTTTTTTTTTTTTTTTTGAGACGGAGTTTCGCTGTTGTTACCCTGGCTGGAGTGCAATGGCGTAATCTCGGCTCACCGCAACCTCCACCTCCCAGGTTCAAGAGATTCTCCTGCCTCAGCCTCCCGGGGTAGCTGGGATTACAGGCATGCACCTGGCTAATTTTGTATTTTTAGTAGAGACGGGGTTTCTCTGTGTTGGTCAGGCTGCTCTCGAACTCCCGACCTCAAGTGATCCGCCTGCCTCGGCCTCCCAAAATGCTGGGATTACAGGTGTGAGCCACCGTGCCCCACCTTTCTTTTCTGAAACAGGTCTGGCTCTCTTGCCCAGGCTGGAGAGCAGTGGCGTGATCTTGGCTCACTGCAACCTCTGCCTCCTGGGCTTAAGCCATCCTCCCACCTCAGCCTCCTGAATAGCTGGGACTACAAGCACATGCCACTGCGCCTGCCTAATTTTTTTTTTTTTTTTTTTTTTTTTGAGATGGAGTCTTGCTCTCTCACCCAGTCTGGAGTGCAGTGGTGCGATCTCAGCTCACTGCAACCTCCACCTCCTGGGTTCAAGCAATTCTCCTGCCTCAGCCTTGCAAGTAGCTGGGATTACAGGCACCTGCCAGCACATCCAGCTAATTTTTATATTTTTAGTAGAGACAAGGTTTCACCATCTTGGCTAGGTTGGTCTTGAACTCCTGACCTTGTGATCCGCCTGCCTTGGCCTCCCAAAGTGCTGGGATTACTGGTGTGAGCCACTGCGCCCGCCTAATTTTTGTATTTTTTATAGAGACAAGGTCTTTTCATGTTGCCCTGGCTGGTCTCAAACTACTAGGCTCAAGCAATCCTCCCACTTCAGCCTCCCAAAATGTTGGAATTACAGGCATGAGCCACCATGCCCAGCCTGGTCTTTTAGAAAATGTACATAAAATGTAAATAATTAAACAAACTGATAGCAGCAGCTAACAGTTATTCAGTGTCAGCGTATCATGCTAAGAGGTTTCTGTGGATTAAGTTACCTAATCTTGATCACGCCTCTATGAGGCATGTGTTCCTGTCAGGCTAGCTTTATAGATGAAAGAACTGATACTGAGAGAGCTTAAGGAGCTTGCCCAATGTTACTACAGGAAAGAAGTGCTGGATTTGGATCTGGGAGTTGAAACAACTCTGTATCCTGTATCCAGTGGCTCACTCCTGTAATCTTAGCAAAGATTGGAGGCCAAAGAGGGAGGATCACTTGAGCTCAGTAGTTCACTAGCTGGGGCAACAAAGTGAGACCCTGTCTCTACAAAAAATTTTAAAAACTAGCCAGGCATGGTGGCATGTGCCTGTAATCCCAGCTACTAGAGAGACTAACATGAGAGGATCACATAAACCCAGCAAGTCAAGGCTGCAGTAAGCTGTGACTACAACACTGCACTCCAGTTTAGGCAACAGAGTGAGACCCTGTCTCAAAAAACTAAAACTAAAAATAAATAAAAATAAAAATTAACTAAGTTGACCAATAGTTCTTTTTGGATATCTAGGTGTTTGCAGATAAAAAAGTGAGACACAGGCAACAGGCTTGTCTTCAGGCTGCAGCCCTGCTTTTCTCTAAATATCCTTTTGTACCTTTTGAATTTGGCACAAGGAGTTGTCTTAACAATTAAAAACAACTATAGACATGTCAACTCTCAGTGCCCATGTAATGGCCAGGATAGATTCAGCCGGATCTCCTTGTCCTTCCACAGCCCCAGGCCCAGGTGGAGGTGGCCACAAGTGAATGTCAGTGGTAACAGAGCTAGCTGGGTGGCTCACCGAGGCTGGTAGCAAGGCTTATTTGGCCTCTAGGGTCCTTCAATGGCAGGCTGAAGGATCCTCACTTGTCAGGCAACATACAGTTCACCCAAGAGGGGATCCATTCCAGGTACCAATCCTTTAAGAAAGAGGGATCTAGCTGGATGGACTAGAAGGGCAGAGACTCATGGAGCAAACACTGCAGGCAGGCCAGGGGCCCAGGAGGCACTGGTGTTAGTGTGAGCAAAGTAGACCTGAGCCTGCATCCCAGAACACAGAGTCTGGTGGGAATAACTGAGCTCTTGTCCCCTCCTAGCTGTGTAACCTTGGGCAAATGACTCTTCCCTGGAAGCATGGCATAAAGTAGGTGTTCAAAAAAGTTCATGAAAAGGGTGGTCCCAAACAGATAGCATCACCATCAGTAGCATTTGTGTGGCATCAGCCAGTCTGTGTCCAAGAACATTCTCTCTGGACCTGGCATAGCTCCAGTCAGGCAGCTCCTATGTGTGTGCCCAAAGAACTAATTTTCAACCTCTTCTTTTTGTCACCTTTAAGCTATGTAATTCTTTCTTTAATTGAATCTTTTGCAGAAGCTCCACGTGCAAACAGATAGGGAAGCAGAGCCTGTATCCTGACAGCTGGCCTGGTGGCCACTCCTGCACTGAGCCTGAAGGACCGCAGAGCACATGGAGGGTTGGGCACCACTGCCAACAGCATCACCCCACACAGAATAAAACCAAAGAAAGAAGGTTGGGGAGATAATCTGGGGATTTTCTAGGCCCCCAGTCCCATCCATCAGGACAATCAAGAGTAATGGTTCCCAGCAAGAGTCAGAGCCCAGAAGGAAAAGGCGCAGGCTGCCTTGTCAGACAGTGGGCCAGAGGAACTAAGAGGCTGCATGCCCTCAACAGGAACCTGCGGTAGCATCCACAGAGGTCCCCTCTGAGACTGAGACTAAGAGGAGCAATCCAAAACAACCACCACAACACCACAAGGCCCAGGATGCTGAATGCCAAGGAAACTAGGGCATGTCTAAGTCTTGCGCAAGAACACACAGGCCACGTAAATCTCATAGACCAGTAATTCCAAAGCTATCCTAAAAGCCAGAGTGGGCTCTGAGAGATGAGTCTGCCCAAGTGCAGGCCAAGAGTAAGCTGCTCCTGACAGTACCAGGGTTGTGGCCAGGGCTTCCAGGCCTATCTGGGCTCAAGCGATCCTCCTACCTCAGCCTCCTGAGTCGCTGGGAACACAGGCGTGAGCCACCATGCGTGGATAATTTTTGTATTTTTTGGTAGAATTAGGGTTTTGCCATGTTGCTCAGGCTGGTCTCCAATACCTGGGCTCAAGCAATCTGCCTGCCTTGGCCTCCCACAGTCCTGGGATTACAGCTGTGAGCCAGCACCCGGCCTGGAATGCCCTACATTTCTTTTCTTTTCTTTTCTTTTCTTCTTTGAGACGGAGTCTGGCTCTGTCGCCCAGGCTGGAGTGCAGTGGCGCTATCTTGGCTCACTGCAAGCTCTGCCTCCCCAGTTTATGCCATTCTCCTGCCTCAGCATCCCGAGTAGCTGGGACTATAGGCGCCCGCCACCACGCCCAGCTAATTTCTTTTTGTATTTTTAGTAGAGACGGGGTTTCACTGTGTTAGCCAGGATGGTCTCGATCTCCTGACCTGGTGATCCACCCGCCTCAGCCTCCCAAAGTGCTGGGATTACAGGCGTAAGCCACCACGCCTGGCCGGAATGCCCTACATTTCTATGTCTCCTCACTTTCCTACTCCTCTAGTCAACTTCACACCTTTTCTCTCTTCAAACATCCATCATCTCCTTCCCTGATGGTCATACTCAGCACTATCAGCAAATGACCTTGCCTTCCATTTCACCGAGAAGACAGAAGTCGTTAGAAGAGAACTTCCGGGGCGAGTGTGGTGGCTCACGCCTGTAATCCCAGCACTTTGGGAAGCCGAGGCGGGCAGATCACCTGAGGTCGGGAGTTTGAGAACAGCCTGACCAACATGAAGAAACCCTGTCTCTACTAAAAATACAAAAAATTAGCCAGGCATGGTAGAGCATGCTTATAATCCCAGCTACTCAGGAGGCTGAGGCAGGTCAATCACTTGAACCCGGGAGGCGGAAGTTGTGGTGAGCCGAGATTACACTCCAGCCCAGGCAACAAAACCAAAATTGCGTCTCAAAAAAAACAAGAAGGCCAGGCGCGGTGGCACACACCTGTAATCCCAGCACTTTGGGAAGCCAAAGTGGGTGGATCACCTGAGGTCAGGAGTTCGCAACCAGCCTGACTAACATGGTGAAACCCCATCTCTACTAAATAAAAAAAAATTAGCCAGGTGTGGTGGCACGTGCTTGTAATCCAAGCTACTTGGGAGGCTGAGACAGAAGAATTGCTTGTACCTGGGAGGCAGAGGTTGCAGTGAGCCGAGATCATGCCACTGCACTCCAGCCTGGGCAACAAGAGCGAAACTCTGTCTCAAAAAAAAAGAACAAAAAAAAAGAACTTCCGGAGATTACCACCACGAGCTTACCTCATCTGCCAGAATAGGCCTTCCCTCTTTTTTTTTTTTGAGACAGAGTCTCACTCTGTGGCCCAGACTGGAGTGCAGGAGCACGATCTTGGCTCACCAAAACCTCCACCTCCCAGATTCAAGCGATTCTCCTGCCTCAGCCTCCCAGGTAGCTGGGATTACAAGCACCCACCACTTCGCCCGGATAATGTTTGTATTTTTAGTAGAGACGGGGTTTTACCATGTTGGCCAGGCTGGTCTCAAACTCCTGACCTCAAATGATCCACCCGCCTCAGTCCCCCAAAGTGCTGGGATTACAGGCATGAGCCACCGTGCCTGGCCCCCTCTTCTTACTAAAGATGAGCTGTTCATGCTCCATAGAGGCTAACTCCTCCATGTGTACACCAGAGCCCAGCCCCTCTCACCTACTCAGGTACATGGCTTCAGCAGCTGTCCCTCCTCATCAGTTTCCCCTTCTCCCTTATCCATTACCAATATGGTGATATTTCTTGTCTTCAAAACCCCCTCCCAGCAGGGCTTGGTGGCTCATGCCTGTCATCCTAGTACTTTGGGAGGCCTAGGTGGGCAAACCACTTGAGCCTAGGAGTTTGAGACCAGCTTAGGCAACATGGTAAAACCCCATCTCTACAAAAAGTACAAAAGATTAACCAGGTGTGGTGGCATGCACCTACAGTCCCAGCTACTTGGGAAGCTGAAGTGGGAGAATCACCTGATCCCAGGAGGTCCAGGCTGCAGTGAGTGGTGATCACACCACTGCACTCCAGCCTGGGTAAAGGGAGTGAGATCCTGTCTCAAAAACAAAAACCAAACAATTTTGGGGGTGTTCGCTTTGTAATAATTCACTGGGCTATACTTATGATTTGTGAACTTTTCTATATGTTTGTTTTACTTCAAAGTTAAAACAAAACAAACTTCCCCTTAACTCTACATTCCCCACTAGCTATCAACCCATTTTTCTGTTGCCCTTTATAAAAAAACAAACAAACCCCCTCAAAATGGCAAATAATATTTGGAGTTTGCATTAGTCAGGTAGGCTAGACTATTCTGTGTAAAAAATGGATGCCAAATGCTACAGGTTTTACACCCAAAGATCTTTTTTTATTTTTTGAGACGGAGTCTCACTCTGTCACCCAGGCTGGAGTGCAGCAGCGCCATCTCCGCTCACTGCAACCTCTGACTCCTGGGTTCAAGCGATGCTCCTCCCTCAGCCTCCCGAGCAGCTGGGATTACAGACGCCCACCACCACACCTGGCTAATTTTTGTATTTTTAGTAGAGACGGGGTTTCACTATGTTGGCCAGGCTGGTCTCAGGTGATCCTGACCTCAGGTGATCCGCCCACCTTCACGGATCCAAAGTGCTGGGAGTACAGGCATGAGCCACCGCACCCAGCCCCAAAGACCTATTTTTTGCTCACATAAAATCTACTGTGGGACTGGTAGCAATTCAGAGTAGCTCCCTTCCAAGCAGTGATTCAGGAATCCAAGCCACTAGCACCCTATAGAAGCCATTCGGAACACATGCCTTCCACATCACCTGGCAAGGGAAGACAGAGATGGAGGATCATGTACCAGCTCTTAAATACTTCGTAGCTCACATTGGCCAGAACCAGTGATGTGGCCAGAGGGACTGGGAAATATATGGAGCTCACGGATATCTGGAAAGCAGGAATTGTCTCTGCCGTAGCCTCTCCATTTCTCCCATTCTCTCTAAACCAGTTCTGAACAGAATCTCACCTCCATTACTCCATCAACACTGCTCCCATCAAGGTCACCAACGACCTCCAGGATCATCTTACTTCACCCATAAACAATAGATAATTTGGTTATTTCCTCTCTCTTGAAACATTTTCTCCTCTTTTATGGCATACCACTCCTTTCTTGGCTCTCTTCTGACCTCATGGACTACTCCTTCTGAGTCCTTTTTGCAGTTCTTACTGTAAAGGGGCACAGAATTCAGTCTTTGGACCTCTTCTCTGTCTTCACTCAATCCCTTGGTGATCTCATTTGGTCTCATAGTTTTAAATTCCCTCTACATATTAATACTTTTTTTTAATCTCCAGCCCCAATATCTTTTCTGACTTAAAGAGGCACACACATTTAACTGTCTACTTCATGTTATCTCAAGGTTATATGCCTCAAACTGAACTCCTTAAAAAGGCCATCTCCTGGCCAGGCGTGGTGGCTCTCACCTGTAATCCCAGCACTTTGGGAGGCCGAGGAGGGTGGATCACGAGGTCAGAAGTTTGAGACCAGCCTGGCTAACCTGGTGAAACCCCATCTTTACTAAAAATATGAAAATTAGCTGGGTGTGGTGGCACACGCCTGTAATCCCAGCTACTCAGGAGGCTGAGGCAGGAGAATTGTTTGAATGTGGGAGGCGGAGGTTGCAGTGAGCCAAGATCGTGCCACTGCACTCTAGCCTGGGTAGCAGAGCCAGATTCTGCATCAAAAAAAAAAAAGGTCATCTCCTTAAAAAGTTGCTCCTAGCTGGGTATGGTGGCTTACACCTGTAATCCTAGCACTTTGGGAGGCCAAAGCAAGCAGATTACTTGAGCCCAGGAGTTCAAGACCAGCCTGGGCAATATGGCAAACCCTGCCTCTACAAAAATACAAAAATTAGCCAGGCGTGGTGGCACGTGTCTGTGGTCCCAGTTACTCAGGAGGCTAAGGTGGGAGGATCACAGGAACCCGGGAGGTAGAGCTTGCAATGAGCCAAGATCGTGCCACTGCACTCCAGCCTCGGCAATAAGAGTGAGACCCTGTCTCCTTTTTTTTTTCTTTTTTTGAGATGGAGTCTCGCTCTGTCGCCTGGACTGGAGTGCAGTGGCGCGATCTCAGCTCACTGCAAGCTCCACCTCCTGGGTTCATGCCATTCTCTTGTCTCAGCCTCACGAGTAGCTGGGACTACAGACGCCTGCCACCACACCCGGCTAATTTTTTGTATTTTTTAGTAGAGACGAGGTTTCACCGTGTTAGCCAAGATGGTCTCAACCTCCTGACCTCATGATCCGCCTGCCTCAGCCTCCCAAAGTGCTGGGATTACAGGCCTGAGCCACCACGCCTGGCTGGTAGAGAACCTGTCTTTAAAAAGAAAAAAAGGCCGGGTGCAGTGGCTCACGCCTGTAATCCCAGCACTTTGGGAGGCTGAGGTGGGCGGATCACCAGGTCAGGATATCGAGACCACTCTGGCTAACACGGGAAACCCATCTCTACCAAAAATACAAAAAATTAGCCGGGCGTGGTAGCACTTTTTTTTTTTTTTTTTTAAGAGATGGGGTCTTGCTCTGTCACCAAGTCTGGAGTGCAGTGGCTATTCACAGGTGTAATCACCACCCCACCATGCACTACAGCCTCAAATTCCTGGGCTCAAGTGAACTTCCTGCCTCAGCCTCCCGAGTAGCAGGGACTACAGGCACTTACCACTTCTCCCAGAGTTTTCACCATCTCAGTAAAAGACAATTTCATGGCTGGGCATAGTGGCTCATGCCTGTAATCCCAGCACTTTGGGAGGCCGAGGTGGGTGGATCACCTGAAGTCAGGAGTTCAAGACCAGCCTGGCCAACATGGTGAAACCCCATCTCTACTAAAAATACAAAATTAGCCAAGTGTGGTGGTGCATGCCTGTAATCCCAGCTACTTGGGAGGCTGAGGCAGGAGAATCACTTGAACCCATGAGGCAGAGGTTGCAGTGAGCCACGATCACGCCATTGCACTCCAGCCTGGGCAATAAGAGCAAAGCTCTGTCTCAAAAAAAAAAAAAGAAAGAAAGAAAGACGGCCGGGAGCAGTGGCTCACGCCTATAATCCCAGCACTTTGGGAGGCCGAGGTGGGCAGATCACAAGGTCAGGAGATCGAAACCATCCTGGCTAACACAGTGAAACCCCGTCTCTATTAAAAATAAAAAAATTAGCCAGGTGTGGTGGCATATGCCTGTAATCCCAGCTACCCCGGGAGG
Source organism: Homo sapiens (assembly GCF_000001405.40). Classification (NCBI taxonomy): domain Eukaryota; kingdom Metazoa; phylum Chordata; class Mammalia; order Primates; family Hominidae; genus Homo; species Homo sapiens. The sequence continues at coordinate 49,922,346 of NC_000003.12, forward strand.
CTGAGGCAGGAGAATCGCTTGAACCTGGGAGGCAGAGTTGAGATCGCACCACCGCACTCCAGCTTGAACCCAGGAGGCGGAGGTTGAGATCGTGCCACCACACTCCACCCTGGGTGACAGAGCGAGACTCTGTAAAGGGAGGAAGGAAGGAAGGAAGGAGGGAAGGAGGGAGGGAGAGAAGGAAGGAGGGAGGGAGGGAGGGAGGGAAAGAAGGAGGGAAGGAAGGAGGGAAGGAAGGAAAGAAGGAAGGAAGCAAGGAAGGGGAAGGAGGGAAAGGAAGGAAAGGAAGAAAGGAAGGAAAAGAAGAAAGGAAAGAAGCCAGGAAAGAAGGAAAGAACGAAAGAAAAAAAGACAATTTCTTTTTTTTTTTTTTGAGACAGTCTTGCTCTGTTGCCCAGGCTGGAGTGCAATGGCGCGATCTCAGCTCACCGCAACAGTGCGATCTCAGCTCCACCTCCTGGGTTCAGGCAATTCTCGTGCCTCAGCCTCCTAAGTAGCTGGGACTACAGGCGTGTGCCACCACACAGGCTAATTTTTGTATTTTTAGTAGAGACAGGGTTTCACCATGTTAGCCAGGCTGGTCTCAAACCCCTGACCTGGTGATCCGCCTGCCTTGGCCTCCCAAAGTGCTGGGATTACAGGTGTGAGCCACCACACCTGGCCAAGAAAGACAATCTCATCCTTTCAGTTGTTTGGTGAAAAACCGTGGAGTCAGCCGGGCACGGTTTCTCACACTTTGTAATCCCAGCACTTTGGGAGGCCGAGGCAGGCAGATCATGAGGTCAGGCGATCGAGACCATGCTGGCTAACACGGTGAAACCCCATCTCTATGAAAAATACAAAAAATTAGCCGGGTGTGGTGGCGCATGCCTGTAATTCCAGCTACCCCGGGAGGCTGAGGCAGGAGAATCCCTTGAACCCGGGAGGTGGAGGTTGAGATCGCGCCACCGCACTCCACCCTGGGTGACACAGCGAGACTCTGGGAGGGAAGGAAGGGAGGGAGGGAGGGAGGGAAGGGAGGAAGGAAGGAAGGGGAAGGAGGGGAAGGAGGGAAAGGAAGGAAAGGAAGAAAGGAAGGAAAGAAAGAAAGAAAGGAAGGGAAGAACGAAAGAAAGACAAGCTCTTTTTTTTTTTTTTTTGAGACAGTCTTGCTCTGTTGCCTAGGCTGGAGTGCAACAGCGCAATCTCAGCTCCACCTCCCAGGTTCAAGCGATTCTCATGCCTCAGCCTCCCGAGTAGCTGGGACTACAGGCGTGTGCCACCACATTGGCTAATTTTTGTATTTTTAGTAGAGACAGGGTTTCACCATGTTGGCCAGGCTAGTCTCAAACCCCTGACCTTGTGATCTGCCCACCTTGGCCTCCCAAAGTGCTGGGATTACAGGTGTGAGCCACCTCACCTGGCCAAGAAAGACAATCTCATTCTTTCAGTTGTTTGGTGAAAAACCTTGGAGTCGGCCGGGCACGGTTTCTCACACCTGTAATCCCAGCACTTTGGGAGGCCGACGCAGGCAGATCATGAGGTCAGGAGATCGAGACCTTGCTGGCTAACACGGTGAAACCCTGTCTCTACTAAAAATACAAAAAATTAGCCGGGCATGGTGGCACGTGCCTGTAGTTCCAGCTACTCAGGAAGCTGAGACAGGAGAATTGCTTGAACTGGAGAGGCAGAGGTTGCAGTGAGCCAAAATCGTGTCGTTGTACTCCAGGCTGGGTGGCAGAGCGAGACTCTGTCTCATAGGAAAAAAAAAAAACAAAAAACCTTGGAGTCATCCCTTACGCCTCTCTTTTTTTCCCCACACCTCATATACCAAACCATCAGCAAATCCTGTTAGCTCTATTTCAGAATACAGGCACATCCAGCAAAATGTCTCTAGTTAACATTTTCACCATAGAATGCCTTTTTGTTTTTAATATCCAGCTTGGTTGTCAGCCTTCAAGATGGTCTCTAGTAATCCTCAACTCCTGCTATGCGACTTTGCATACTCCCTTTCCACACTGAGCAGGGCTGACCTATGCAACCAATAGGACACTGTGTAAATAACAATGTGTGGCTGGGGACAGTGGCTTATGCCTGTAATCCCAGCACTTTGGGAGGCCAGGATGGGCTGATCACTTGAGGTCAGGAGTTTGAGACCAGCCTGGACAACATGGTGAAACCCCATCTCTACTAAAAATACAAAAATTACCTAGGTGTCATGACGGGCGCCTGTAATCCCAACTGCTTGGGAGGCTAAGGTATGAGAATCACTTGAACCCGGGGGGAGGCAGAGGTTGCAGTGAGCTGAGATCGCACTGCTGCACTCCAGCTTGGGTGCCAGAGCAGACCCTGTCTCAAAAAAAAATGAAAAAACAATGTGTGACTTCTGAGGCTAGGTCATAAAAGACATTGTGGCTTCTGCCTTGTTCTCTTGGATCATTCCCTCTAGGGAAAGCCATCAGCCATGTTGTAAGGACATGTAAGCAGCTCTATGGAGAGAACTTCATGGCAAGGGACTGAGACCTCCTGTGAACAGCCAGTACCAACTTGCTAGTCATGAGTGAGTCATCTCGGAAGCAGATCATCTAGGCCCAGTCAAACCTTCAGATGACTTCAACGTAATAAGAGACCCTGAGCTTGAGCCATCCAGCTAAGCCACTCCCAAATTCTTGACCCACAAGAACTGTATGAGATAATAAATATTGTTGTTTTAAGCTGCTAAGTTTTGGCATAATTTGTTACACAGCAATAGTTAACTAATATACCAAACTTATGTTGATTCAGCTTATGTTTATTTATTTATCTATTGAGACAGGGTCTCACTCTGCCACCCAGGCCGAAGTGCAATAGTGTGATCATGGTTCACTGTAGCCTCAACCTCCCAGGCCCAAGTGATCCTCCCACCTCAGCCTCCCAAGTAGCTGGGACCACAGGCATGTGCCACCATGCCTGGCTAATTTTTTAATTTTTTGTAGAGACAGGGTCTCCTTATGTTGCCCAAGCTGCTCTCAAACTCCTTGACTCAAGTGATCTGCCTGCCTCAGCCTCTCAAAGTACTGGGATTACAGGTGTGAGCCACCACACCTGGCCCAGTGTATGTTTATACAGAAAATATGTATATTTACATCATTAAAATCTTATCTATATTTTTAACAAAGTAATGTGCATTTAAAGCTTCAAATTATATTCCAAATAGAACTGATAGAAAATTACTGAGTGCCAGCCTGGCTGACATAGTGAGACCCTGTCTCTACAAAATAAAAAATCAGCTGGGTGGGGCAGCTCATGCCTGTAGTCCCACCTACTTAAGAGGCTGAGGTGGGAGGATCGCTTGAGTACAGGAGGTCAAGGCTGCAGTGAGCCGTGATTGTGCCACTGTACTCCAGCCTGGGCAACACAGCAAGACCCTGTCTCAATCAATCAATCAATGGAAAATATATTAAGTTGAAGATTTCACACAGAATGTCCAATTTTCATGAAACAGATTACTGATGTTAAGTGGGAAATGCCTATATCCAGAATCTGACCACTTGTCACCTCCACAGCTACCACTGTGGTCAAAGCCACCAGTGTCTCTCTAGGAGATTGTTGCAGTAATCTCCTATCTAGTCTCCCCTCTTTTGCCCTTGTCCCTGCATAATCTGTGCTTCTTACAGCAAAGTGATTCTCTTGATACAGAACTCAGGTCATGCAGTTCCTCTGCTCACAACTCTGTAATGGTCCCACCTTACTCAGTGAGAAAGCCAATTTCCTCACAGTGGTGCACAAGGCCCCACTCAACATAACTCCTTCCCCATTACTTCTTTGACCTCATCTCTTATCCTTTTTCCCCACTAACTGTGATTCAGCCCAGCCATAGTGGCCTCCTGGCTTTCCTTAAGCCTCCTGGGCACTCTTTAACTTTAGAACTTTGCCGTTGCTGAACTTTCCCCCTGCACCCCACTTCACCTACTCCATTGCCTGGGCTAGTTATCTATGTGACTCAGTCCCTCACTCCCTTCAGGTTGCTGCTCAAGCATTACCTTATCAATATCCCTGCTCCTTACCCCTCTTGCCCTGCTTTATTTCTCTGGATTGAAGGTTACCCTGTGACCTACCACAAATTTCAGTATGGCTTTAAGCCACATGCGGGAGGAGTTCTATTTTTTTTGAGACAGAATCTCACTCTGTCACCCAGGCTGGAGTGCAGTGATGCAATCACAGCTAACTGTAGCCCTGGCCTCTCAGGCTCAAATGATCCTTCCACCTCAGCCTCCTGAGTACCTGAGACTACAGGCACGTGCCACCACGCCTGGCTAATTTTTTAATTTTTATTTTTGTAGAGATGGGGTCTCAGTATGTTGTCCAGGCTGTTCTCAAACTCCTGAACTGAAGATCCTCCCTCCTAGGGCTCCCAAAGTGCTGGGATTACAGGTGTGAGCCACCACATCCAGCCAACAGACATCTTTGGGAGGGAGATTTTTTTTTTTTTTGAGATGGAGTCTCATTCTGTCGCCCAGGCTGGAGTGCAGTGGCATGATCTTGGCTCACTGCAACCTCTGCCTCCTGGGTTCAAGCAATTCTTGTGCCTCAGCCTCCCGAGTAGCTGGGATTACAGGTGTGTACCACCATGCCCATCCAATTTTTGTATTTTTAGTAGAGATGGGGTTTCATCATGTTGGCCAGGCTGGTCCCAAACTCCTGACCTCAGGTGATCCACCGGCCTCGGCCTCCCAAAGTGCTGGGATTACAGGCATGAGCCACCGCGCCCAGCTGAACTTGTGTTTTTATCCCTCAGGCAATTAAAAAAGAAAAATGGAAGGGAAAACTGAAAGATCTCTGAAGAATGCCCAGCTCTGTCACACCTGTGATGTGGCCTCTGGAAACCCCTGCCTGTGGGGAAGACTTATCACTGGTACTACTCAGGTGTTCAGGAACAATGGCTCCGAAGTTAGAGGGACCTGGATTAACCTGGCCTGGTCTCAGTTTTCTCATTTATAAAATGGGATAGTAGTATTGATTCCTTGGGTTGTGGGAAGATTAAATGAAATAATCCATGTAATTTGATTACATACTCAGTTGCTCCCATTAGCACATCCTGATTATTCTTACTTAGCATTCAGTCCATGTGTGACTGCACTTATAATACCACATGAATCCAGTGGTCTGTGCCATGTAAATCGGGCCTCTGAGATTTTGCTCAGCCTACAGTGGCATATGGGCAAATACGCTTCTGACCTTGCAAAGCCAGGTGGGCCCTAGCCTGAAGCGACTCACCTTCAGGCTAGGGCTATCATATAGACAGTTGGGAGTCAGGTCAAAGAGCTGTCTTATAGACAGCTGGGAGTTCCTCCAGGCTAACTGGTTGTTCACTGGCTCTGGAGTTGCAGGAATAGACAACGGGCTCTCTGCTGCTCTTGGAAGTATCTCCTAAATTAAACTCCTTAATTAGCCAGGTATGGTGGCAGGCGCCTATAATCCCAGCTACTCAGGAGGCTGAGGCAGGAGAATCACTTGAACCCAGGGGGCAGAGGTTGCAGTGAGCTGATATCGCGCCATTGCACTCCAGCCTGGGCAAAAGATTGAAACTCTGTCTCAAAAAAAAAAACAACAAAAAAAAACAAAAAACTCCTTGGTCTGCCACATGCCACTGCTCTGTGACGTTGCACTTTTGGTTCAAAGACCCAAACAAGGTCTACAATAGCTTACTTATTCTGTCCTCAGGGCCCACTCTCCACTGATCCCTTGTGGGCTTTAGCTGACTAAGCCCAGTGTGGCTGAGTGGTACCCAGCACGGTACCTGCATGGGGAAGGGTTGGCGGGGGCCAGATCAGCTGGCCAGAGCTAGTGGATGCTTCCTTCACAATAGTTCTCCTGCCACCTGAGATCATACAGTATCTCAGCATCTCCTAGGTCAGTCTGGGGTCCAGCCAGAGGCCTGATGAAGCAAACAGCTCTCTGAATACTTACTCTGGAAACTCAGACAGGGAGGCTGAGTGAATCACAGCAAAATCCACCCCAACCCCCATTGGAGCCACAACTGTGCAACTGAAGCTCCTGGGAGGCTAGAATTGAAGAAGTTAGGCAAAGGAGGTCTCTTAGAACCAGCCCCAGATGCCCCTTCTCAGGGAACCCTTCTCAGACAACCCCTCTAGAAGCCCCAGGCCTTGCTTTTCCTAGAAGTGCCCTGCTATGCCTGTGAGCAATGTCACCAAACAAGTTGGCTCAATCAGCCCTTGTAGTGTGCCTCTCTCACTCAGGCAGCCTTGGAGCAGAGAAGGCCTTCAGAAGCCCCTCCCTACTGACTCCCTACCACTCCTGCTCCCTCTTCTTGCTTGGATAGCACTTCATTTCACCTTAACCCTTTGGAGCGGCCTGTCTGGAAAGGAGGTGCCAGGATACAGGATGTGTGGCAGACAAGGCCCAGGTGAGGCTGTGCTATGGCTGCTTCAGCAGGATGCCTACTCCATGCTGAGATCACAGTCTGGTCCTTGTCACTTCTGGCGGTTACTTCCCTCCCTGACAAAGGGTGCTCACTCTCCCTCTGCAAACTTGTGCCCAGAAAGGGTGGCTCACCCAGTACAAGGGACAACCCAGTTGCACCAGGCAAACTGGTGCAAAGTCCGGCCAGGCGCAGTGGCTCATGCCTGTAATCCCAGCACTTTGGGAAGCTGAGGCAGGCAGATCACCTGAGGTCAGGAGTTCAAGACGAGCCTGGCCAACATGGTGAAACCCCGTCTCTACTAAAAAAATACAAAAATACAAAAAATTAGCTGGGCGTGGTGGCGCATGCCTGTAATCCCAGCTACTCGGGAGGCTGAGGCAGGAGAATCGCTTGAACCTGGGAGGCGGAGGTTGCAGAGAGCTGAGATCACACCACTGCACTCCAGACTGGGCAACAAGAGTGAAACTCCGTCTAAAAACAACAAAGCAAAGACCCAAGCCCCTTCCAGGTGCTGCCCCGCTCATCCCAGTTACCTCTGTTGCTTTTTGAGAAGACTCTACCGGCCGAATATGTGTACGTTTGTTGGCGGGGCGGGGGTGGGGGAGTGGGGAGAGTCCTACCTGGCCACTGCCCCCTACCGGATCTCGCCCTCCCAGCCAAAGGATGGGTTCCAGATCTCGCCTTTTGTATTCCCCAGCTGGGGACTAGCCGGCTGAGGGACCGCAGGGAGACACAGTCTTCCCATTGCAAACGATAGCGTTGATGGCTGGAGGCCCCCGTCTTCAAGCCCCTCCCTCCAAAGATGACAGCTCTCCAGTCTCTAGGTGCCTCCAGGCCACGTGGGCTGGCAGTCAACTCACCTGTTTCTCAGAGGAGTCCAGGACGCACAGAAGGTGCCGGTCACTGCCCTCTGCCGGACCCATGGAGGGGTAAGGGTGTCCGGCCGGGGCCGGCCTGAGGGCACAGCTTCGCGGGGCCCCGGCCCCCTGCGTACACAGACATGGCCACAGCGCAGGCACCGCTCCCTCCCACCGCCCTCACCCGGCCGCCGGTGCAGGAAGATAGCTTTCGCCGGCCTCTCGCGGCCAAGGCCCAGCTCCAGCCGCTCAGCCCGACTCGGCCCGCCCCCGGGGTGCATTGTGGGAAATGTAGTCCTTAGCGTTTGGCCGCCTGCGGCGCCGAGGGACTGGTTCTGGGCTCCTAGTCCCAGCAGAGCCGTGGGCAGGTCCTGACCCGGGTCCGCGATTGCCTCATCCGGCGCCGCCTTCTAGGGGCCTGGGCGCCTCCTCCGAGTCTAGAGTCCCACACAGAACAGCCCTGGACTCTGGGCCTCTCCGTCCGAGCCAGCTAGCAGTTCATTTCAAGTGAGAGAAAGGGACGTTAGGATTGTTTCTCCCACTGATTGTGGAAGGACAGTGCAAGTTTGGGGGACTGGATAAATGTCATTAGTGGGCCCAGCCACACAGGCTGTAAAGGATGTGGGCATGCGCAAAAGTCGCACTAATTGTTTCTAAAAACATATTTGTAGCCACGTTTTAATGTATCAGTATAATGCTCTAGAACGGTAGTTCTCAACTCTGACGGCACATAGAATAAGCCGGGAAGCTTTAAAAAAAAAAAAAAAGAACTAGGACGGGCGAGGCGGCTCACGCCTGTAATCCCAACACTTGGGAGACCGAGGTGGGCGGATCACTTGAGGTCAGGAGTTCCAGACCAGCCTGGCCAACATGGTGAAACCCCATCTCTACTAAAAATACAAAAACTAGCCAGGCTTGATGGCGTGTGCCTGTAGTCCCAGATACTCGGGAGGCTGAAGTGGGATTCCAGGAGGTCGAGGTTGCTGTGAGCCATGATCATGCCCTGCACTCCAGCCTGAGCACCAGAGCGAGACCCTGTCTCAAAAACAACAACAAAAAAACTAATGCCTGGACACCAGCCCTAGAGATTTTGATTTAATTGAATTTAGAGTAGGGTGGAGTGTTGGGGAGCCAGGCATCACTATTGTTTTAAAAGCTCCCCAGGTGATTTACCATTGCAAAGAATCATTGTTTGTAATTTCCTAGACGCAAAGCAATAAAAACAACAGGAAAACAGTCAACAACAGGCTCTCCCAAAAGACCCTTATTTTTAGAGATGGTTTTAAAAAGTAAAATTAGTGTTTGGCACCACTGCTCATGTTCTTTTCTGAAGCAATTAATTCACTTTACAGCCTTATGGTTAATTCTCCCAAAAGTTAATAGGATGAAAAAAAAAGTCAGATCACTCCTCTGACTTTCCCTGCTGCTCCACAAGCACCTGGGGGCAGTGTCCTTTTCCTCTCTAAGCCCTACACTGGAGTTAGGGTAGAGCTCCGCCCCTGGGCTTTTCTTCCAGTCTCAGATGGCTGCCACTTGTAGCCTGCTTCCACAACACTGGCCTGTGACTGACATGGTGACAAAGCTGTGGCCTTTCACTGAAGATGGCTTTGCATAAGGCTATCAAGTTCTTGCACATAGTCTAAGGGAAGCTTTCTCACCCCCATGTCCCCCACTTTTAGGTAAGGACATAAGAAAATGCCCTATTCCTTAACTGAGAGTCTCTCCAGGTCTCCACAGATCACTCAGTATTTTATCTCCTCATTAGCTCAGAAGTCCAAGTTCCCTCCCTTAGGGCAAGAATCATTTATACAGTTGTTTTCTCTAATTATTACACTATAAGAGTTTGAGCCATGAGCTGGGCTTGGTGGCACAGCCTTGTAATCCCAATTACTCCACAGGCTGAAGCAGGAAGAATTACTTGAGCCCAGGAGATCAAGTCTGAAGTGAGCCATGATCATGGACAACAAGAAGGAGAAAGTTAAGAAAGAAGGAAGGAAGGGAGGGAGGGAGGAAGGAAGGAAGGAAGGAGAGTTTAAGTCAAGATATAACATTCTCTGCTTGGTACAGAAATGTCCTGGCTATGTTCCTTTCCTTTTTCTTTTTCTTTTTTTATTTTTTTTTTAGAGATGGTGGTTTCACTATGCTATGTTGACAAGGCTGGTATCGAACTCTTGGCCTCAAGCAATTTTCCCATCTTGGCCTCCCAAAGTACTGTGATTACAGGCATAAGCCACCATGCCTGGCTAATATCCTGCCTATATTTCATTAACTTGAATTTACACCCTATAGAATTCATCTCCATAGAAGACAAATTAATTTAATTTACTTATTTTTTTTCAAATGAAGTCTCTATCATCCAGGCTAGAGTGCAGTGGTGCCATCTCAGCTCACTGCAACCTCTGCCTTCTGGGTTCAAGTAGTTCTCTGCCTCAGCCTCCCGAGTGGCTGGGATTACAGGTACCTACCACCACGCCCAGCTAATTTTTGTATTTTTAGTAGAGACAGGGTTTCACCATCTTGGCCAGGCTGGTCTTGAACTCCTGACCTCGTGATCCACCCGCCTCAGCCTCCCAAAGTGCTGGGATTACAGGCATGAGCCACCACACCCCGCCCAGAAGACAAATTTAAAGTTTTCTTTTTTTTTTTTTTTTTGAGACGGAGTCTCGCTCTGTTGCCCAGGCTGGAGTGCAGTGACGTGATCTCAGCTCACTGCAACCTCCGCCTCCCGCGTTCAAGCAATTTTCCTGCCTCAGCCTCCAGAGTAGCTGGGATTACAGGTGCGTACCACCACGCCCGGCAAATTTTTGTGATTTTTGTATTTTTAGTAGAGACATGTTTCACCATGTTGGTCAGACTGGTCTCGAACTCCTGACCTCGTGATTCATCCATCTCGGCCTCCCAAAGTGCTGGGATTACAGGTATGAGCCACTGCGCCCGGCCAGTTTTTTGTTTTGTTTTGTTTTTTTGAGATGAAGTCTTGCTCAGTCACCCAGTCTGGAGTGCAGTGGCACTATCTCGGCTCACTGCAACCTTAGCCTCCCACGTTCAAGCGATTCTCCTGCCTCAGCCTCCCAAGTAGCTGGGACTACAGGCATGCACCACCATGCCCAGCTAATTTTTTTATTTTTAGTAGAGATGGGGTTCCACCATGTTGGCCAGGATGGTCTCAATCTCTTGACCTTGTGATCCGCCCGCCTCGGCCTCCCAAAGTGCTGGGATTACAGGCGTGAGCCACTGCGTCCAGCCTAATTTTTGTATTTTTAGTAGAGACGGGGTTTCACCAATGTTGGCCAGGCTGATCTCGAACTCCTGACCTTGTGATCCGCATCCACCCACCTCGGCCTCCCAAAGTGCTGGGATTACAGGTGTGAGCCACTGCGCCTGACCAAATTTAAAGTTTTCTACCTAACTAGTTCTTGACAGTCTCCATGTTTAGCTCAGGATTTCTTCCAGAGTCTTACTATTCCTGTTAAGCACATCAGCTCCACCAGATAGTACTACTGTCATCTGGAAGTATTACATCTACTTAGCTAAGCAAGTGGCCATATATCTCATATATTTCTCGCTAAGACTTGTGCCTAAGACATTCTCGCAGAGCAAATCATGGTGGGTACTTACTAAAACATCTTAGGTTATTACTTAAAACTTTGTTTTAATCCACTTTTTTTTTTTTTTTTGAAACGGTGTTTCACTCTTGTTGCCCAGGCTGAAGTGCAATGGTGCGATCTCGGCTCACCACAACCTCCTTCTCCCGGGTTCAGGCGATTTTCCTGCCTTAGCCTCCCAAGTAGCTGAGATTACAGGCATGTGCCACCACACCCGGCTAATTTTGTATTTTTAGTAGAGATGGGGTTTCTCCATGTTGGTCAGGCTGGTCTCGAACTCCCGACCTCAGGCAATCCACCCACCTCGGCCTCCCAAAGTGCTGGGATTACAGGCATGAGCCCCCATGCCCGGCCTTGTTTGTTTTTTGAGTCAGGGTCTTAATCTGTCACCCAGGCTGTAGTGCAGTGGCTCACTGCAGCCTTGACCTCCTGGGCCTAAGTGATCCTCCCACTTCAGCCTCCCGAGTGGCTGGGACCACAAGTGTGTGCCACCACATTGGGCAAGTTTTAAATTTTTTGTAGAAATGGCGTCTCCTTATGTTGCCCAGGCTGGTCTGGAACTCCTGGGCTCAAGCAATCCTCCTACCTTGGCCTCCCAAAGTGTTGGGATTACAGGTGTGAGCCACTGTGCCTGGACTGTTTTTATTTTTATATTGAGACAGAGTCTCAATATGTTGCCCAGACTGGCCAGGAACTACTGGGCCCAAGCCATCCTCCCACATCAGCCTCCTGAGTAATTAAGACTACACACCCAGCAAGGATACACTTGAGTTATAACCTTGCAGCACCTCAGGTTCTGACATCTTCACTAAAGCTAGAAAAGAGAAGAAATATGGGGAAGAACAAGACGTCTAATTGTTACATTTCTTCCGCCTTCACTTTTCAGCTGTGGCAAGTTACTTAACCTTTCTGGGCTCTGGTTTCCTTAACTATAAAAGGGGAGGCAGGGAGTGGTGGTTCATGCCTATAATCCCAGAACTTTGGGAAGCCGAGGTGGGTGGATCACCTGAGGTCAGGAGTTCGGGACCAGCCTGGCCAAGATGCTGAAACCCCGTCTCTACTAAAACTACCAAAAAATTAGCTGAGCATGGTGGTGTGAGCCTGTAATCTCAGCTACTCAGGAGGCTGAGGCAGGAGAATCGTTTGAACCCTGGAGGTGGAGGCGGAGGCGGAGGCAGAGGTTGCGGTGAGCCGAGATCGCGCCACTGCACTTCAGCCTGGGTGAAAGAGCAAGACTGTCTTGGAAAAAAAAAAAAAAACTATAAAAGGGGATAATATTGGCCAGGCTAGTGGCTCATGCCTGTAATCCAGCACTTTGGGAGGCTGAGGCAGGTGGTCATGAGGTCAAGAGATCAAGACCATTCTGGCCAACATAGTGAAACCCTGTCTCTACTAAAAATACAAAAATTAGCTGGATGTGGTGGCATGTGCCTATTGTCCCAGCTACTCGGGAGGCTAAGATGGAAGAATCGCTTGAGCCGGGGAGGCGGAGGTCACAGTGAGCCGAGATTGTGCCACTGCACTCCAGCCTGGTGACAGAGCGAGACTCCATCTCAAAAAACAGGGGATAATGTCATATAGTTATTACGAGGATTAAATGAAATCATAGATGAAGTGCCAGCACCATGCCAGGCACGTGGTTTGATAAAGTGTAGCAATTATTATTACCCAAGGAGATTGGGCCTAAACCAATAATAATTAGTTCCTTAATATGGTATATACCTCTTAAGAGGATAAAGTATTATCTGATAAGTGAAAGATCCATCAGTAAAGGCCTAGGGCCTAGTTTGAGAAGCAAAGTCAAAATACCCATAATTCTTTTTTTTTTTTTTTTTTTTTTTTTTTAGACAGTCTCACTCTGTTGCGCAGGCTAGAGTGCAGTGGTGTGATCTTGGCTCACTGCATCCTCCACCTCCCAGGTTCAAGCGATTTTCCTGCCTCAGCCTCCTGAGTAGCTGGGATTACAGGTGCCTGCCACCATGCCCAGCTAATTTTTGCATTTTTATTAGAGATGAGGTTTCACCATGTTGGCTAGACTGGTCTCAAACTCCTGAACTCAGGTGATCCACCCACCTTGGCCTTCCCAAAGTGCTGGGATTACAGGCATGAGCCACCGCACCTGGCCAAAATACCCATAGTTCTGTTCCTCCTCTTCCCTGAAACCTGTTAGCACTGGTGTGGCCTAGGTGTTCAAGGCTTAAACTTTGCTTTCCCATCTCTGCTTACTCCTTTACTCCCTTGGTTATCTCATCCAGGCCTGTGGCTTTAGATATTAGCAACATGCTGATACCTCCCAGATTTGCATCTCTAGTCCTGATCTTTATCCTGAACTCCAGACTGATGGAACCGACTTCCAGCTCCACATCTCACTTGTCTACTGGTTATTAGAAAACTCTACCTACCCAAAACTGAGCTCCTGCTCTTCCTACCAAAACTGTTTCTCCCAAATTCTTCCCTATCTTCCTTCATTCCAGTCCAACAGGTCTGTCTCCTGTTTCTACTGTGGCCACACTGCTGCAAGCACCATCCTTCTGTGGTTGGAATTTTTTTTTCCTTGAGATGGGGTCTTGCTCTGTTGCTCAGGCTGAAATACAGTGGCATGATTGTGGCTTCTTCCAAGTCTTGTAGGCTGCTGAATTTGGTTTCTGTAAGGAGGGAGATGGAAAGTTGTTAGAGGGCTCTGAACAGAGAGATATCATAACCTGAATTCCATGTTAACAGGATTCCTCTGATTGCTGTGTGGAAAACAGACTGAAGGTGGGAAAGGGGAGAAGCAGAACAGCTAGTTGGGAGGCTGCTGCAATAATCCAACCACATTGTTTGAACCCAGGAGTTCGAGGCTGTAGTGAGCTATGATCGTGCCACTGTACTGCAACCTCCACACCTTTCTGACCAAGACTGACTTGTCTCATCACACTTCTCCAAAACAATTCTGTTCCAGACTCCTTAATGATCCTTAAAAATTCTAGTCATGCTCATACCTCAGGGCCTTTGGCCTTGCTATTCTTTCTGTTCAGAACATTCTTTCCCCAGGTATCCCAATAGCTTGGTTCTCATCTTCTTTGGGTCTTTATTCCAAGAGCTCAGTGAGGCCTTCCCTCACTGCTCTAAAGTTACAACTTCCCACCAGAACTCCTCACTCTCCTTCCCTCCCTTATTTTTCTCCATAGCATTACCACCACCAGAGAGATTGTGTATCTTTTTTTTTTTCTTTTTTTGAGTTGGAGTCTCTGTCACCAGGCTGGAGTGCAGTGGCACAATCTCAGCTCACTGCAACCTCTGTCTCCAGGGTTCAAGCAATTCTCCTGCCTCAGCCTCCCAAGTAGCTGGGACCACAGGCACACGCCACCAAGCCCAGCTAATTTTTGTATTTTTAGTAGAGACGGGGTTTCACCATGTTGGCCAGAATGGTCTCGATCTCTTGACGTCGTGATCTGCCTGCCTCGGCCTCCCAAAGTCTGGGATTACAGGCGTGAGCCACCACGCCCAGCCTTTGAGACAGTCTCGCTCAATTGCCCAGAGCTGGAGTGCAATGGTGCGATCTTGGCTCATTGCAACCTCTGCCTCCCGGGTTCAAGTGATTCTCCTGCCTCAGCTTCCCGAGTAGCTGGGATTACAGGTGTGTGCCACCATGCCTAGCTAATTTTTGAATTTTTAGTAGAGACGGGGTTTCACCATGTTGGCCAGGCTGGTCTTGTACTTGTTAACTCATGATCCACCCACCTCAGCCTCCCAAAGTGCTGGGATTACAGGCGTAAGCCTCCATTCCTGGCCTAAGTGTACTTTATTTTTGAATGTTTAATGGGCTTTTCTTGCAGAAGACTTTTTTGATCCCATAATGTTGAATTTAGGCTATAAAATCAGGTTACCTTCCCTAAGGGCCCACTGACAGGAACACCAGATGGCCAAGACTAGCAAGTCTTTCAACAATGTAGACAGTACACCTAAGAACTTCAAGCTGGCAGTTGGAAGAACATTAGGTTGAAGATGCTGGAAACGAGCTGCAAATCGAGTTGTGTTGCCCCGTTTTCTGCTAGATTGCTGACTTGCAGTTTCCTTCCAGCTCCTCTGTGACCTTGCACAAGTCAGTCTTGGCCAGATTTATTGCCCAAGAGCTAGCAAGACCTGTGGAAGCTGGGTGGCTTTTCCTTTATGGGTTGAACCTTTAACACAGATGAAGTTTTTTTTTTTGTTTTGTTTGTTTTTGAGATGGAGTCTTGCTCTGTCCCCCAGGCTGGAGTGCACTGGTGTGATCTCACCTCACTGCAACCTCCACCTCCCGGGTTCAAGCGATTCTCCTGCCTCAGCCACCCGACCAGCTGGGGATTACAGGCGCCTGCCACCGTGCCTGGCTAATTTTTGTATTTTTAGTAGAGACGAGGTTTCACCATGGTGGTCAGGCTGGTCTTGAACTCCTGACCTCAGGTGACCCGCCCACTTTGGCCTCCCAAAATGCTGGGATTACAGGCATGAGCCTGTCTGCTATTCTTGAGCAGGGAATACATAATTTGGAAACTCATCAGAAGGAAAAGGGGCTGAGTGGAGGGGAAGGAAATTGCTTTAGTTCAGGAGTTCGAGACCAGCCTGGGCAACATAGTGAGACCTTGTCTCTAAAAAAAAGAAAGAAAGAAAGAAAAAGAATAGATTATGAGCAAATGCATGGAGATAAAGGAAAAGGGGATGAGCCTCCATGACATATTGATTCTCTAATCCAAGTTTTTCTGTTGTACCTATTGTCAGGTTTCAGGTAGAAGGGCTGGGAGGGCCAGGAGCCAGGGCCTTCTGTGGGTGCACGGCCATCAGCCCCTTTTCTTTCTTTCTTTTTTTTCAGACGGAGTCTTGCTCTGTCGCCCAGGCTGGTGTGCAGTGGCGCAAATCTCGGCTCACTGCAAGCTCCGCCTCCCGGGTTCATGCCACTCTCCTGCCTCAGCCTCCCCAGTAGCTGGGACTACAGGCGGCTGCCGCCACGCTCGGCTAATTTTTTGTATTTTTAGTAGAGACAGGGTTTCACCGTGTTAGCCAGGATGGTCTCGATCTCCTGACTTCGTGATCCGCCCGCCGCGGCCTCCCAAAGTGCTGGGATTACAAGCGTGAGCCACTGCGCCCAACCTCTTTCTTTTTCTTTTTTGAGACGGAGTCTTGCTCTGTTGTGAGGCTGGAGTGCAGTGGCGCGATCTCGGCTCACGGCAACATCCGCCTCCCGGGTTCAAGCAATTCTCTGCCTCAGCCTCCTGAGTAGCTGAGATTACAGGCATGCGCCACCACGCCCGGGTAATTTTTGTATTTTTAGTAGAGACGGGGTTTCACCATCTTGGCCAGACTGGTCTTGAACTCCTGACCTCGTGATCCACCCGCCTCGGCCTCCCAAAGTGCTAGGATTACAAGCGTGAGGCACTGCGCCCGGCCTCTTTCTTTCTTTCCTTTTTTCTGAGACGGAGTCTTGCTCTATTGTCCAGGCTGGAGTGCAGTGACACAGTCTAGGCTCACTGCAATCTCTGCCTCCCGGGTTTAAGTGATTCTCCTGCCTCAGCCTCCCGAGTAGCTGGGATTACAGGCGCCTGCCACCAAGCCCGGGTAATTTTTTTTTTTTTTTGCGACAGTCTCCCTCTGTCGCCTAGGCTGGAGTGCAGTGGCGCTATCTCGACTCACTGCAAGCTCCGCCTCCCGGGTTCACGTCATTCTCCTGCCTCAGCCTCCTGAGTAGCTGGGACTACAGGTGCCCGCCACCACGCTCCACTAATTTTTTGTGTTTTTAGTAGAGACAGGGTTTCATCGTGTTAGCCAGGATGGTCTTGATCTCCTGACCTCGTGATCCACCCGCCTCGGCCTCCCACAGTGCTGGGATTACAGTCGTGAGCCACTGCGCCCAACTTCTTTCTTTCTTTCTTTCTTTTGAGACGGAGTCTTGCGCTGTTGCCAGGCAACAGTGCAGTGGCGCGATCTCGGCTCACTGCAACCTGTGCTTCCCGGGTTCAAGCAATTCTCTGCCTCAGCCTCCTGAGTAGCTGGGATTACAGGCATGCGCCACCACGCCTGGCTACTTTTTGTATTTTTAGTAGCGATGGGGTTTCACTATCTTGGCCAGGCTGGTCTTGAACTCCTGACCTCGTGATCCACCCACCTCGGCCTCCCAAAGTGCTAGGATTACAAGCATGAGCCACTGCGCCCGGCCTTTTTCTTTCTTTCTTTTTTTCTGAGGTGGAGTCTTGCTCTATTGTCCAGGCTGGAGTGCAGTGGCACAGTGTCGGCTCACTGCAACCTCTGCCTCTGCCTCCCGGGTTTAAGTGATTCTCCTGCCTCAGCCTCCCGAGTAGCTGGGATTACAGGCACCTGCCACCAAGCCCGGGTAATTTTTGTATTTTTGGTAGAGATGGGGTTTCACCATGTTGGCCAGGCTGGTCTAGAACTCCTGACCTCAGGTGGTCCACTCGCCGCGGCCTACCAAAGTGCTGGGATTACAGGCGTGAGCCACCGCGCCCCGCCAACCAGCTGGAGATGGCTTAAACTTACTCCCGAAGAAGCTCCCTTCCATTTCTCTCACACTAACGGACAATAAGGAGGCCTCGAGCTAGGCAGGCCAGGGCCGTACCCGAGCTGCTGGCAGGGAGCAAACCTCAGGAAAGTCAAGCCACCAAAAAACTGTAAGCCTCAATCAACTGAGAGGAAAGCACAAGAGGACCAGGTGTCACAGGGCAGAGGCCAAACCACAACTCCCAGCAGGTCACGCGGAGTAGGGCGGGTAAGCGCGCCTTCTTATTGGATGGCGATGGACAGCGTGCTCTTACGACCCACCCCAGAAGGCAAGTCCCCTGCGCGCGGGGCACGGCGGGAGTAAGAGTCTGCGGGACCGGCAGCTGTACTTCATCTCCCAGCGGGCCGAGCGCTGAAGGCAGCGGCGCGGCGCCTTTGTGGTAGCAGTGGCCCCGCGCGGAGGAAGTTCCGGTGTCCGCGGCGCTGGGTCGGTGGCGGAGGCTGAGGAGAAGGAGGAGCGGGCCGTGGAGGCTTCGCCGCCTAGGTAAGGGCCCGGGACTGGAGGGGAGGCGTGCCAGAGCCTGCCAGGGAATAGCCAGCAGACAGGCCCGCTCTAGACATCGCAGGCCCGCGCAGCCTGAAAGCTGTGGCTTCAGTGTCGCGGGGCGGCTGCGGCCTCGCTCGGGAAGAAGACCAAGCAACGGTGAGATGAGGGAGGCGCCGCCCGTGGCAGGAACGCCCCGGAACCGTCGCGGGCCTGGGGCGGGGCCCGGCGCGGCAGTAGATTACCGGTCCCGCCGCGGAGCGGCCAGCTGTGAGGCTGGGGCCGGCGCGTGGTTGCGGCTCTGTGCTCCTACTCTTCGGAGCTGTAAGCGGGCTGTTCTTGCGGTTTTCCTGTTTCAGATCCAATTCTGTGGCATCACTAGGAAGGGAGCTCTTGTGCTTAGCACGTAGCCTCGTCCTCAGACTTGGACAGACACAAGGGAGGCTCCGCTGGACCGGAGGGCACAAGAGCTCCGAGCCCGGTCGTCGGGGCGGTAGAACCTGGAAGCGGGAGAGTGGTCTGGTGGGTTCTGCGCCCGTTAGGCAATGAAGGAGAAGGATGTTTTATCGTATTCACGCTTTAGATTCCATTAGCGGTGTAAATAGATGTTTTTCTCTTTATTTTAGAATTGACGTTAGGCGAATGGGTTCAACTTTGGGAATGCCTTTTTTTTTTTTTTTTTTTTGAAGGAAGGGCCCTGTTTCGTAGGGTACATAAACCGTGAGCGTAATTGTATTTTTTGCATATTCCAGGTTTGCTTGTGAAGGTCAGAGTAGCCGGATTTAAGTGAAGGAGTTCAGTAGACATGCAGACATGGTCACCTGGTTCATTTTCTGAACCCTGGATTGTGCCCTCGGCTTGCTAGTTTCCACCTTCCTATTGAGAAATGCCACCAGCGTGAATGATTTAAATATGTCACCATTACTGAATTTGTGAGGTCTCTAACGAGAGGTGTCAAGAGCTGGTGCGTGATGGTAGGACTGGCAGTGAAGAAAGTAACTAAATAATATGTTACCATTTTGGTGAAACACAAAAGTTGAATTTGAACCTTGTCTCAGAAACTAGCATCTAACTAGATACCTAACCTGCAGGACAGGTCCCAGGTCTCTCTGGATAGTTGTAGCACCTTTCCTTATAGAATTCTATTACCAGGCCGAGCCTGGTGGCTCACACCTGTAATCCCAGCACTTTGGGAGGCTGAGGTGGGGAGTTCGAGACCAGCCTGACTAACATGGAGAAACCGCGTCTCTACTAAAAGTACAAAATTAGCCGGGCATGGTGGCACATGCCTGTAATCCCAGCTACTTGGGAGGCTGAGGCAGGAGAATCGCTTGAACCTGGGAGGCGGAGGTTGCGGTGAGCTGAGATTGCTCCATTGCACTCCAGCCTGGGCCACAAGAGTGAAACTCTGTCTCAAAAAAAAAAAAAAAAAAAAAAAAAAAAAACCCGCAAAACTCAACAAAAACCAACATAGTAGAGGCAGCGTTTCGCCTTATGCCCAGCTAATTTTTTGTATTTTTTTAGTAGAGGCGGAGTTTCGCTATGTTGGCCAGGCTGGTCTTGAACTACTGACCTCAGGTGATCCACCTGCCTTGGCCTCCCAAAGTGCTGGGATTACAGGCGTGAGCCACCGTGCCCGGCCCTGTTATAGTATTTCTAAAACAAATTGTGAGCCTGGGCAACATCGCAAAACCCTGTCTCTACAAAAAATACAAAAAAAAAAAATTAGCCAGGCGTGGTGGCATGCTCCTGTTAGCCCTAACTACTCAGGAGGCTGAGATGGAAAAATCGCTTGAGCCGGGGAGGTAGAGGTTGTAGTAAGGGGAGATAGTGCCACTGCACTCCAACCTGGGCCACAGAACAAGACTGTCTCAAAAAAAAAAAAATCAATTAAATAAATTGTGGTAAATATATATTTTTATGTATGTTTATGTATATTTTAACAAAATTTGCTCTTTAAACCATTGTTAAGTATACAATTCAGCCAGGCACGGTGGCTCACGCCTGTAATCCCAGCACTTTGGGACGCCGAGGTGGGCGGATCACGAGGTCAGGAGATCGAGACCATCCTGGCTAACACGGTGAAACCCCATCTCTACTAAAAATACAAAAAATGAGCCGTGCGTGGTGGTGGGCGCCTGTAGTCCCAGGTACTCAGGAGGCTGAGGCAGGAGAATGGTGTGAACCCGAGAGGCGGAGCTTGCAGTGAGCCGAGATTGCGCCACTGCACTCCAGCCTGGGCAACAGAGCGAGACTCCGAGACTCCATCTCAAAAAAAAAAAAAAAAAGTATACAATTCAATGGTATTAATTACATTCACAATGTAGTACAAGCAATACCACTATTTCTGAAACTTTAGTATCTCAAACAGAAACTCTGTAACCAGGGAGGGCATGGTGGCTCACGCCTGTAATCCCAGCACTTTGGGAGGTCAACGTGGGCAGATCACTTGAGTTCAGGAGTTCAAGAACAGCCTGGCCAACATGGTGAAACCCCGTATCTACTAAAAATACAAAAATTAGCCATGCATGGTGGCATGCATCTGTAACACCAGCTACTAAGGAGGCAGAGGTTGCAGTGAGCTGAGGTCATGCCATTGCACTTCAGCCTGGGCTGCACAGCCAGACTCCATCTCAAAAAAAAAGAAAAAAAGAAACTGTAACCATTAAACAAGTTAACTTCCCATTTCCTCCTCTTAATCTCTAATCTACTTTGTGTCTGTCTGTGAGTGTGCTTGTTCTAGGTACTGCAAATACTAAATGGAATCATACAGTATTGTCCTTTTTTGTGTCTGGTTTATTTCACTTAGTGTAATGGTTTCAAGGTTGATCCATGTTGTACTGTGTATCAGAATTTCATTCCTTTTTAAGGCTTAATCCGTTGTGTGTGTACACTACATTTTGTTTATTAATTCATTTGTAGCAGACACTTGGGTTGCTTCTGCCTTTTGACTATTGTAAATAATGATGCTGTGATCATTGGTGTACAAATATCTCTTTGAGTCCCTGCTTTGAATTCTTTTGGGTATATACCCAGAAGGGAAATTGCTATATGGTAATTATTATTATTATTAATTATTTTATTTATTTTTTTTTGAGACAGGGTCTTGCTCTGTTGCCCAGGCTGGAGTTCAGTGGCACAGTCATGGCTCACTGCAGCCTCGAACTCGAGCTCAAGCAGTCATCCCGCCTCAGCTTCCTGAGTAGCTGGGACTACAGGCATGGGCTGCCACAACCAGCTAATTTTTTTGTTTAATTTTTATTTTTTGTGATGAAGTCTTGCCTTGTTGTCTAGGGTGGTCTCGAACTCCTGAGTTCAAGTGATCCTCCTGTCTTGGCCTCCCGAAGTGCTGGCATTACAGGCATGAGCCACCACATCTGGCCCATAATTTTTTTATTTTAATTTTTTTGTGGAGACAGGGTCTCCCTATGTTGCCTATGCTGGTCTCAAACTCCTGGCCTCAAGCCATTTTCCCTCCTTGGCCTCTCAAGGTACTGGTATTACAGGCATGAGCCACTGCACCCAGTTGATACTTGGTTATTATATGTTTAGCTTTTTGAGGACCCACCATACTGTTTTCCTCAATGGCTGCATCGTTTTACATTCCCACCAGTAATACACAAGGGTTCCAATTTTCCCACATCCTCCCCAACACTTATTTTCTGTTTTTCCTTTTTTGATAAATTTGTGTGTGTATATGTGGTTTTTTATTTGTGTGTTTTGATGATAGCCACCCTAATGGGTGTGAAGTGGTATCTCGTTGTGTTTTCTTGGTTTTTGCTTGTTTGTACCTTTTTACCCATTTTTAAGTGTGCTACTTAGTAGTAGTAAGTACATTCTTCTTTTTGTGCAACCATAATAAAAATCCAGCTTCAGAACTTTTTTCATCTTCCCAAACTGAGTTTCTGTACCCATTGAATAGTAACTCCCTATTCTCTCCTCCCCTGACAATCACCATTCTGCTTTCTGTCTCTATGAATTTGACTACTCTAGGTATCTCATGTAAGTGGAATCATATAATATTTGATCTTTTGTGTATGGCTTATTTTACTTAGCATAATATCTTCAGGATTCATCCATCTTGTAGTATGTATCAGAATTTTATTCCTTTTTAAGGCTGAGTAATATTCCATTATACATATATACCACATTTTGTTTATCCATTTATCTATTGATGGACATTTGGGTTGTTTCCACCTTTTTGCTCTTGTGAATATAATGGTGCTATGAATATCAGTGTACAAATATCTTTTTTTTTTTTTTTTTTGTGAGACAGTATCGCTCTTGTCACCCAGGCTGGAGTGCAGTGGCGCGACCTTGGCTCACTGCAACCTCTGCCTCCTGGGTTCAAGGCATTCTCCTGCCTCAGCCTCCCGAGTAGCTGGGATTACAGATGTGCGCCACCATGCCTAGCTAATTTTTTTATTTTTAGTAGAGAAGGAGTTTCGCCATGTTGGGCAGGCTGGTCTTGAACTTCTGACCTCAGGTGATCAACCTGCCTCGGCCTCCCAAAGTGGTGGAATTACAGGTGTCAGCCACCGCGCCCAGCCACAAATATCAAGTCTTTACTTTCATTTCTTTTGGGAATATATATACTCAGAAATGGAATCGACAATTGACAGAGCAAATGGTAATTCTATGTGTAATTTTTTTTTAAATTTTTTTTTTTGAGACGGATTCTTGCTCTGTCGCCCAGGCTGGAGTGCAGTGGCGTGATCTCGGCTCACTCCAAGCTCCGCCTCCTGGGTTCTTGCCATTCTCCTGCCTCAGCCTCCCGAGTAGCTGGGACTACAGCATCCGCCACCACGCCCGGCTAATTTTTTGTATTTTTAGTAGAGACGGGGTTTCACCGTGTTAGCCAGGATAGTCTCCATCTCCTGACCTCATGATCTGCCCGCCTTGGCCTCCCAAAGTGCTGGGATTACAGGCGTGAGCCACCGCGCCCGGCCAATTTTTTTTTTTTTTTTTTTTAGACAGGGTCTTGCTCTGTTGTCCAGGCTGGAGTGCAGTGGTGCAGTCACAGTTCTCTGCAGCCCTGACCTTCTCAGTTCAAGCTATCCTCTCACCTCACCCTCTTAAGTAGCTGAGACTACAGGTGCATGCCACCATGCCTAACTAATTTTTTTATTTTTTTGTAGCTGTGGGATTTCGCTAGGTTGCCCAGGCTTTATGTATCATTTTTTGAGGAACTGCCTTACTGTTTTCCACACTGGTTGCACCATTTTACATTCTGTTAGCAGTGTACAAAGGTTTTGTTATAGACTGAATTGTGTCCCCCTGAAAATTCACGTGTTGAAGCCCTAAGCCCCAGTGTGACTGTATTTGGAAATAGGACCTTTACAGAGAAATTAAAAAGTTAGAAGATATCATAAGGGGCTGGGCGCGGGTGGCTCATGCCTGTAATCCCAGCACTTTGGGAGGCTGAGGCAGGCGGATCACAAGGTCAGGAGATCGAGACCATCCTGGCCAACACGGTGAAACCCCGTCTCTACTAAAAATACAAAACATTAACCGGGCGTGGCGGCATGCACCTGTAGTCCCAGCTGCTGGGGAGGCTGGGGCAGGAGAATGGCGTGAACCCGGGAGGCACAGCTTGCAGTGAGCCAAAATCGCGCCACTGCACTCCAGCCTGGGCGACAGAGCGAGACTCCATCTCAAAAAAAAAAAAAAAAAAAAAAAAAGAAGATATAAGGATGAGACCTTAATCCAGCAGGACTGCTGTCTTCGTAAGAAAAGGACTGGATACCAGGAGTGCGTGTACAGAGAGAAAAAGCTGCATGAGGACAGAGGTAGAAGGGGGCTGCCTGCAAGCCAAGGAGAGAGACCTCACCTAAAACAAACCTTGCTGACACCTTGATCTTGGACTCCCAGCCTCCAGAGCTGTGAGAATAATTTCTGTGGCTTAAGCCTTCCACTCCATGGTATTTTGTTATGGCAGTCCTAGCATACTGTGTAATATAGGTTTCAATTCAGTTTCTCTGCATCCTCCACATCCTGGCCAACACTTGTTATTTTCTTTCTTTTTTTTTTTTGGAGACAGATTCTCGCTCTGTCACGCAGGCTGGAGTGCAGTGGCACAATCTTGGCTCACTGCAACCTCCACCTCCCGGGTTCAAGCGATTCTCCTGCCTCAGCCTCCCGAGTAACTGGGATTACAGGCAGCCGCCACCGTGCCCAGCTAATTTTTGCATTTTAGTTGAGATGGTGTTTCTCCATGTTGGCCAGGCTGGTCTTGAACTCCTGACGTCAGGTGACCCGCCAGCCTTGGCCTCCCAAAGTGTTGGGATTATAAGCATGAGCCACCGCGCCTGGCATTTTCTTTTTTTTTGAGACAGAGTCTCACTCTGTTGCCCAGGCCGGAGTGAAGTGGCATGATCTCGGCTCACTGCAACCTCTGCCTCCCAGATTGAAGCAATTCTTGTGCCTCAGCCTCCCGGGTAGCTGGGATTACAGGCGTGTGCCACCACGCCTGGCTAATTTTTGTATTTTAGTAGAGACAGGGTTTCACCATATTAGCCAGGCTGGTCTTGAACTCCTGACCTCAAGTGATCTGTCCACCTTGGCCTCCCAAGGTGCTGGGATTACAGGTGTGAGCCATCTCACCCGGCCTATTTTCTGTTTCGTTTTTTTTTTTTTCATTAGTAGCTATCCTAGTGGATGTGAAGTGGTATCTTATTGTGGTTTCTGATTTGCATTTCCCTGATGATAAGTGATGTTGAGCGTCTGTTCATGTTCTTATTGGCTATTTGCATATTCTCTTTTGGAGAAGTATCTATTCATGTCTTTTGTTGACCATTTTAAAATGGGGTTTTTCATCCTGGCTAACACGGTGAAACCCTGTCTCTACTAAAAATACAAAAAAAAAAAAAAAAAAAAATTAGCCGGGCGCAGTGGCAGGCGCCTGTAGTCCCAGCTACTCGGGAGGCTGAGGCAGAAGGATGGTGTGAACCTGGGAGGCAGAGCTCGCAGTGAGCAGAGATTGAGCCACTGCACTCCAGCCTGGGCGACAGAGCGAGACTCCGTCTCAAAAAAAAAAAGGGGGGGGGGGGGGGTTTTGAGCTGGGTGTGCAGGTGCACACCTGTATTCCCAGCTGCTCAGGAGGCTGAGGTAGGTGGATCTCTTGAGCCCAGGTGTTTGAGGGTGCAGTGAGCTGTGATTGCACCACTGGACTCTACCCTGGGTGACAGAGTGGCCCAGTCTCTAAAAATAAAATAAAATTAGGTTTTTGTCTGTGTTGTTGAGTTTTAGGAGTCCTTTATACACTCTAGATATTAATTCCTTGTCAGATATTTGACTTACAAATATTTTCTCTCTGTGGTTGTCTTTATACTCTGTTGATAGTGTCTTTTGATGCACAGAGGTTTTCATTTTGATGAAGTCCAATTTATCTTCTTTTTTTAAAATCTGTGCCTCATCTGCAAATATTACCAATCGAAAGTCATGAAATTTTTCCCCTAAGATTTTATAGTTTTAGCGCTTACGTTTGGGTCTTTGATCCAATTTGAGTTAATTTTTTATATATTTTTGTTGTGTAAGAGTCCCACTTTATTGTTATGCATGTGGATATTCAGTTTTCGGAGTACCATTTTCCATTTGGGAAAAAGATTGTACTTTCCCCATTGGATGGTCTTGACACCTTTGTTGAAAATCAGTTGACTAAAGTTCAAGACTAGCCTTGCCAACATGGCAATATCCCGTCTGTACTAAAAATACCACAATTAGCTGGGCATGGTGGTGCCTGGCTGTAATCCCAGCTACTCGGGAGGCTGAGGCAGGAGAATCGCTTGAACTGGGAGGTGGAGGCTGCAGTGAGCTGAGATTGCGCCACTGCCCTCCAGCCTGGGCGACAGAGCGAGACATGAGAATCTGTCTTAAAAAAAAAAGAAAATTGACCATATATGTGAGGATTTATTTCTGGTCTCTCCATTCAGTTGATTGGTCTTTATGTCTATCTTTATGTCCTTACTGCACTGTTGTGATGGCTGTAGCTAAATGGTACACTTAAAAATGGTTAAAATAGGCCAGGCACGGTGGCTCACGCCTATAATCTTAGCACTTTAGGAGGCTGAGGTGGGCAGATTGCCTGTGCTCAGGGGTTCGAGACCAGCCTAGGCAACATAGTGAAACCCCGATTTTACTAAAATACAAAAATTAGCTGGGTGTGGTGTGTGCCTGTAATTCCAGCTACTCAGGAGGCTAAGGCACAAGAATTGCTTGAGGCCTGGTGCTGTGGCTCACGCCTGTAATCCCAGCACTTTGGGAGGCCGAGGCAGGTCAAGAGATCGAGACCATCCTGGCCAATGTCATGAAACCTAGTCTCTACTAAAAATACAAAAAATTAGCTGGGTGTGGTGGCGCGCACCTAGTCCCAGCTACTTGGGAGGCTGAGGCAGGAGGATCACTTGAACCCAGGAGGTGGAGGTTGCAGTGAGCCAAGATTGCGCCACTGCACTCTAGATTGGCAGCAGAGTGAGACTCTGTCTCAAAAAAGAAAAAAAAAAAAAAGAATTGCTTGAACCCAGGAGGTAGAGGTTGCAGTGAGCTGAGATTGCACCCTGCACTCCAGCCTGGGCAACAGAGTGAGACTATTTACATACCCAATTTTTTTTTTTTTTTTTTTTTGGGATGGTGTCTTGCACTGTCGCCCAGGCTGGAGTGCTGTGGCGTGATCTTGGCTCACTGCAACCTCTGCCTCCTGGGTTCAAGCAATTCTCCTGCCTCAGGCTCTCAAGTAGCTGGGTTACAGGTACCTGCCACCACGCCTGGCTAATTTCTTGTATTTTTAGTAGAGATGGAGTTTCACTATATTGGCCAGGCTGGTCTCAAATTTCTGACCTTGTGATCCGCTGGCCTCAGCCTCCCAAAGTGCTGGGACTACAGGTGTGAGCCACCACGCCTGGTCATACCCAAATATTTTACCATAATTATACAAGAATTTATTATTTTTATTTTTTTCTTTTTAAATTCTTTAATCTTCTTCATTTGTTAATGCTTTGCTGAATCATAAAAAATTATGAAATAAAAAGAATAGGTCTTGTTGATTCTTCTTTTTACTTACCTCCCCCTACTTACCCCCTCTTACTTTATCAAAGAAAACACTTCATTTGAAACTTAACGGAAGTACATTCTCCCAGAGAGGAAAATCCTTCAGGACAACATTTTTTTTTGTTTGCTTGTTTTTTTTGAGACGGAGTCTCACTCTGTCCCCGAGGCTGGAGTGCAGTGGTGTGATCGCAGCTCATTGCAACCTCTGCCTCCCGGGTTCAAGCGATTCTCCTGCCTCAGCCTCCCGAGTAGCTGGGACTACAGGCGCCTGTCACCATGCCCTGCTAATTTCTGTATTTTTAGTAGAAACAGTTGGCCAGGATGGTTTCAATCTTATGACTTTGTGATCTGACCACTTTGGCCTCCCAAAGTGCTGGGAATACAGGCGTGAGCCACAGTGCTCAGCCAATTTTTTGTATTTTTAGTGGAGAAAAGGTTTCACCGTCTTTGCCAGGATGGTCTTGATCTCCTGACCTCGTGATCCGCCCGCCTCCCAAAGTGCTGGGATTACAGGCCTGAGCTACCACGCCCAGCCTTTTTATTTTTTTATTTTATTTATTTTATTCTCAGCCTTCTGGGTAACTGGGACTACAGGTGTATACCACCACGCTCAGCTAATTTATGTATTTTTAGTAGAAATGGGGTTTCGCCATATTGGCCAGGCTGGTTTTGAATTCCTGGTCTCAAGTGATCTGCCTGCCTCCGCCTCCTAAAGTGCTGAGATTACAGGCATGAGCCACTGGCCCAGACTACACTTAAAATTTTCAAATCGAGATATTTTGGGGGGCAAGGGTGCTTCTAGCAGCCACTAATTCCAGTTCTTGAGTGCATATTAAAGTTGCTACTGTTTAAAAGCTTGTAGTTGGATCCAGGGAGTGGGTAGGCGGTCAGAGTAACCCTTGCTTCTTGGTGTCTCCTTGATGCTCTTAGCTGAATGTCCTGTGTAGCCCACAACATTTACTTTGGGAAAAAATTAAGAGTGTTTAAAGCAGGATCAAGCTGCTGCATACCACAGCTAAAACTACTAGAATAAGACCCCTGGTTCTGTTTCATTGTTTTTTGGAGCTAAAGTCATGATTAAGAAGGATGGCCTGGGATATTGGTACTGTGCTGCTAGAGGTGCAATTCCTGGTTCTTTGCAAGATAGACCAGAGTGAAAGCATTTGTTAGGAATGTTTTTATTAATCAAGAGTGAAAGGCAAGGCCAGGCGTGGTGACTCAGGCTTGTAATCCCAGCACTTTGGGAGGCCAAGGTGTGGGATCATTTGAGGTCAGGAGTTCAAGACCAGCCTGGCCAACATGGTGAAACCCCGTCTCTACTAAAAATACAAAAATTGGCTGGGTGTGGTGGTGCATGCCTGTAATCCCAGCTACTCGGGAGACTGAGGCAGGAGAATCGCTTGAATCCGGGAGACGGAGGTTGCAGTAAGCTGAGATCATGTCACTGTGGTACAGTCTGGGTGACAGAGGGAGACTGTTTCAAAAAAAAAAAACAGAAAGAATGAAAGGCAAAACATTAAAAATAGAATTACCATGTGATCTAACAATTTTACTTCTGGATATATATCCAAAATAATTGAAAACAAAGAAAAAGAAAAACAGAGTCTCGATGAGATATTTGTACCCATGTTCATAACAGCGTTATTCACATTAGCTAAAATGTGGAAGCAACCCAACTATTCATTGATGGATGAATAGATAAGGAAAATGTGGTATGTACATATAACTGAAAAATTATTCAGTGTTAGGAAGGAAGGTAATTCTGACATATGCTACAACATGGATGAACCTTGAGGATATTATGCTAAGTGAAATAAGCCAGTCATGTAAAAGACAAATACCATATAATTTCACTTAGACACTTTGAGTAGTGAAAATCATAGAAACAGAAAATAGTTGTCAGGGATGGTGTGAGGGATGAATCAGCAGTTACTATTTCTTTTTGTTTGTTTGTTTTTTGAGATGGGGTCTTGCTCTGTTGCCCAGGCTGGAGTACAGTGGTGTGATCTTGGCTCACTGCAACCTCTGCCTCCCAGGCACAAGCCATCTTCCCACCTCAGCGTCCTCAGTAGCTGGGACTACAGATGTGTTCCACCTTGTCCGGCTGATTTGTGTGTGTGTATATGTGTGTGTGTGTGTGGAGACAAGGTTTTGCCATGTTGCCCAGGCTGGTCTCGAACTCCTGAGCTCAAGCATCAAGCAATCTACCTTTTTCAGCTTTCCAAAGTGCTGGCATTACAGACAAGGGCCACTGTGCCTGGCCTTTACTATATTTTATTTTATTTATTATTTATTTATTTATTTATTTATGTATTTTGAGATGAAGTCTCACTCTGTTGCCCAGGCTGGAGTGCAGTGGCACGATCTTGGCTCACTGCATCCTCTGCCTCCCAAGTTCAAGTGATTCTCCTGCCTCAGCCTCCAGTTATTATTATTATTATTATTATTTTTTTGTTGTTCTGTTTTTTTGAGGTGGAGTCTCGCCCTGTCGCCCAGGCTGGAGTGCAGTGGCACAAACTCGGCTCACTGCAACCTCCATCTCCCAGGTTCAAGTGATTCTTCTGCCTCAACCTCCCAAGTAGCTGGGAATACAGGTGCCCGCCACCACGCCTGGCTAATTTTTGTATTTTTAGTAGAGACGGGGTTTCACCACATTGGTCAGGCTGGTCTTGATCTCCTGATCTTGTGGTCCACCTGCCTCGGCCTCCCAAAGTGCTGGGATTATAGGTGTGAGCCCCCATGCCCTGCCTTGTTATTATTATTATTTTTATTTTTTTGTCTGAGACGGAGTCTTGCTCTGTCACCCAGGCTAGAATGCAGTGGCACGATCTTGGCTTAGTACAACCTCTGCCTCCCGAGTTCAAGTGATTCTCCTGCCTCAGCCTCCCGAGTATATAGGACTACAGGTGTGTGCCACCATGGCTAATTTTTGTATTTTTAGTAGAGATGGGGTTTCACCATGTTGGTCAGGATGGTCTAGATCTCTTGACCTCGTGATCTACCCGCCTTGGCCTCCCAAAGTGCTGGGATTACAGGCATGAGCCACTGCGCCTGGCCCCAGTTTTTGTATTTTTAATAGAGACAGGGTTTTGGCATGTTGGCCAGGCTGGTCTCAGACTCCTGACCTCAAGTGATCTGCCCACTTCAGCCTTCTGAAGTGCTGGGATTAAAGACATGAGCACTGTGCCCAGCCACTTTTACTATATTTTAAATTAGGTTACTTATCCTTTGTTTTTTTTTTTTTTTGAGACGAAGTTTTGCTCTTGTTGCCCAGGCTGGTGTGCAATGGTGCATCTCGACTCAACGCAACCTCTGTCTCCCGGGTTCAAGTGATTCTCCTGCCTCAGCCTCCCGAGTAGCTGGGATTACAGGCATGCATCACCACGCCAGCTAATTTTGTATTTTTAGTAGAGACAGGGTTTCTCCATGTTGGTCAGGCTGGTCTCAAACTCCCGACCTCAGGTGATCCACCTGCCTTGGCCTCCCAAAGTGTTGGGATTACAGGCGTGTGCCACTGCTCCTGGCTTATTTTTCTTTTTGTTACTGAGTTGAAATCATTTTTTATATATTTTAGATACAAGTCACTTACCAAATATGTAATTTGCACAAATTTTCTCCCATTCTGTGGGATGTCTTTTCATTTAAACCAAAAAATTGTAGAGATGGGGGTTTTGCTGTGTTGCCCAGGTTGGTCTTGAACTCCTGGTCTTAAGTGATCCTCTGACCTTGGCCTCAAAAAGTGCTGCGATTATAGGCATGAGCCAATGTGCGCAGCTTACCTTTTCTTCTTTTCTTTTTTTTTGAGGCAGGGTCTTGCTCTGTTGCCCAGGCTGGAGTGCAGTGGTGCAATCATGGCTTACTGCAGGCTGAAACTCCCATGCTCAAGTGATCCTCCCACTTTAGCCTCCTAGGTAACTGGGACCTTAGGGGCGTGCCATCACACCTTGCTAATTTTTTTTTTTTTTTGAGATGGAGTCTTGCCCTGTCGCCCAGGTTGGAGTGCAGTGGAGCGATCTTGGCTCACTGCAAATTCCACCTCCCGGATTCAAGTGATTCTCCTCCCTCAGCCTCCTGAGTAGCTGGGACTACAGGCGTGTGCCACCACGCCCAGCTAATTTTTGTATTCTGAGTAGAGACGGGATTTCACCACATTGGCCAGGCTGGTCTCGATCTCTTGACCTCGTGATCTGCCCGCCTTGGCCTCCCAAAGTGCTGGGATTACAGGTGTGAGTGTGAGCCACCGAACCTGGCCTTTTTTTTTTTTTTTGAGACCGTCTCTGTCACCCAGGCTGGAGTGCAGTAACATGACACAATCTCCGCTCACTGCAACCTCTGCCTTCTGGGTTCAAGTGATCCTTCTGCCACAGCCTCCTGAGTAGCTGGGATTGCAGGCATGTGCTACCACGCCTGGCTAATTTTTGTATTTTTAGTAGAGACGGGGTTTCACCATGTTGGCCTACCTGGTCTTGAATTCCTGACCTCAGATGATCTGCCCGCATCAGCCTCCCAAAGTGCTGGGGTTACAAGCGTGAGCCACCACGCCTAGCTGGACCTGACTAATTAAAAAAAAAATTTTGTAGGCTGGGCAGGGTGGCTCACACCTGTAATCCCAGTACTTTGAGAGGTGGAGGCGGGGTAATCGCCTGAATCAGGAGTTTGAGACCAGCCCGGGCAACATAACGAAACCCTAGGTCTACCAGAAATACACAAAAAAATTAGCCGAGCATGGTAGTGCACATTTGTAGTCCCAGCTACTCAGGAGGCTGAGGTGGGAGGATGGCTGGAGCCAGGGAAGCAGTGGTTACAGTGAGCCGAGAATGTGCCACTGCACTCCCGCTTGGGTGACAGAGTGAGATAAGGTCTCAGAAAAAAAAAAAAAATTTATAGGCCGGGCGCAATGGCTCACGCCTGTAATCCCAGCACTTTGGGAGGACCAGGCGGGCGGATCACAAGGTCAGGAGATCGAGACCACCCTGGCCAACATGGTGAAACCCCGTCTCCACTAAAAAAATACAAAAATTAGCTGGGCGTGGTGGCACGTGCCTGTAGTCCCAGCTACTTGGCAGGCTGAGGCAGAAGAATTGCTTGAACCCTGGAGGCGGAGGTTGCAGTGAGCCGAGATTGCACCATTGCACTCCAGCCTGGGCGACAGAGCGAGACTCCATCTCAAAAAAAAAAAAAAAAAAAATTTGTGAAGACAAGGTCTCAATATTTGCCCAGGATGGTCTGAAACTTCTGGGCTCAAGCCATCCTTCTGCCTCAGCCTCCCAAAGTATTGGAATTACAGGTGTGAGCCACTGTGTCTGGCCTATTTATAGACTCTTAATTCTGTTTCCTTGGTCTGTATGTCTATACTATGTCAGTGCCACACTGTCTTGATTACTGTAGCTTTGTGGTGAGTTTTGGAATTGGGAAGTGTCAGTCCTCTAACTTTGTTGTATATATTCTTTTCTGTTTTGCACAGATATCAGGTTACAAATATTTTGCACACTTTTTTTTTTTTTTGAAATGGAGTCTTACTCTGTCACCCAGGCTGGAGTGCAGTGGCGCGATCTCAGCCCACTGCAAGCTCCGCCTCCCAGGTTCACACCATTCTCCTGCCTCAGCCTCCCCAGCAGCTGGGACTGCAGGCGCACACTGCCATGCCCAGCTAATTTTTTTGTATTTTAAGTAGAGACAGGGTTTCACTGTGTTAGCCAGGATGGCCTCGATCTCCTGACCTCGTGATCCGCCTGCCTAGGCCTCCCAAAGTGCTGGGATTACAGGCGTGAGCCACCGCACCCGGCCTTGCACATGTTTTTAAAACTTAATACATAATAGCTTATCCTGTATCAATTAACATAGCTACTTTATTTATTCTTAGGGCCGCATAGTATTTTTTTTTCTTTCTTTTTTTTTTTTTTTTTTTTTTTTGAGACTGAGTCTCGCTCTGTTGCCCAGGCTGGAGTGCAGTGGTGTGATCTTGGCTTAAGCAACCTCTGCCTCCTGGGATCAAGCCTCGGGATCCTCCTACCTCAACCTCTGCAGTATTTGGGACTACAGACACCTGCTACCACACCCAGTTAATTTTCGTATTTTTTTGTAGAGATAGGGTCTCTATTGATGTGCATTTAGGCTTTATAATATTTATATATATATTTTTTGAAACAAAGTTTTGCTCTTGTTGCCCAGGCTGGAGTGCAGTGGCATGATCTTGGCTCACTGCAACCTTCGCCTCCCAGGTTCAAGTGATTCTCCTGCCTTAGACTCCCGAGTAGCTGGGATTACAGTTTTTAAAAAATGTATCCTAGGCTGGGCGCAGTGGCTCACGCCTGTAATCCCAGCCCTTTGGGAGGCTGAGGCGGGTGGATCACCTGAGGTTTGGAGTTTGAGACCAGCCTGGCCAACATGGTGAAACCTCGTCTGTACTAAAAATACAAAAATTAGCTGGGTGTACTGGCGGGCACCTGTAATCTCAGCTTCTTGGGAGGCTGAGACAGGAGAATCTCTTGAACTTGAGAGGCGGTGGTTGCAGTGAGCCATTGCACTCCAGCCTGGGTGTCAAGCAAAACTCTGTCTCTCTCTCTCTCTGTGTCTCTCTCTCTCTCTCTGTGTGTGTGTGTGTGTGTGTGTGTATATGTATATATATTCTGCCAATATTTTGTGATTAGAGAGTTTAAAGTATTTACATTTAAAGTAATTACTGATAAGGACTTTTGCCATTTTGCTACTACTTTTATGTTTAGCTGATTTTTTTTTTTTTGGTAGTGAAAAAAAATTTTTTTTTTTTGAGAGCATGAGACTGTTGCCTAGGCTTTGGTGAGCAAAATAGTGCAGTGCCACAATCTCAGCTCACTGCAACTTTGGGCTCAAGTGATCCTCCTGTCCCAGTCTCCTGAGTAGCTGGTAGTATAGGTGTGCCACCACCATGCCTGGCTAATTTTTGTATTTTTTGTAGAGATAGGGTTTTGCCATGTTGCCCAGGCTGGTCTCAAACTGGGTTCAAACAATCTACCTGCCTTAGCCTTCCAAAGTGTTGGGATTACAGGCATTAGCCACTTTCTGCCCCCTCCCCCGCTTTTTTTTTTTTTTTTTTTTTTTTGAGACGGAGTTTCACTCTTGTTGCCCAGGCTGGAGTGCAGTGGCATGATTTCAGCTCACTGCAACCTCCGCCTCCCGGGTTCAGGCATTTTCCTGCCTCTGCCTCCCAAGTAGCTGGGATTACAGGCTTGCCACCATGCCTGGCTAATTTTGTATTTTTAATAGAGATGGGGTTTCTCTATGTTGGTCAGGCTGGTCTCGAACTCCTGACCTCAGGTGATCCTCCTGCCTTGGCTTCCCAAAGTGCTGGGATTATAGGCGTAAGCCATCACGCCTGGCCCACGCTTTATTTTTTTATTTTTATTTTTTATTATTTATTTATTTATTTTTTGAGACGGAGTTTCGTTCTTGTTGCCCAGGCTGGAGTGCAATGGCATAATCTCAGCTCACCGCAGCCTCCGCCTCCTGGGTTCAAGTGATTCTCCTGCCTCAGCCTCCTGAGTAGCTGAATTTACAGGCATGCGCCACCATGCCCAGCTAATTTTGTATTTTTAGTAGAGACGGGGTTTCTCCATGTTGGTCAGGCTGGTCTCGAACTCCAGACCTCAGGTGATCCTCCCGCCTCGGCCTCCCAAAGTGCTGGGATTACAGGCGTAAGCCACCAGGCCTGGCCTGCTTTTTTAATTTTTTATTTATTTTTTCTTTTTAAGAGGGAGGGTCTTGCTGTGTTGTCCAGATTGGAGAACAGTGATGAGATCATAGCTCACTGCAGACTTGGATTCCTGGACTCAAGCAATCCTCCCGCTTCATTCTTTGCAAGTAACTGGAAGTGCAGACATGTGCCACCTGCCTTTTTTGTTTTTTAAATTTTTCATAGAGATGGGGTCTTGCTATATTGCCTAGGCTGGTCTCAAACTCCTGGCCTCAAGCAATCGGCTTCCTGAAGTGCTGGGATTACAGATGTTAGCCACTGGCCTGTTGTGAAAATGTTTTGACTTTCTTCTCATTTTCTTTCTTTCTTTTTTTTTTTTTTTGAAGTAGAGAGAGTCTCACTATATGGCCAATGGTGGTTTCAAACCCCTGAGCCCAAGGAATCCTCCTGCCTCAGCCTCCCAGTGCTTGTCGTGCTAGGACAACAAGCATGAGCCACTGTGCCTAGCCCCTTCTCATTTTCTTTTTCTTTCTAGTGCATAAGCAGGCAACCTTATTTTCTTATGTGTATATTCTAAAGATATGTTCTTTGCAGTTACCATGGGAATTACACTTAACATCTCACAGTTATAATCTAATTTGAATTTATACTAACTTAAGTTCCATAGTATACAAATCTCTGCTCCTATCCAGCTCCTTTCTCTTCCCTTTTCTGTTAAGTCATGGATTACATCTTTGTAAATCGTATCTCAGGAACCTAGATTAATAATTTTTTATGCATCTGTCTTTTAGATCACATTGAAAGTGAAAAGTAGGAGTTACAAAGCAAAATTGCAATAATGCTAGTTTTTACAGTTGCCCCTGTATTTGCCTTTACCAGAGATCTTTCTTTCTTTTTTTTTTTTTTGGGATGGAGTCTCGCTCTTTCGCCCAGGCTGGAGTGCAATGGCGCAATCTCAGCTGACTGTAACCTCTGCCTCCCGGGTTCAAAAGATTTTCTTGCCTCAGGCTCCTGAGTAGCTGGGACTGTAGTTGTACGCCACCACACGTGGCTGATTTTTGTATTTTTAGTAGAGATGGGGTTTTGCCATGTTGGCCAGGCTGGTCTTGAACTCCTGACCTCAGGTGTGAGCCACCGCACCTGGCCGAGATCTTTATTTCTTCACATGGCTTCACGTCTAGCTTTTAAAAATTCATTCTGGGCCGGGCGCAGTGGCTCACGCCTGTAATCCCGACACTTTGGGAGGCTAAGGCGGGCGGATCACGAGGTCAGGAGATCGAGACCATCCTGGTTAACACAGTGAAACCCCGTCTCTACTAAAAACACAAAAGGCCGGGTGCGGTGGCTCACGCCTGTAATCCCAGCACTTTGGGAGGCTGAGGTGGGTGGATCACGAGGTCAGGAGATCGAGACCATCCTGGCTAACATGGTGAAACCCCGTCTCCACTAAAAATACAAAAAACAAAACAAAACAAAAAAAACTATTAGCTGGCATTGCGGTGGGCACCTGTAGTCCCAGCTACTCGGGAGGCTGAGGCAGGAGAATGGCGTCAACCCAGGAGGCGGAGCTTGCAGTGAGCCAAGATCACGCCACTGCACTCCAGCCTGGGAGACAGCAAGACTCTGTCTCAAAAACAAAAAACAAAAAACCACAAAAATTAGCCGGGCGTGGTGGCGGGCGCCTGTAGTCCCAGTTACTCGGGAAGCTGAGGCAGGAGAATGGCATGAACCCAGGAGGTGGAGCTTGCAGTGAGCCGAGATCGCTCAACTGCATTCCAGCCTTGGCAACAGAGCGAGACTCCATTTCAAAAAAAAAAAAAATTCATTCTGAAGAATTCCTTTTTTTTTTTTTTTTTTTGTAAAAATGGAGTCTCACTCTGTTGCCCTGGCTGGAGTGCTGAGTGCCATGGCATGATCTCAGCTCACTGCAACCAACCCCCACTCCAAGTTGAAGCGATACTCCTGCCTCAGCCTCCTGACTAGCTGGGATTAGGGGTGCCTGCTACTGCACCTGGCTAATTTTTGTATTTTTAGTAGAGACGGGTTTCACCATCTTGGCCAGGCTGGTGTCGAACTCCTGACCTCGTGACCAACCCACTTCGGCCTCCCAAAGTGCTGGGATTACAGGCGTGAGCCACTGTGCCCGGACTGAAGAATTCCCTTTTAGCATTTCTTACAAGGTCTGTATAGTGGTAATGAGCCTCCCTCAGCTTTTGTTTATCTGAGAATGTCTTGATTTTTTTCCTTTTTTTTTTTTTTTTTTGAGATGGAGTCTCGCTCTGTCGCCCAGGCTGGAGTGCAGTGGCGTGATCTCAGCTCACTGCAAGCTCCGCCTCCTGGGTTCACACCATTCTCCTGCCTCAGCCTCGTGAGTAGCTGGGACTACAGGTGCCCGCCACCACGCCTGGCTAATTTTTTTTTTTTTTTTTGTATTTTTAGTAGAGACGGGGTTTCACTGTGTTAGCCAGGATGGTCTCAATCTCCTGACCTTGTGATCCGCCCGCCTCGGCCTCCCAAAGTGCTGGGATTACAGGTGTGAGCCGCCTCGCCCGGCCAATGTTTTTCCCTATTTTTTGAAAGACAGTGTTGCCATTTACAGAATTCTTGGTTGGCAATTTATATTTAGGGTTTTTTTTTTTTTTTTTGAGACAGAGTCTTGCTCTGTTGCCCAGGCTGGAGTGCAGTGGTGTGACCTCGGCTCACTGCAACCTCCGCCTCCAGGGTTCAAGTCATTCTCCTGCCTCAGCCTCCCAAGTAGCTGGGACTACAGGTGCCCGCCACTACGCCTGGCTAATTTTTTGTATTTTTAGTAGAGACGGGGTGTCACCATGTTGGCCAGGCTGGTCTCGAACTCCTGACCTCAAGTGATCCACACGCCTCAGCCTCCCAAAGTGCAGGGATTACAGACATGAGCCCCCACGCCCGGCCTAGGTCTTGTATGATCATACATTTTGCCTTGGCATTCATATGGCTTTCTAAATTTCACCATATACATGTTGCTTTGGAATGTCCTAATTTGCCAAAGAGTTTCACCTCAACTTCTGTGGGCATCTATCTGTAATCTCTTGCCCCAAGTGCCTGTTAGTCTGTAGTCTGCTTTGCAGCTTTCATTAGCAATACCTGCTGCTTTCTCTGCCTGAGTT
Organism: Homo sapiens; assembly: GCF_000001405.40. Taxonomy (NCBI): domain Eukaryota; kingdom Metazoa; phylum Chordata; class Mammalia; order Primates; family Hominidae; genus Homo; species Homo sapiens. Next base: position 49,960,087 of record NC_000003.12, read on the forward strand.
TTGTATTAGGTTGAAATAGAAACATGCACCTTATGTCTGTCCTTCAAATACCCCCGCAGACAGGGTAGAACAGATATGTACGATAATTTGCAAATAAGGTCTGCTTTGCTCTTTGAGGGAGGGAGCTGGGAATTGGGCTTCTACTGCTTTAAGACAAAAAACACTGCCATGCTGGAGAGGGGGTAGGGCAAGGTTGAGTAAAACACCACAGAACTTTCCTTCTGTTTTGAAGATGGCTTTTTCTTCATTGGATATTTGCTTGTAAACCTTTGACTCTTTTCTAAAACTGTCAAATTTGGTTCAGACAGTTACTACTTGTTTTTCTGATGTTTCTATGAAGGAATGAGACCTTGAAACTTCCTAGTCTGCCATTTTGATGACCTATGGGCTGTCTTTGTACTCTCTTGATAGTGTCCTTTGATACACAGAAGTTTTTAATTTTGGTGAAGTCCCTTTATCTACTTTTTCTTTTAAAGTTCCTTGTGCTGTAGGGGTCATATTTAAGAAATCATTGCCAAATCCAAGGTCATGAAGATTTGCCTCTTTTTCAGTAGCTATAACAAAGGTCCTGGAAATAACTTCTTATCTTGACTTGAGTTACATGTCTGTCTTCAAAGCAATGACTGTGGTGAGGGTAATAGATTATTCCGATTGCTCATGCTGGATGGTGTCCGATCAGGTCTGAGACAGTGGGGTTGATACTACAGTGCTGTTTCCAAAAAGGAAGGGCTAGTGAGCGCTAGAAAAATCAGTAAATACTTACTTCATGTAGTAAATGTGAAGCATTCATAGCACATTGAAAAGTTTATGGTGCCCAGAGTACCTTTTTTTTTTTTTTTTTTTGAGACAGCCTCACTCTGTTTCCTGAACTGGAATGCAGTGGTGCGATCTTGGCTCACTGCAGCCTCAACCTCCTGGGTTCAAGCGATCCTCCCCCACTTCAGCCTTCCAAGAAGCTGAGACTACACATAGTCATCATGCCTGACTAATTTTTGTATATATATTTTTTAAGATGGAGTCTCGCTCTGTCACCCAGGCTGGAGTGCAGTGGCATGATCTTGGCTGACTGTAGCCTCCGCCTCCCGGTTTCAAGCGTTTCTCCTGCCTCAGCCTCCTGCATAGCTGGGATTACAGGTGCCTGCCACCACACCTGGCTAATTTTTGTATTTTTAGTAGAGATGAGATTTCACCATGTTGCCTAGGCTGGTCTCGAACTCCTGACCTCAGGTGATCCACCTGCCTAGCCTCCCAAAGTTCTGGTAATTTTTGTATTTTTTGTAGAGATGGCATTTTGCTATGTTGCCCAGGCTGGTCTCAAACTCCTTGGCTCAAGCGGTCTGCCTGCCTTGGCCTCCCAAAGTGTTGAGGTTACAGGTATGAGCCACCGTGCCCGACCCCAGAGTACACATTTTAATTAAAAACTTATTTTTCTGGCCGGGCACGGTGGCTCACGCCTGTAATCCCAGCACTTTGGGAGGCCGAGGTGGGTGGATCACAATGTTAGGAGTTCGAGACCAGCCTGGCCAATATGGTGAAACCCCATCTCTACTAAAAATACAAAAATTAGCCGGGCATGGTGACGCGTGCCTGTAGTCCCAGCTACTCGGGAGGCTGAGGCAGAAGAATCGCTCGAACCGGGGAGGCAGAGGTTGTGGTGGGCTGAGATAGTGCCACTGGACTCCAGCCTGGGCGACAGAGAGAGATTCTGTCTTTAAAAAAAAAAAAAAAGTATTTTTCTTATTATAAATTTAATATGTAAGTGATGTAAGTGTTTGAAAGTGACTTCCAGCTGGATGCGGTGGCTCATGCCTGTAATCCTAGCACTTTGGGAGGCCGAGGCGGGCGGACTGCTTGAGCTCAGGAGTTTGAGACCAGCCTGGGTAACACAGTGAAAACCCGTCTCTACTAAAATACAAAAAAATTAGCTGGGCGGCCGGCGTGCGCCTGTAGTTCTAGCTACTTGGGAGGCTGAGGCAGGAGAATTGCTTGAACCCGGAGGTTGCAGTGGGCTGAGATCGTGCCTTTGCACTTCAGCCTGGGCAACAAAGCAAGACTCCATCTCTTAAAAAAAAAAAAAAAAAAGAAGGCCGGGTGCAGTGGCTCACGCCTGTAATCTCACACTTTGGGAGGCCTAGGTGGGCGGATCATGAGGTCAGGAGATCTAGACCACAGTAAACCCCGTCTCTACTAAAAATACAAAAAATTAGCTAGGCGTGGTGGCGGGCGCCTGTAGTCCTAGCTACTCGGGAGGCTGAGGCAGGAGAATTGCTTGAACCCGGAGGTTGCAATGGGCTGAGATCATGCCTTTGCACTCCAGCCTGGGCGACAGAGCGAGACTCCATCTCAAAAAAAAAAAAGAAAAGAAAGAAAAGAAAGACCTTCAAAATTATTGCTGCTGATGTGGTCCCTCATAAACCAAGCAGTGGGAAACTGGTTTAGCTTTTAGTTCACATTCTAAAGTACTAATTTTTGTGGTTTATTTTGTACAGGTACTGCTATAACCAGAATTTGGTAGAAAAAGGATTTACTTGTTGGGGCCCTCTTGATAAAAAGAGATGTGGGGGGATTCTCGACCTGCTAACAGAACTGGACCTTTTCGGTAAGTTCTCAAATTTGAATATTGAAATTGCCAGTATTTTAATTATAAATGTGTAACATTTTCGCCTACTATAAATGAAGATATTTTCTCTGTGGAGAAATAGTTTCTGATTTTTTAAAAATAGAAATTTGGCTGGGCGCGGTGGCTCACGCCTGTAATCCCAGCACTTTGGGAGGCTGAGGCGGGCAGATCATGAGGTCAGGAGATCGAGACCATCCTGGCTATCACGGTGAAACCCCGTCTCTACTAAAAAATACAAAAAAAACTAGCCGGGCGTGGTGGCGGCTGCCTGTAGTCCCAGCTACTCGGGAGGCTGAAGCAGGAGAATGGTGTGAACCTGGGAGGCGGAGCTTGCAGTGAGCCGAGATCGTGCCACTGCACTCCAGCTTGGGCGACAGAGGAAGACTCTGTCTCAAAAACAAAAACAAAAAAAAAAAAAGAAAAAAAAAGAAAAATAGAAACTCAATTTGGAAAATAATTTCGAAAATGATTGTGAGCCTGAATACCCAGCATGCCAAATGTTTTGTCACATAGCATTTTAAAATTTTATTTATTTGTTTGTTTTTTGAGACAAGTCTCTCTCTGTCTCCCAGGCTGGAGTGCAGTGGTGCGATCTTGACTTACTGCAACATCCGCCTCCCGTGTTCAAGTGATTCTCCTGCCTCAGCCTTCTGAGTAGCTGGGATTACAGGCGCGTGCCACTATGCCTGGCTAATTTCATTATTTTAATATTAAAAAATACCCAAATATTTTATTTCTTTTTGTCTCTTAGCGAAGGAATACATATTTGGCTAGTAAGGAAAGCTAGCAAAATTTACATAAATGTTTATAAAAGTTGTATTGAGTTCACTAATTTATGTCTAGAATTCAGAGCTGTGCCTTGTCTGTGGCATGTTGACGCAGTTTGCTAAGCCACCTCTCAATTTTAGGGGTTACTTGGTACCAAGAAGAGTGGAGAAAGTGGTAGCATTTAGTTGTAAATAGATTGTATTTTAAATTTGTAGGGAATTAATTTTTTTATAGCTAGTATCATACACACTGTATTTTAACTAGTATTTAAACATTTTTCGTATTGTGTTTACAATTAATGAGATGCTATATGAATGTGACTTTTTTGGTTTTACTTGGTACATAGCAAATAAATCTGACCTTTAAATGTATGCATTCATAAGTATTGTTGCTCCAGTTGAAACTTCTATTAACTAGTACATTTTCCTTTTTTTACCTTTTTTCAAAATGGAGTCTCACTCTGTTGCCCATGCTGGAGTGCAGGGGTATGATCTCAGCTCACTGCAGCCTTTGCCTCCTAGGTTCAAGTGATTCTCCTCCCTTAGCCTCCTGAGTAGCTGGGACTACAGGTGTATGCCACCATGCCTGGCTAATTATTGTATTTTTTTTTTTAGTAGAGATGGCGTTTCACCATGTTGGCCAGGCTGATCTCAAACTCCTGACCTCAAGTGATCCACCTACCTCAGCCTCCCAAAGTGCTGGGACTATAAGTGTGAGCCACCGCACCTGCCATTTGGATTGGCAATCTGCAAGATTTTATTACTTAAATGCAACAGATGTTCTCATTCATTGTTCTGAAGCTTGGAGTTCCAATGAAAAATTTAGGTGGAGAACTGAGTTTAGAAAATCCATATAATGTTTAGTAAAACTAGTATTTCATAAATGCTGAATGACAGAGATTGGTCTTTAAATTAAAACAACAGTGTGATGTTGGGTATTTTTTTTCTTTCAAAATACTAAGGATTAGATCAGTGGTCAGCAAACTACAGCTGATAGCCTGTTTTTGTAAATAAAGTTTTACTGGAAAACAGCCACTCTTACTCATTTGCAGATTGTGTATGGCTGCTTTCATGCTATGATGGCAGAGTTGAATAGTTGTAACAGAGATTGTATAACCCACAAAATCCGATATGTTTACGAACTGGCTCTTCATGGAAAAAGTTTCCTGACCTCTCATCTAGATCAATGGGGTTGTACGTTACCATTTAAAAATATTTAGGTTGTAATCTATCCTCTTATTACTTGTATTTATGGGTAACTATTTTGTAAGTAAGGCTGTTTCGTATAGAATTAACGTGGTTTAGGTAAGCATTCAGAAATGTTAGGTTAATTTAGCTTTATTGTCTAACTTTTTTCAAATTTAGAACATTTGTCTTTGACTCGTTTAAACTTATTTAAAATTATATTTTCCCACCTTAATTTTAGTTTAAATGTAAGTCATTATATGCTGTTTTTTAACATCTTTGACTAGGAGGGAGACAGTTTTTGGGAACTAATTTGAACCAAAACAGATATAGGAAAATGATTTTGTTACATTTCCTTTGAACTTTTCTTTTAAAATTTGTTTTTATTTGGTTGAAAATAATTTTCATAACTACTGATATTTTATATTAGTAGAATGGTTTCTTGATTCGTCTGTATAAAATACAAATCTAAGAACCCTGCTACAGTAAGTTACTCTAAATCTATTTGATCTTAATTTAGAAGAGTAAGATAATCTTTAGGCCATGTTGGATGTGTTCTGGTCAGAAAACATGTAGATTTCATACCTCAGTCCTCATCCCATGAGTGTCTGATGAAGCTTAAATCTTCCTGCAAGAAAGACTTGAATGATTTTAAACATGAGAGACACTGTATTTAGTGGTAACATCTTAATTTTAGTGTTAAATTGTATTGCCTAAGAAGAACATCTAGGGCGGGCGTGGCGGCTCACGCCTGTAATCCCAGCACTTTGGGAGGCCGAGGCGGGTGGATCACGAGGTCAGGAGATCAAGACCATCCTGGCTAACACGGTGAAACCCCGCCTCTACAAAAAATACAAAAAAATTAGCTGGGCGTGGTAGCGGGCGCCTGTAGTCCCAGCCCCTTGGGAAGCTGAGGCAGGAGAATGGCGTGAACCCGGGAGGCGGAGCTTGCAGTGAGCCAATATCGCGCCACTGCACTCCAGCCTGGGCGACAGAGCGAGACTCCGTCTCAAAAAAAAAAAAAAGAAGAACATCTAAACTTGCTCCTCTTATGATGAACCACATAGACATAACTAGTGTTAATGGGGGTCAGTGGAAGTCATCATGTTCTGAAAATCCATTAAATGTACATCATTCTAGTGTTTAGGTTAATGCTGTTAAATTCCTGTTACTTTAAGAAAGGGTTGGCCGGGCATGGTGGCTCACGCCTGTAACCCTAACCTTGGGGAGACAGAGATGGGTGGCTCACCTGAGGTCAAGAGTTCAAGACCAGCCTGGGCAGCATGGTAAAACCCCATCTCTGCTAAAAATAAAAAAATTAGCTGGGCATGGTGGCGCATGCCTGTAATCCCAGCTACTCTGGAGGCTGAGGCATGAGAATTGCTTGAACCCAGGAGGCAGAGGCTGCAGTGAACCGAGATCATGCCATTGCACTCCAGCCTGGGCAACAGAGCGAGACTCCGTCTCAAAAAAAAAGAAAAAGAGAAAGAAAAGGTTTGGCATTGCAACTATTTCTCTTGAACTGAGTGACCCAGAATCAGTTGTCCTTTGAATTTTAGTATAGTAGCATAGTCTGAGCTCAGAAGGGCCTTATGATAGACCCTGTATGTTCTGGGAGGCAAGAATTGAGTTGGTATTAATATCTTAATGCTTTTGTTTTACTGCTGAATAACAGATGACCCTTCAGGTCTTTTCATGTTTTCCTTTTTCATGTCTCCCTGCCTAGGATCCTAGGTGCCTAATTGCCTACTTAAACTAGTTTAGGGAATCTTGGACTGAAGCCAAAACATGTAAAATGCCCTGAAGGTTAGGCAAAGGGAAGAAGTTGGGTAGTATGAAAGATTAGGTCACATCTTGTTTATCTCTTGAGTTCTATAAATTGAGAATGTAAATTTAATACTATGTCTATTTTTAAAATGTATTTTATTGCCATGAAAAAGTAGCATGAGACATTGGAATATGGAATATCAGCTTCTTCATTTGGGTCATGGGGATCATGCTTGAAGACCTAATGCTCTCTCTAGGTCTATCTCAGCATTGAGCCCCTGGATGCTGTTGCGTGGCTTAGATGACTTATACATGCTTTGTGGCATGATTCATACTACCTTCTACCTTCTGTGATACCCTTGGGTAGTTATAATAGGACCCAGGTTAGAGTGCTTCTTGGTGGAGCCACTGTAGAACTGGGATTTAGATGCAGCCAGGGCTGATGCTCAGCTGGTGAACACTGGTGTGCTTGTTCCTACTGGTGATTTACAACCAGTGTTTCTTCTTTTTGGGCCTGCATCCATTTTGATTGGGTGGTGTCCATGCTGTATCTGTAATAAAATATTTTTGAATGTTACCGCTGGATGCAGCGTGAGAAAGATACCTCCTGAAACTTACTGTAAGAAATTTACAGTGCATTGATTTTTCTGATATATAGGAATCGTCATGTTGACCTTGGAATTCTTAAGTTCCCTGGCTGTAGGAAATGGAAATTTTTGTAGTATGTCACCATTGTTAGCTTATTTGGTATTGCGGATTTTCCCTGTTGCAGGACTGGGTGAAAGCTTTTTCTGCAGCAGTCATGTTGAAAACCTTGTGTTGACTTTCCTCGTGTTCTGAAATGGGAGCATAAAAGTTTACTCCGCCACTTCGTCTTAAAATAGCAAAACTTTGCTGTTTTCTGCAGATCTAGGACCTTGTTACAGAACTCTGCCAAAAAAAAAATGTTTACAGAAGAATGTGCTGTGATTAGAGAAGAATATGCTGGTGTGTAGATTTCAAACTCTCTGGACAATATGAATAACACTGTCTTTGTTTCTACAGTGGGAGCCAAGAAGAAAGGTTTGCTCCCGGGTGGAACAGGGATTATCCTCCTCCTCCCCTTAAGAGTCATGCTCAAGAGAGACACTCTGGCAACTTTCCTGGCAGAGATTCACTTCCCTTTGATTTCCAGGGGCATTCGGGGCCTCCTTTTGCAAATGTAGAGGAGCATTCTTTCAGCTATGGAGCTAGAGACGGACCGCATGGTGACTATCGAGGAGGGGAGGGACCTGGACATGATTTCAGGGGGGGAGATTTTTCGTCTTCTGATTTCCAGAGCAGAGATTCATCACAGTTGGACTTCAGGGGTAGGGACATACATTCTGGGGATTTTCGGGATAGAGAAGGACCACCTATGGACTATAGGGGTGGAGATGGTACTTCTATGGATTATAGAGGTAGGGAGGCACCTCATATGAACTACAGAGACAGGGATGCTCACGCTGTTGACTTCAGAGGTAGGGATGCTCCTCCATCTGACTTCAGGGGCCGGGGCACTTATGATTTAGATTTTAGAGGCCGGGATGGATCCCATGCAGATTTTAGGGGAAGGGATTTATCAGATTTGGATTTTAGGGCCAGAGAACAGTCCCGTTCTGATTTTAGGAATAGAGATGTATCTGATTTGGACTTTAGAGACAAAGACGGAACACAAGTAGACTTTAGAGGCCGAGGTTCAGGTACTACTGATCTAGACTTTAGGGACAGGGATACGCCACATTCAGATTTCAGAGGTAGACACCGATCTAGGACTGATCAGGATTTTAGGGGCAGAGAGATGGGATCTTGTATGGAATTTAAAGATAGGGAGATGCCCCCTGTGGATCCAAATATTTTGGATTACATTCAGCCCTCTACACAAGATAGAGAACATTCTGGTATGAATGTGAACAGGAGAGAAGAATCCACACATGACCATACGATAGAAAGGCCTGCTTTTGGCATTCAGAAGGGAGAATTTGAGCATTCAGAAACAAGAGAAGGAGAAACACAAGGTGTAGCCTTTGAACATGAGTCTCCAGCAGACTTTCAGAACAGCCAAAGTCCAGTTCAAGACCAAGATAAGTCACAGCTTTCTGGACGTGAAGAGCAGAGTTCAGATGCTGGTCTGTTTAAAGAAGAAGGCGGTCTGGACTTTCTTGGGCGGCAAGACACCGATTACAGAAGCATGGAGTACCGTGATGTGGATCATAGGCTGCCAGGAAGCCAGATGTTTGGCTATGGCCAGAGCAAGTCTTTTCCAGAGGGCAAAACTGCCCGAGATGCCCAACGGGACCTTCAGGTATGTTGATGGGGTGGATTGCTTTTTTTTTTTTTTTTTTTTTTTTTTTTGAGACGGAGTCTCGCTCTGTTGCCCAGCCTGGAGTGCAGTGGTGCGATCTCTGCTCATGCAAGCTCCGCCTCCTGGGTTCATGCCATTCTCCTGCCTCAGCCTCCTGAGTAGCTGGGACTGACTACAGGCGCCCACCACCACGCCTGGTGTGAGCCACCGCGCCCGGCCTGCTTTTTTTTTTTTTCTTTAAATAAGACTTTTGTGAAGGATGACATTTATTTATTTATTTATTTATTTATTTTTGAAACGGAGTCTTGCTCTGTCACCCAGGCTAGAGTGCAGTGACATAATCTCAGCTCACTGCAACCTCCGCCTCCCAGGGTCAAGCAATTTTCCTGCCTCAACCTCCTGAGTAGCAGGGATTGCAGGCATGTGCCACCATGCCCAGTTAATTTTTGTATTTTTAGTGCAGATGGGGTTTCACCATGTTGGCCAGGCTGGTCTCGAACTCCTGACCTCGTGATCCGCCCACCTCGGCCTCCCAAAGTGCTGGAATTACAGGCATGAGCCACCGTGCCTGGCCAGTTTTTTTTTTTTTTTTTCATTTTATTTTTATCTTTGCATAACCATTAGAAAGCAAAATTTGTATTCAGGAGTGGAATGTAGGAATGTAAATCTCTAGAGAAAAGGTCCTCAGCTCAGATCATATATATGTGTGTGTGTGTGTATATATATATATGAATATATATGTATATATATGAATATATATTTATATATATATATTTCTTTTTTCTTTTATTCTTTTCTTCCTGCTTCACTTTCCATTTGTGTATATATGTGTGTGTATATATGAAGGAACTATATATATATATATTTGAGACACGGTCTTGCTCTGTCACTCGGGCTGAAGTGCGGTGGTGTAATTATGGCTCCTTGCAGCCTTGACCTCCCAGGCTCAAGCGATCCTCCCACCTCAGCCTTCTGAGTAGCTGGAACTACAGATGTGCGCCAGCCACTATGCCTGGCTAGTTTTTTTTTTTTTCCTTTGAGAATGAGTCTTGCTCTGTCGCTCAGGCTGAAGTGCAGTTGTGCGATCTCAGCTCACTGCAACCTCTACCTCCTGGGTTCAAGGGGTTCCCCCGCCTCAGCCTTCCAGGAAGCTGGGACTACAGGTATATTTCACCATTCCTAGTTAGTTGTGTTTTTTTTTTTCTTTTTTGAGATGGAGCCTCACCGTGTTGCCTAGGCTGGAGTGCAGTGGCACGATCTTGGCTCACAGCAACCTCCGCCTCCCGTGTTCAAGCAGTCTTCCTGCCTCAGCCTCCTGAGTAGTTGGGACTGTAGTTGTGCACCACCAAATCTGACTAATTTTTGTATTTTTTGTAGAGATGAAGTTTAGGCATGTTACCTAGGCTGGGCTGGAACCCCTGATCTCAAATGATCCACCCTTCTCAGCTTCCCAAAGAGCTGGGATTTCAGGCATGCACCACCATGCCTGGCCAGCAATTTTTGTATTTTTTTGTAGACAGAAGGTTGCAACATATTTCCCAGGCTGGTTTCAAATTCCTGGGTTCAAGCAGTCCCCCCACCTTAGCTTCCCAAAGTGCTGGGATTACAGCAATGAGCCACTGCCCCTACCCTTTTGATGTGTGTTTATTCATTATTTTGTTTTATGATGCTGATTTACATGCCTTGGGATAATTTAGTTTGAAAGTATATGTCTTTGGGAGTTGACTCTTGCAACTCTCGCTTAGTTAGACCTGTGATTGTTTAGGGATCATTTTCTTATTTAAATTCATTGAGAGAATACTTAGGAGTCTCCCTAGTTGTGAAGAGCTGATATTAATGTTGCAACTATCCTCTTGCAGCTAACGTAATTAACTTAAATGTTAAACTTCTTGAATATATGATTTAAGCAAGGAGGGTTATATTTGTAATTTTACAATGAAGGTATTCTCTTTTAAAGTAGATTTGGCTGGGTACAGTGGCCTATGCTTGTAATTTCAGTGCTTTAGGAGGCTGAGGTGGGAGGATCACTTGAGGCCAGGAACTTGAGACCAGTGTGGTGCAACCTCAGGAGAGAATGTGAGGGTGGGGAAGAAAAATAAGGCCAGGCACAGTGGCTCATGCCTGTAATCCCAACACTTTGGGAGGCAAAGGTGGGCAGATCATTTGAGGTCAGGATTTCAAGACCAGCCTGGTCAACATGGTGAAACCCCATCTCTACTAAAAATAACAAAAATTAGGCCAGGCGTGGTGGTTCTTGCCTGTAATCCCAACACTTTGGGAAGCTGAGGCAGGTGGATCATTTGAGGTCGTGGGTTTGAGACCAGCCTGACCAACACGGAGAAACCCCATTTCTACTAAAAATACAAAATTAGCTGGGCGTAGTGATGCATGTGTGTAATCCCAGCTACTCGGGAGGCTGAGGCAGGAGAATCCCTTGAACCTGGGAGGCAGAGGTTGCGGGGAGGCAGAGGTTGCACTATTACACTCCAGCCTGGGCAGCAAGAGCGAAACTCCATCTGAAAAAAAAAAAAAAAACGAAAACCAAAACCAGCCAGGTGTGGAGGTGGGCGCCTGTAATCCCAACTACTTGGGAGGCTGAGGCAGGAGAATTGCTTGAACCTGGGGGGCGGAGGCTGCAGTGGGCTGAGATTGTGCCACTGCACTCCAGCCTGGGCGACAGAGCGACACTCTGTCTCAAAAAAAAAAAGACATTATCTAGTCATCTTCTCTCACCAGAGGTATGAAGTACTGCTAGTTTACAGCCCATTCTCCAGCTCTCAGACCAGGGAAATTTTTCTTTTTTTTTGAGACGGGGGTCTCGCTCTGTCACCCAGGCTGGAGTGCAGTGGCACAATCTTGGCTCACTGAAACCTCTGCCTCCCAGGTTCAAGTGATTCTTCCGCCTCAGCCTCCTGAGTAGCTGGGACCACAGGCGTGCACAGCACAGTTGGCTAATTTTTGTATTTTTAGTAGAGACGGTTTTACCATGTTGGCTAGGCTGAGAAAATTACTGTTTTGAGACTATGTTAGTGTGTCTTTCTGGTTATTAAAGTCTTACTCAGTCTTGTCTCTCGTAATGTTTTGCTTTACTTTGAAGACTCTTTCAGTGAGACTTGGTCTTAGCACATTTACATTCTTATGATTTGAAGTCACATTCTGGCACTCAGAACAATAGAGAAAATTGTAATTTTTTATATCTTCACGTGACATGTCATTATCATTTTTGATCCTGAGTGGCTAAATTTCATGTTGATTTGTGTTTTGTGCAGTAAAGTATATTTGTGAAATAATTTTTCATTCTCAATTTAAGGATCAAGATTATAGGACCGGCCCAAGTGAGGAGAAACCCAGCAGGCTTATTCGATTAAGTGGGGTACCTGAAGATGCCACAAAAGAAGAGGTAAGGCATGTCTTCTCTCCTGTTTCTCTGTGTCAATTAAAAATTAAAAAAACCTTTTAATTTGAAAAATTGTAGATTCACAAGAAGGTGCAAAGAAATGCACAGAGAAGTCTTGTGTATTTTTTTCCCATCTTCCCTCAGTGTTAATATTTTGCACAACTGTGGTATAGTATCTAAACCAGGAAATTGACCCTGGTATAATACATAAAGTTTATTCAGATTTCACCATTTATACATGCACTCACTGAGGTGAGGTTAAAAAAAATTATGACAAATGATTGCTCTCTTTAGACCTGATCACATCCTTTAGAGCATATTATTTCTGGAGTATGTACATAAGGATGCAGTTTATTTACAATAGTAAAAACTAGAAACTGCCTAACTGCCCTGTATCAAAGGATTGGCTGACTAAATTAAGTCTGAACTTATGGCAGTGCTCGCTCTGTGCCAGGCATTGTGTGATACTTACAAGCATTAGTTCATTTAATTATCACATATTTAATATAATCACTCTAAATATTAAGCATTACTGTATGTAATTGTTCTAGATACTGAGTGACACAGCAGTGTATATTATCAAGTCACTGCCTCCATGGATAATGAAAAAGCAAGCAAAAGGATTACACAATTTTAGTCAGCAAATAAATACTCTGAAGAAAACTAAAGTACAGGCGGGGCATGGTAGCTCGGCCTGTAACTCGGAGACAGAGTCTTGCTTTGTCGCCCAGGCTGGAGTGTGTGGCGCGACCTTGGTGCACTGCAACCTCCACCTCCCCAGTTCAAGCAGTTCTCCTGCCGCAGCCTCCCGAGTAGCTGGGACTACAGGCACACACCACCACGCCCAGCTAATTTTTGTACTTTTAGTAGAGACGGAGTTTCACCACATTGGTCAGGCTGGTCTTGAACTCCTGACCTCAGGTTATCTCCCTGCTTCTGCCTCCCAAAGTACTGCCATTACAGGCATGAGCCACCAAGCCCAGCCCATTTTTGATTTTTTTGAGGCAGCGTCTCACTTTGTTGCCCAGGCTGGAGTGCAGTGGCACAATCACGGCTCACTGCAGCTTCTACCTCTTGGGCTCAATCGATCCTACCACCTCAGCCTCCTGAGTAGCTGGGACCACGGGCATGCATGCTAATGGGGCTGTTTTTTGTATTGTGTAGTTAGGGAGACATCACTGAGGAAGAGGCATTCGAGCCCAGGCTTGAATGCCGTGAGAGAACAGTTTATATGAATATGGGGAAATGAACTGCCCAGGCAGTTCATGCTGAGGAAGTGCTGTGGCCCTGGACTGTAATGAACCCAGTACATCATTTTATATTTAACACATGAGAAACTGGACACTAAAAGGTTACACAGCAAGTGAGCAGAGAGCTTGGAATGCACACAGTATGATTTCAGAGCTTAAGCCTTTGAAGGTTATGCTCTTCTGCTTTTCTTTTTTTTTTTTTTTTTTTGAGACAGAGTCTCACTCTGTCACCCAGGCTGGAGTGCAGTGGCGCGATCTCGGCTCACTGCAACCTCTGCCGCCAGGGTTCAAGAGATTCTCCTGCCTCAGCCTCCCAAGTAGCTGGGATTACAAGCACCTGCCACTGCACCCAGCTGATTTTTGTATTTTTAGTAGAGATGGGGTTTCACCATCTTGGTCAGGCTGATCTTGAACTCCTGACCTCAAGTGATCCACCCGCCTCGGCCTCTCAAAGTGCTGAGATTACACGCATGAGCCACCGCGCCCAGCATTTTGTTTGTTTGTTTGTTTGTTTGTTTTTGAGACAGAGTCTTGCTCTGTCACCCAGGCTGGAGTGCAGTGGCACAATCTTGGGTCACTGCAACCTCCGCCTCTCGGGTTCAAATGGTTCTCCTGCCTCAGCCTCCTGAGTAGCTGGGACTACAGGCATGTGCCACCACGCCCGGCTAAGTTTTTGTATTTTTAGTAGAGACGGGGTTTCACCGTGTTAGCTAGGATGGTCTCGATCCCCTGACGTCATGATCCGCCTGTCTCGGCCTCCCAAAGTGCTAGGATTACAGATGTGAGCCACCGCTTCTGGCCCTGCTTTTCCTATGTACCTGAGAATTTTTAAATATTTATTTATTTATTTTTGAGACAGGGTACTCCAGACTGGAGTGCAATGGCCCAATCAAGGCTCACTACAGCCTCAAACTCCTGGGCTCAAACTATCCTCCCGAGTAGCTGGGATTATAGGTGTGAGCCAGTACTCCTGGCTAATTTTTTTTTTTTTTTTGAGATGGAGTCTCGCTCTGTTGCCCAGGCTGGAATGCAGTGGTGCGATCTTGGCTCACTGCAAGCTCCTTCTCCCGGGTTCACGCCATTCTTCTGCCTCAGCCTCCCAAGTAGCTGGGACTACAGGTGCCCGCCACCACGCCTGGCTAATTTCTTGTATTTTTTAGTAGAAACGGGGTTTTACCGTGTTAGCCAGGATGGTCTCAATCTCCTGACCTTGTGATCTGCCCACCTCGGCCTCCCAAAGTGCTGGGATTACAGGCGTGAGCCACCGTGCCCGGCCAATTTTTTTTTTTTTTTTTTTTTTTTTTTTTTAAAGATAGTGTCTCGCTCTGTTGCCCAGGCTGGAGTGCAGTGTCATGATCTCAGCTCACTGCAGCCTCAGCCTTCCAGGTTCAAGTGATTCTCCTGCCTCAGCCTTCCAAGTAGCTGGGATTACAGGTGTGTGCCACCACACCAGGCTAATTTTTGTATTTTTAGTAGAAATGGGGTTTCACCATGTTAGCCAGGCTGGTCTCGAACTCCTGACCTCAGGTTATCCACCCGCCTTGGATTCCCAAAGTGCTGGGATTACATGTGTGAGCCACCACGCCCGGTCTCTCCTGGCTAATTAAGAATTTTTTTTTTTTTTTTAGAGATAGGGTCTCACTATGTTGCCCAGGCTTGTCTCAAACATGTGGCTTTAAGCAATCCTCTCACCTTGGCCTCCCAAAGTGCTGGGATTATAGGCAGGAGCCACTGCATCCCACCAATTTTTGAATAATTATGTTCTACTCATTCAATATGTGAATGCCTTGAGTGTTCATAGTTTAACTTTGCTTTTCCAAAGTAATCATGGCTTTAAATTATGTATGATAAAAACTGTTAGGGAAAATCTGATATTCAGTGTTTGATTATGATTTGTATCATTTGTATAAATGCCATATTTTTGCAGATTCTTAATGCTTTTCGGACTCCTGATGGCATGCCTGTAAAGAACTTGCAGTTGAAGGAGTATAACACAGGTGAGTTTCTTGACTTGCATATGGCCTTGGGTTAGGAAGGGTCTTTGTCAGATCTCTGCATCATGTGCTACTTAAAATTTGTTTCAAGAAACCACAATTAAAATTTCCAGAAGCCTCCCGTTGGTGCCTCCAAATAACAACCAGCTTTAGTTTTAGCTGTGGTTCTTTGTGGATGTTTGTCCACACATGGGTGATGAGGATGCATGTTCCAGTTCTTCTGAATGCCTGTGATATATAGAGTGTTGCAGCAATTGCCTTGAATATATTTTATATAATTATTAAACTTGCTATGCATGTTCTTCATGGTGGTGGAATGTTTATGCTTGAGCCTAATAGGATTTAATAAGCTTGTTGTATGTAAAATTTTACATTCATTGCTTCAGTAAAATTTATGACTTCCCAGAGAAATTGTACAAATTAGTGGTTTAATTTTCAGTTTTGCTTTGAGAATGGAGTCCTGTTACAGTTATTTTGTTGAAATCCATGAATAGACCCAGAAGAGCTTTCCCTTTGACATCTGTTCTGTGGTCTGAATGGTAGATTAAACTTTTCAGAATATCCTCCTAGTTGTATTTCACAGTACCAATTTCAGTCATTTCCTTTAAATCTTACTACAGTAAAAGTAGGCAAAGGTGAAATGCCAAGAACTCAAGGTTTT
This sequence comes from Homo sapiens, assembly GCF_000001405.40. NCBI lineage: Eukaryota > Metazoa > Chordata > Mammalia > Primates > Hominidae > Homo > Homo sapiens. The sequence goes on from NC_000003.12 coordinate 49,976,051, forward strand.
TGACCAATATTTTTAGAACTATGTATAATAATAAGTTTATTTATTTAAAAATAAAGGTAATCTTTAGGTGACCTATTTTGCAGAATTTTAAATGGAAGGGAATAGAGCATGAGTCTTCACAGAACTTAGAATTTCAGTAATTCAGTTAAAGACATCTTCAAGTAAGAACATGTCATATTTTGAGGATATAATTTACTATTAGCAGTTTATCATGGGATAAAAATTTTGCATTAACTAGATAACTTCTTCAGAATGCTTCTGCAGAGGAAAATTATCCACAAAATAAATTTTGGTGCTTGAAAGAATATGGTGTTAAGTTCAGAAATAATTTGTTCTGTAATTTGAGAACAAGCTCAGAAGTATTATTTCTCAGAGAGCCAATTATTTATTTGTTTTAAAAACATCAACCCTGAATTTGTGGAAGCATGAGTAAGAGTAGATATATTATTATTCTTGGTATCTCACTTATGTTGGTTATATTTATTTTTTGCATATGCCTTATACATGCTTTCTTTGGGAACTCAAGGTAGAATTTACAGGCTGGAGATGCTTTTTAACTCTCAGGATAATAACCTCAGTCTGGTTTCATGAACTGTGCTTTCATTAAGTATTGATATGTTTAGGAAAGGAGATGTCTTAATATTTAAATAGCAGTTCAAACTCCAGTTTCTTTAGTATTCATTGACTTTCTAATTGTCAAATTTGTCAGGACAGTAAAAATTGTATTAACATATAGTGTCTAGAGAGGAAGTTCTTAAATTTGCCGATTGTGGTAGCTGTTAGAATTGGCAGACTGAAGACATTGATACACATGGGAAATCATTCAGGGCAGTGCTTAAAAATAAAACGAAAAATACCTTTCAGCAAATACAATCTTTTCTTGGCATTCTGTTAAGTTGTGTTTTTTATTTTTGTTTTTTAGTGAAAGAATTGGATTGCTAGTTTCATGTTATTTATATTACATCTCTATGTGACAAATAGGATGAACTTTTGACAATATCAGCCAGATCATGTTACTCCCATGTCTAAAACCCTCTTAGGGCCTTCATCTTCACTTGGAAGAAATTCCCAGCTTCTTCTTTTGTCTTACAAACCCATGCGTGAGCTGACCCTTGGCTGTTTGATCTCATTCAGTACTGCCCTCCACCTACCCTATTTTGCTGTAGCCACACTGAGCTTTTCTCTTGTCTTTGACCAATACAAACTTCTTTCTGTGTCAGGGTCTTTGCACTACTCTTCTCTCTGATCTTTACTTGTCTTCTGGGGTTTAGTTCTTGGCTTCAGTTTCACGTCTCTGAGGCCTTGTGTCACTCTCAAATCTAAAATCATCGGGCAGTTGTTTTCCATCATATCCTTGTTTGGATCTATCACTGATTGGATATTTCTATCACTGGTATTTTTCAGTTGGATCTATCACTGATCTATCACTGGTCACTGATTGGATTGAATCTGTCAGTGGTATTGGATCTATCACTGATATTTTTCTCCGTGGTTTTGTGTATCTTATTTCTCTCACTAGAGAGGAATGTCAGCAGGAGCCTTATTCCTTCTTGTTTCCACCAGTGCTTGACACTCGGTAGGTTCCCTATATGCATGGAATAGATTATTATTTATGGTGTATGTGAAGAGCAGCTGTGATTTCCCCTCAGGTGAGGAACATAAAAGGGTAGTGTAGGTTTCACAGCAGTGCAGCTTAGGTCTTACATATCTGTTGAAGAATATGTCTTGGAACAATCAGATGTTCTAAGAACTATAGTGTTTACTGTTAAAAGATCATATGTGGTAGTCAGGCATGGTGTTGCACACCTGTAGTCCTAGCTACTTGGGAGTCTGAGATGGGAGAATTTTTTGAGCCTGAGAATTTGAGATCAGCCTGAGCAACATAGCAAGACCTTGTCTCTTAAAAAGAAAAAGAAAAAAAAATGTGAATCTTAGTAGTAACAGTGACTTAAAAATTTTTTTTTATAAGAGAAAGGGTCTTACTCTGTTGCCCAGGTTGGAGTGCATTGGTACGATCATAGCTTACTGTAACCTCAAACCCCTCGGCTCAAGTGATCCTTCTGTCTCAACCTCCAGAGTATTTGGGACTACAGGTGCGTACCACCATGGCAGGCTAATTTTTAAACTTTTTGTAGAGGCGCGGTCTCACTATGTTTCCCAGGCTGGTCTTGAACTCCTGGGTTCAAGTGATTCTCCTGCCTCATCCTCCCACAGTGCTGGGATTACAGATGTGAACCAGTATGCACAGACAAAAAGGTGACATTCATAGGTGAAAACTGGTAATAAATATTTTAGGCTGAGTGATGACCTGCAGAGACCATGCAGGATGGATATTGCTCATAAGAGGGGAATTGTGGAGTACAGTCTGTCCTGTTAGTTGATGTAATGGAGGGCTGATCTATAACACAGGAGAGAAGATTAACGCCTCTTCGTTGACTCTAGTAATGTATTAGTGTAATTTTTGTCTCCTCTAGAGCTGTATAAGTACAGGGTCACAATTTTATCTAGAACCTGTGAGGTTAAATGAGCTTATGAATTTTTCAAGTTATAGAAATGTAGTTTACATAGATCATATGGGAATTATATCTCCCAGGGGAATGTGTACTCAGACATAATACTTACGCTGCAAAATTATTAATATTCTCACTAACAGGAGTAAATAAAGTCTCACAGTATAGGCCAGGATTTGCCTCAAAATGAGTTTGTTGAATTTTACCAAAAAACTTGACATTTATGGGATTTTGGAATTGTAGATAAGAGATTTTGGACCTATATATGTTGTGTATATTTGAATTTTTCATTTGCCATTTACAAATACATTATAACCCCATGAATTGTAAATTATCTTGAATTATATGATTATTTCTGGAAAAAGTACCAGGAGTAAAATGTCTTTTGGTGACTAGACAAACTCTAGTATATATATAAAATGGAATACTTCTCAGCAATGAAGAAGAAACTACTCATGCACCTAACAACATGGATGAATCTCAATGGCAATATGCTGAGTGAAAGAAACTAGACTCATAAGGATATATACACTACCATAAGGAGGAATGAAATACTGATGTATGCTACAAGTTGGATGAACCTTGAAAACATTATAAAAGAAGCCAGACACAAAAGACCAAATATTGTGCAATTCAGTTTATATGAAATATCTAGAGAAGGCACACCCGTAGAGATAGAAAGCAGATTGGTGGTTGCCAGGGGCTAAGCGGGAATGGGGAACGACTCCCTAATGGTTATGGTACTTCTTTTGGGCTGATAGAAGTGTTCTGGAACTAGGTAGTAGTGATGGTTGCATGACATTGTGAATGTACTTAATGCTCCTGAATTGTACACTTTAAAATGATGCATTTTATTTGATGTGTATTTGCTTACTTTGTTTTTTTTTTTTTTTTTTGAGATGAAATCTTGCTCCCGTTGTGTAGGCAGGAGTGCAGTGGCATGACCTCGGCTCACTGCAACCTCCATCTCCCGGGTTCAAACGATTCTCCTTCCTCAGCCTCCCAAGTAACTGGGATTACAGGTGTGTGCCACCACACCTGGCTAATTTTTTGTATTTTTAGTAGAGACGGGGTTTCGCCATGTTGGCCAGGCTGGTCTTGAACTCCCGACCTCAGGTTATCTACCTGCCTGGGCCTCCCAAAGAGCTAGCATTACAGGAGTGAGCCACTGTGCCCAGCCAGCTTACAATTTTTTAAAAAGGCTACATACTATATGTGTATGTGTGATTTCACTTATGTGACATTCTGGAAGGGACAAAATTTTAGGGATTGGAAATAGTGGTGGCCAGGGTATTGGGGGAGGAGTTAACTATAAAGCGGAAGCATGAGGGAATTTTTGGGTATAATGGAATTGTTCTATATCTTGATTGTGGTGATGATGTATCAATGTTAAATTCCCCGAGTTGATAACTACTGTGGTTATGTTAGAGAACATCTTTTTTCTTTTCTTTTTTTTTTTAAACGGAGTCTCGTTTGGTCACCCAAGCTGGAGCGTAATGGCGCGATCTCAGCTTACTGCAACCTCTGCCTCCTGGATTCAAGCAATTCTGCCTGCCTTAACTTCCTGAGTAGCTGGGATTACAGGCGCCTGCCCCTACTCCTAGCTAATTTTTGTATTTTTTTTAGTAGCGACAGGGTTGCGCCATGTTGACCAGGCTGGTCTTGAACACCTGACCTCAGGTGATCTGCCCACCTTGGCCTCCCAAAGTGCTGGAATTACAGACGTGAGCCACCATGCCCGGCTGAGAGTATCTTTATTCTTAGAAAATACATAATGAAGTTTTTAGAAGTAAAGTACTGTGATGTATGCAGCTTTCTCTCATGGTTTCGAAAATAATACTTGCTATAAATGGAGAAGGAAGGAAGAGAGTATTGATAAAGTAGATGGATCACAATGTTATTAATAGTTGAATCTGGGGCCACACGCGGTGGCTCACGCCTGTAATCCCAGCACTTTGGGAGGCCAAGGCAGGTAGATCATCTGAGGTCAGGAGTTTGAGACCAGCCTGGCCAACATGGCGAACGAAACCTGTCTACTAAAAAATACAAAAATTAGCCGGGCGTGGTGGCGGGTGCCTGTAATCCCAGCTACTCGGGAGGCTAAGGCAGGAGAATCACTTGAACTCGGGAGGCGGAGGTTGCAGTGAGCCAAGATCACGCCATTGCACTCCAGCCTGGGCGACAGAGCAAGAATTCATCTTAAAAAAAAAAAAAAAAAAAGTTGAACCTGGGTAAAGCATATATGAATCTTTTCCCTGTACTATTATTATTGCAATTTTTTTGTAACTTGGAAATTATTTCCAATAAAAAGTTGAAAAACTGACAAAACTGATTTATTTTATTTTATTTTTTATTTTTTTGAGACGGAGTCTTGCACTGTCACCAGTGCTGGAGTGCAGTGGCGCGATATCGGCTCACTGCAACCTCCGCCTCCTGGGTTCAAGCGATTCTCCTGCCTCAGCCATCGGAGTAGCTGGGATTATAGGCGCCTGCCACCATGCCCAGCTAATTTTTTGTATTTTTTAGTAGAGACGGGGTTTCACCATGTTGGCCAGCCTGGTCTCAAACTGACCTCATGATTCGTCCACCTCTGCCTCCCAAAGTGCTGGGATTACAGGCATGAGCCACTGCGTCCGGCCTATATTTTATCTTTAAATGATCAGCAGAAACCTTGTAAGCTGAAGACTGCAATCAACAGCTTATGTCAAGTAAACTATAGAGCAGTGGTTCTCAGAGTGGATCCTGGACCATCATCATCTCTTTACCCCTTGGGAACTTGTTGGAATCCAAATTCTTAAGCCCCATCCTAAACCTACTGAATCAGAAACTCTGGGGTGGGGCCCAGTAGCCTGTGCTTTTAAGAAGTCCTCCAGATATTTTTAATGTACCCTGAGGACCACTGGCAGTAGATAAAGTGTTTGTTTAGATTCTTTATTCTAGAACTTTTGTATAGTTTAAAAGTGACTTAATAATAAGCAAGTGGACCTTTTGTAAGTAGACAAAGCTAATGCTTATGTGCTTTAGGAGCCAGTGCTGATCACATGCCTTGCCTACCTAATATCAGTTCTCCTGCTCTGCATAGCAGGAGAAGGAGCTGGAGTAGTGTTGGTACTATCTTATGACTTTAGTTATATGTAACTAAGGACATATAACTTAGTTGTTTTTTCTGTTTATATATAGTATACTTCCTCCAGAGATCTTGGAATGGTTGTAGATCTTCTCATTCACACAGTGTTTCTGTGACATATGAATGCAGGCAGAATTGCTTTTGATTTTTAGGTTTGTTTGCATACTACGTAGTATATAAGCTTGCTGTGATATTTTTCCAAAAGGGATTTATATCATTTAAGCAAAAATGATACAGCTTCTGGATTATGTTTCCTAATAAGGCTCAAACATAGAAAGTAATTATAGTAACTGAAGTGCTACAGAATTACTTTAGTACTGGTTTATTAACTAATGTCACAAAGTTAGAGGATTACTAAGGTGGTGTTAGTAGGAAGAAGCAATATCTTGCTTTAGCCCGTCAGTGTTCATGTGGTGAATGGACAGTCTCTGTATTCTTGGGAAGGAAAATTCTTCTTGGAAAGTGAGTATTTGCAATGACTAGGTCAGTCACTTGGTCTGTTGCCTGGCATTTTGGGTCTACTGAAAGTGACGTTGTAGCAAAGGCCCTGTACCTTCTGCATTTCTTTTCTTTTCTTTTTTTTTTTTTTTTTTTTTTTTTTTTGGTAGAAACAAGGTCTTGCTTTGTTGCCCAGGCTGCCCTTGACCTCCTGTCAAGCAGTCCTCCCACCTTAGCTTCCTGAGTAGCTGGGACTACAGGCGTGTGCCACCATGCCTGGTTAATGTAAATTTGTTTGGTTTTTTTGAGACAGAGTTTCACTCTTGTTGCCCAGGTTGGAGTGCAGTGACGTGATCTCAGCTCACTACAGTCTCTGCCTCCTGGGTTCAAGCGATTCTCCTGCCTCAGTCTCCCAAGTAGCTGGGCTTACAGGCACCCGCCACCACGCCCAGCTAATTTTTTGTATTTTTTTAGTAGAGACGGGGTTTCATCATGTTGGCCAGGCTGGTCTTGAACTCCCGAGCTCAGGTGATCCACCCACCTCGGCCTCCCAAAGTGCTGGGATTACAGGTGTGAGCCACCGTGTCTGGCCTATTTTTAAATTTTTTTTGAGACAGAGTCTCTCTCAGTCACCCAGGCTGGAGTGCAGTGGTGCAATCTCAGCTCACTGCAGTCTCTGCCTCCTGAGTTCAATTCTCCTGCCTCAGCCTCCCTAGTAGCTGGGATTACAGGCCTGCCATCGTGCCCAGCTAATTTTTGTATTTTTAGTAGAGACAGGGTTTCACCATGTTGGCCAGGCTGGTTTCAATCTCCTGACTTCAAGCAATCCACCTGCCTCGGCCTCCCAAAGTGCTGGGATTACAGGCATGAACCACCACGCCTGGCCTAAATTTTTTTTTTGTAGAGACAGGGTCTCACGCTGTTGCTCAGGCTGGTCTTACACTCCAAGGCTCAAGCAATCCTCCTGCCTTGGACTCCCAAAATGCTGAGATTACAAGTGTAAGACACTGAGGCCAGCTGCCCTTTACATTTCTTAAGGGTAACAGGCTCATGTCCTTTCATTATTCACAATTTAAATATTTTGAGTCTTTACTTCTGTGTCAATATAACAGAAGTAACTTCCTTACGAAGAAAATTCCAGAGGGAATCTTTCAATGTAGGGATAGAAATCCATTGTGAAACTCGAGAATTGACACTGATGATATAAAACATGCACAGTAGCCGAGTGTGGTGATGTGTGCGTGTAGTCTTAGCTACTCAACAGTCCGAGACATGAGCTCAGGAGTTTGTGACCAGCATGGGCAATATAGTGAGACTCTGTCTCAAAAAAAGGAAAAAAAAAAGTGCATAGTTTATGGTATCCCAACTGGAGGAGCTAAAGACAGAATAGCTTAACATCATTTAGAAAAAAAATTATAATTGAAAAGTGCAAATACACATTTTGCAGTGTTTTTGGCATTTACAAAATATGTAAACACTTTTAGTTTCTTAGGGAAAAGATGACGATAGGCTGATTGAAAAATATCATTTTTACTTGTCACATCTCTAAAACAGCAGAAGTTCTTGTTTTTAACCAGGAGTCCTATCAGGTTTGATACAACCTTCGGGGAGGATGTGGCAGTTGAAATTTAAGGAAACTTAGTTTCCTTAAGGTGGCTGAGCTTAAAAAATCAAAATGTTTAGGAAGGCAGGAGACACTAATAGGGCTGGGCTAGTCTTGTGGAGGCAGTGGATGGACGCTTTGGCTGGCCTAGGGAAGAATCTGTGATTCAGTGCTGCAGGGATCAGGTGATCCTGGTGAGAGAGGTCCTGGAACAAGGGTTAATTTGGTCATTTTTGGAATGACCTGGGATTTGGCTTATTTATTTTATTTTTAAAATTTCCCGCTGGGCACAGTGGCTCAAACCTGTAATTCCAGCACTTTGGAACGCCAAGGCCAGTGGATCACTCGAGCTCAGGAGTTCGAGACCACCCTGGGCAACATGGTGAAACTCTATCTCTCCAAAAAAAATACAAAAAAAATTAGCTGGATGTGGTGGTGCATGCTTGTAGTCCCAGCTACTTAGGAGGCTAAAGCAGGAAGATCACTTGAGCTAGGGAGGTGAGGGTGGAGGTTGCAGTGAGCCAAGATCATGCCACTGCACTCCAGCATGGGCAACAGAGAGAGACCTTGTCTCAAAAAAATAAAATGGTGAATGTAAAATAAAATGGTAGCTCACGCCTATAATCCTGGTACTTTGGGAGGCCGAGATGGGTGGATCACTTGAGGCCAGGAGTTACAGACCAGCCTGGTCAATATGGCAAAACTCCCATCTCTACTAAAAATACAAAAACTAGCTGGGCTGGTGGTGTATGCCTATAATCCCAGTTACTCAGGAGGCTGAGGCAGAGGTCACAGTGAGCTGAGATCACACCACTGCACTCCAGGCTGGATGACAGAGTGAGACCCTGTCTAACGTGACATCACATCACATCACATCACATCACATCGCATCGCATCGCATCGCATCGCATCGCATCGCATCGCATCGCATCGCATTGCATCACATCACATCACAACATAACATAAATTTTCAAGGCAGAAATCTTGTAGTCAGCCTTACTGTTTGTTGACAAGGACACGGCCCTGAGCACAGAAATCTCGGCAGTTGATAAAGCCAAGAAGAAGGATACTAATTAAAGAAATTTTCAGATTTTGCATCTTCTGGCATCTCAGCTAAATAGCTCTGAGGAGGAGGATGCCACTTACCAGTTTTGAGACACAGGCAGGTTATATTATTTTCCTGAAAACCATTTAGCTGAGATGGAATTTGCCTCTCTGAGGTTGGGGAAGGTGTTTGAACTCTGTTTACAGCCCTCTGTCAGTTCCACTGCCTTGCTGAGTTCCCTCACCCTTCTTTAGATAGAATTGCTGTTGGCTTCTATAGTCCTCACTTACCTCTTTTGCCAAATGCTCAGGTAGCCTTGGCTGAGTCTTCCAGGTTTGATAAGGCTGTATGGGGCTTCCTATGCCTTTTGGTAGTTAGAAGTCACTGAAGAGGTACTTCTGCTACAGTGACAAGAAGAAAAGGGCATTACTCAGCTTGTATAGTGCAAGGGCTGCTTGACTCCCAGCTTCAGTCTAGGCAGGGGAATTTATTTATACAATTACCTTAAATGAGCACCAGATAGAGGCCATCTATAAAAACTGTTTACAGGATTTAAAAATACGTTGACATTGGCTTCTTCCTTTAACTTTCTGCTTGCAACAGAACATCTGATGCGACCTATGCTGCTCACTGTTTCTAGGTTACATTCTCTACCCTTGCAGTGTAAATTAATTTTTGCCTGGTTCCATGTTTCTTGCTTAGGTTATCTCTTAGGTCTTTTGTCTGATTTAAATATAAGCCTTCTTAGGACTAGATAGTGGTGATGGTTGCACTACTTTGTCAATATACCACTGAATTGTATGTATTCACTCTTTTAAGAATGAGTTTATTTTTATTTTTATTTTTATTTTGAGATAGAGCCTCACTCTGTCGCCCAGGCTGGAGTGCAGTGGCGTGATCTCAGCTCACTGCAACCTCCACCTCCCGGGTTCACGCCATTCTCCTGCCTCAGCCTCCCGAGTAGCTGGGACTACAGGCGCCTGCCACCACGCCCGGCTAATTTTTTGTATTTTTAGCAGAGACGGGGTTTCACTGTGTTAGCCAGGATGGTCTCGATCTCCTGACCTTGTGATCCGCCCACCTCGGCCTCCCAAAGTGCTGGGTTTACAGGCGTGAGCCACCATGCCTGGCCTTAAGAATGAGTTGATTGTTCTTAGTCTCAGTTGAGTACATTGTGTTATGTATAGAAAATGTTATATTTTCATTTTTAAAAATTATTATTATTATTTTGAGATGGGGTCTCACTTTGTCACCCAGGCTGGAGTGCAGTGGCACGGTCTTGGTTCACTGGCAACCTCCACCTCCCAGGTACAAGTGATTCTTCTGCATCAGCCTCCTGAATAGCGGGAATTACAGGCGCCTGCCACCAAGCCTAAGTAATTTTTGTATTTTTTTTTTTTAGTAGAGACGGGGTTTCACCATGTTAGCCAGGCTGATCTTAAACTCCTGACCTCAAGTGATCCATTCGTCTCAGACTCCCAAAGTGCTGGGATTACAGATGTGAGCCATTGCGCCCAGCCCATTTTAAAAAATTAAACTGGCCTGGTGCGGTGGCTCACGCGTGTGATCCCAGCACTTTGGGAGGCCGAGGCAAGCGGATCATGAGGTCAGGAGATTGAGACCATCCTGGCTAACATGGTGAAACCCCATCTGTACTAAAAAATACAAAAAATTAGCCGGGCATGGTGGCGGGCTCCTGTAGTCCCAGCTAATTGGGAGGCTGAGACAGGAGAATGGCATGAACCCGGGAGGCAGAGCTTGCAGTGAGCCGAGATAGCGCCAATGCACTCCAGCCTGGGCAACAGAGCAAGACTCCGTCTCAAAAAAAAAAAAAAACAAAACAAAAAAAAACCAAAACATTAAACCATACTCTCTAACTGTGAAGAAGTTGTGATTTATTCTTTAGTGTTACCTGCCATTCTTTTTGTCTCTTTCTCTCTCTTCTCTTCTCCTCTCTTCTCTTCTCTCTTCTTCCCTCCCTTCCCCTCCCCTCCCCTCCCCTTCTCTTTTCTTCTCTTCTCTTTTCTTTTCTTTCAGAGTTTTGCTCTGTTGCCCAGGATGGAGTGCATTGGCATGCTCACGGCTCACTGCAGTGTCAACCTCCCAGGTTCAAGCTGTCCTCCTACCTCACCCTCCCTAGTAGCTGGGACTATAGACATGCACCACCATGCCTAATTATTTTGTATTTTTTGTAGAGACGAGGTTTTGCCATGTTGCCCAGGCTGGTCTTGAACTCCTGAGCTCAAGTGAGCTACCTGCCTCAGCCTCCCAAAATGCTGTGATTACAGGTGTGAGCCTTATTTTATTATTTTTTTTTGGGACAGAGTCTCTCTCTGTCCTCCAGGCTGGAGTGCAGTGGCACGATCTTGGCTCACTGCAACCTCTGCTTCTCGGGTTCAAGCAATTCTCCTGCCTCAGCCTCCCAAGTAGCCTCCCAAAGTGCTGGGATTACAGGCATGAGCCACCATGCCAGGCCTCTGATGCATATATTTTTTAAAAATAGTATTTTCCACCTTACAGTGTATTTAAGAGTTTGTAAATTTCCTTTTTTGTTTTCTTTTTGGAACAGTGTTGCTCTGTTGCCCAGGCTGGAGTGCAGTGACATGATCTTGGCTCATTGCAACCTCCACCTCCCAGATTCAAGTGATTCTCCTGCCTCAGCTTCCCGAGTAGCTGGGATTACAGGTGCCCGCCACTACGCCCAGCTAAATTTTTTGTAATTTTAGTAGAGACAGGTTTCACCATGTTGGCCAGGCAGGTCTTGATCTCCTGACCTCAAGTGATCCGCCCACCTCGACCTCCCAAAGTCCTGGGATTACGGACATAAGATACTGTGCCTGGCTGAGTTTGTAAATTTCTTTCTTTCTTTTTTCTTTTTTTTTTGAGACAGAGTCTTACTCTGTCACCTGGGCTAGAATGCAATAATGCGATCTCTGCTCACTGCAACCTCTGCCTCCTGGGTTCAAACAATTCCCCTGCCTCAGCCTCCTGAGTAGCTGGGATTACAGCCGCCTGCCACTATGCCCAGCTAATTTTTGTATTTTTTGTAGAGATGGGGTTTTGCCGTGTAGGCCAGGCTGGTCTAGAACTCCTGACTTCAGGTGATCCACCCACCTTGGCCTCCCAAGCGTGGGGATTACAGGTATGAGCCACCACGCCCGGTCATCAAAGATAATGTTTTTAATGATCAGGAGCACTTTGAGATGTTTAGAACAATCTGAAACCTGATTTCCAAGCCATCTCAAAATATACTTTGGTAATCAAGACAGGGAAATGATGGTGTTATATCATTTGTGGGACTCAACTGATTTTGTTGAGTATTGATTTTGCTGTGGGATTCCTTGTTCTCTTGGTTGTGTTGGGCCTACTGCTTTTTAAAAAAGTATTTTGAGACAGGGTCTTACTCTGTTGCTCAGGCTGGAGTGTAGTGGCGCAGTCTCTTGTCTCTGCAACCTCAATCTCCTGGGCTCAAGGGATCCTCCCACCTCAGCCTCCCAAGTAGCTGGGACCACAGGTACCCACCATCACACCTGGCTAATTTTTGTATTTTTTGTAGACATGGGGGTCACTGTCTTGCCCAGGCAGGTCTTGAACTCCTAAGCTCAAACAACCGTCCTGCCTTGCCCTCCCAAATTGCTGGAATTACAGGTGTGAGCCAGTGCGCCTGGCCTTCTTTTTTTTTTTTAACCACTATTTTTTAGAACTAGATTTGGCCTGGAAAGAGAAAAAAGATATTCCTCGACTTGATCTATATATTTTATGGTTCATTCATTTGCTTTAGAGGTAGAAGGAGCAGGAAAAAGTACAACAAAACAAAATCTTACCTTTGGTGTTTAATTTGAATGCCCACAGATGCTTTTGCATTTATTAGTAGTGAGTTTTCATAATTATCAAATATGTAGTAGAAAAATCTGGCTGTGCATGGTGGCTAATGCCTGTAAATCCCTATATGCTGGGAGGCTGAGGCAGGTGGATTTTCTGAGCTCAGGAGTTCAAGACCAGCCTGGGCAACATGGCAAAACCCCATCTCTGCCAAAAATAAGCTGGGTGTGGTGGCACACGCCTGTGGTACCAGGTACTCCGGAGGCTGAGCTGAGAAGATTGTGGAGGTTTCAGTGAGCCAAGATTGCACCACTGCACTCCAACCTGGGTGACAGAGTGAGACTCCATCTCAAAAAAAAGAAAAAAAAATCTCCTTGTCCAGGAGCTGTGTTGAGTGGGCTGTGGACTAGCAGGAATTCATAGCTCTGGTGAAAGATGACTAGATAATGTCATTTTTTTTTTAAAAGTCCCTGAATGATTGTGACAGGGTAGGAAAATCATCACATAGCAAAATCTTCATTAGATTTTCCCTAATGACTTATCAACTGGGTTTGTGCACCAAACGAAACAACTTCCTGCCTTTGTTTGTCTGAAAGTCAAAGAAAATATTATTCAGGTATATTATATTGTACTCCATGCTACAGAAGTTTCTGGCAGCAATATAGGTTATATGCCAATCGGTTAAATAATATTTGTGGGCCAGGCCCGGTGGCTCATGCCTGTAATGCCAGCACTTTGGGAGGCCGAGGCGGGTGGATCACTTGAGGTCAGGAGTTCAAGACCAGCCAGGGCAACATGGTGAAACCCCATCTCTACTAATAAAACAAAAATTAGCCTAGTGTGGTGGCACACGCCTGTAATCCCAGCTACTCAGGAGGCTGAGGTAGGAGAATCGCTTGAACCCGGAAGGTGGAGGTTGCAGCTGAGATTGTGCCATTGCACTCTAGCCTGGGGCCACAAGAGTGAAACTGTCTCAAAATAAATAAATAAATAAATAAAATAATAATAATATTTGTGTAAGTACAGGGATATGTTTCTTCAACTCCAAAGTATGAGTTAATGTGCATATGCCAACTCTAGAAATAAAGTATTAAGTCAAAACTCCCAAGAAAATTTCCCCAAAAAGTTGCTAACAGACGTTATTTTATTTTATTTATTTATTTTGATACAGAGTCTCTCCCACTGTCACCCAGGCTGGAGTGGTGCAGTGGCATCATCTCGATTCACTGTAGCCTCCGCCTCCCAGATTCAAGCCATTCTCGTGCCTCAGCCTCCCTTGTAGCTGGGATTACAGTTGCCCACCACCACGCCTGGCTGATTTTTGTATTTTTAGTAGAGATGAGGTTTCACCATGTTGGCCACGCTGGTCTCGAACTCCTGACCTCAAGTGATCTGCCCGCCTTGGCTTCCCAAAGTGCTGGGATTACAGTTGTGAGCCACTGCACCTGGCCTTTAATTTTAATTTCTAAAACTATGGAGTAATACTACATTGAGGGAACAGAATTTTCTATTCCTTCATTTGTATTATTATTAAATACAGTCATGCATTGCATAATGACAGGAATACATTTTGAGAAATGGATCAAGTGATTTTTTCATTGTGTAAACATCATAGGGTATATTTACACAAACTAGATGTTATAGCCTACTATACAGCTAGGCTATATTGTATAGCCTGTTACTCTTCGGCCACAAAACTGTACAGTGTGTTACTGTATTGAACACCATAGGCAATTGAGACACAACGGCATTTGTGTATCTAAATATAGAAAAGGTAATGCATTGTGCCACCAAATCAACAACAGCTATGATGTCACTGGGTGATAGGAATTTTTCAGTGCCATTATAATCTTATGGAACCATTGTTTCATATGCATGCAGTTTGCTGTTGATCAAAATGTAGTTAAGCAGCACATGGCTGTAATTAAAACACTATTGTTTGTTATAATAGAAAATAAAATTTTTCTTTTTAGCCTCTGTATTAATAAAGAGCACTAGAAAGTACTTTGTTTATCAGATAATGAATATGTTTGACAGATGTACATACGTATTTATCAAATGAATCTTTTTTTGTGGGGGAAACCTTAACTAAGAATAGGCCTGTGTTTTAAAATGGCTGCCTGGAGGACAAGTGCTATAAGGAAATTTCAGTGGTATTTGCTTGACCTGGCATTAAGTGGGGGGAAAAACAAGCCCCAGGTGAATTGATAGATGGATGTCTGAACATGTTCAGGAATGATGTTTTGAACAATGTTTGCCTCCTGTGTCATGTAGGCAGAGAGATGATAAAAGTTTTTTTCCCCTCTTGATACCAGGTAATTCTGATACCGACTACCAGAAGTTAGCTTCAGACTCCGCAGGTTGAAGGGCTTTGTCCCATAAGACCATTCTTACTTCAGACACCAATTGCAATGATCAGTTATCAGGTCCCAAGGTTACCTACACTTATGTCTGATTTGGCTACAAAATTGGAGGTTCCCACAGTCTACCCCTTCAGATTTGATAACTTTCTAATATGGCTGCAAAAAACTCAGAGAAATACTTATGTTTATCAGTTTTTTATAAAGGATACAATTAGCCAGATGAGGAGATAGATAGGGCAAAGTCCAGGAGGGTCCTGAGTGTTGAGTGTAGGAGTCTCTGTCCTGTGGAATATGCCACCGTCCCAGCATGTAGATGTATTCACCAATCAGGAAGCTCTCTGAGCCCTTTTGTGTAGTTGTTTTTATGGAGGTCTCATTATGTAGGCAGGATTGATTAAATCATTGACAGTGGGTGATTTGCTCAAGCCCCTCTCCCCTCATCAGAAGTTGGTGGGTGGTACTGAAAGTTCTGAACTTCTGGTCAAGGCTTTGTCTTTCTAGGTAGCCCTCATCCTGAAGCTATCTAGGGGCTTTCCAAGAGTTGTCTTATTAGAACAAAGAACACTCCTATCACCCTTATCACTCAGGAAATTCCAAGGGTTTTAGGAGCTGTATGCCAGGAACCTGGGACAGACCAAGTATCTTTCTGTGATACCACAGAATGGGACCCCAAAAGCCAGCTCCAGCTGGTGTCTAGTGCCTTTAGTTGGGCACTGGATATCGGTTACAGGGCATAAGTGGCCCAGTGGGGTTGCCGTTTAACCCATCTCTGCTGTATTAACCTCATGTACCTTAGCTCATGGCTAGGTCGTTTCAAGTCTCACCTAATGTCAGTTGTTTCATCCTTCTCTGGATGCATGTTCACTTCTGGAATAGGTGAATATCTGGGCCACTATGTTTGCTGTCATCCTGAGCAAACTTCCAGCTTAGAAACCAGCTTTATGGAATCATCCCAGAGCCTTTATTTTATTTTATTTTATTTTATTTTATTTATTTATTTATTTATTTTTTGAGGCAGAGTCTTGCTCTGTAGCCCAGGCTGAAATGCAGTGGCAAAGTCATGGCTCACTGCAGCTTCAACCTCCCAGGCTCAAGCAATCCTTCCGTTTCAGCCTCCCAAGTAGCTGAGATTACAGGTGTGTACCACGACACCTGGCTGATTTAAAACCTTTTGTAGAGATAGTGTCCCAGTGTGTTTGCCCAGGCTGGTCTCAGACTCCTGGGGTTAAGCGATCCTCTTGCCTCAGCCTCCCAAAATGTTGGGATTACGGGCGTGAGCCACTGAACTTGGTCCCAGAGCCTTTTAGAACAGTGTTGAGTTGCCCTTTATTTGCACCAGGGCTAAGGCAGTAGAAAAAAAATGTTTATGGGCCATGTTTTTCTTCCTAGTCAAAATAAAAATAGCCATGTAATCTATGGAGGCAGCAGATATGTTGTTAGTATACACTAGAAGTCAGGAAATTCGTACTGCCTTTCAGCTGCTAAAGTACTGGGACATATTTGAGAAGCAGTAATGCAGAGGCAGCTGTCTGATCTTTGATCTCTGATAATGCTTATTTCATTGCATCCCTGAAACCACCCTGCAAAGGATTTATCATCTTTGCTGCTTTGCATATGGAATAGCATAGGCCCAGAGAGACGTAGCTTGACTGCAATCACATGGTGAGTTAGTTGTAGCTTCTGCAAATGTACAGAACTAAGAAGCTACTTTTCTTGTGTGTTATTCTAGTGATGATGGTCATTATAATTGATGTACCTGATATTATGCTAGGTTTAGGGATACAGAAATGAAAGAAGATCACAGTCCCTCATCTGGGACCTCTGTTTTTTTGGTGTCACCTCTCTGCATAGACAGTTCTGCAGTATTGATGCTGCTGTTCTGGTTGATCCTTCTGTCATGCCTGCACCATCTTTTCTGCCAGACTGAAGTGTTCTTGCTTGGGGAAAAGCAGATTTGCAAAGGTTCTCTTTTTCCTGATTGTTGCTTTGCAGATTGAGTATATTTGTTTGTTTGTTTTTAAGTGAACAAAAGTTGAATGAGATTGATTACTGGCTCTTTAAAGAATAATTACTCCCCCTTTTGACTTATGTAGCATCTTGAGGTGATCTATGACCGTTTGTACTTGTCATGACTTCCATTAGATTAAACTCTGGGGCAAAGACGTTGCTCTTCATTGTGCTCATATGACACCATTACTGCCAGTGGAATTGAAATAAATTGAGTAAGGGCGAGTGTTTCCTAACAAATGTTATCCTGGGCCTGAGGAACCATCATCAAGATGGAGTGGCCCTGCGATTAATTTTGGACTTAAAGCAAAAAACAAACAAATTTTTTTCTTTAAATAACCAGTTGGCACAGATACAGAATAAAATAAGATAGATCCACGTGTAGTTTTTGAAAATTTAGGTCAGGTGGCTCACTCCTATAATCCCAGCACTTTGGGAGGCCAAGGCGTGTGGATAACTCGAGGTTAGGAGTTTAAGACCAGTCTGGCCATCATGATGAAACCCCATCTCTACTAAAAGTACAAAAATTAGCTGGGCATGGTGGCGCATGCCTGTAAACCTAGCTACTCAGGAGGCTAAGGCAGGAGAATTGCTTGAACCTGGTAGGCGGTAGTTGCAATGAGCCGAGATTGCGCCACTGCACTCCAGCCTGGGTGACAGAGTGAGACTCTGTCTCAAAAGAAAAAAAAATTTAAGAAATAATCATCAGTGTATATCTTCCTTTTTTCATTTTTCTTTAAAAAAAAAAACAACCCTTGTATGCATAGCTGAAGGAGAAATAATTGAAAGTGTTTATAAGATTTCAAGGTGATGGGCTGGACACAGTTGCTCATGCCTAATAATCTGCACGCCTGTAATCCCAGCTATTCGGGAGCCTGAGGCAGGAGAATCACTTGAACCCAGGAGGCAGAGGTTGCAGTGGGCCGAGATAGTGCCATTGCACTCTAGCCTGGGCGACAAAGGTGAAACTCCATCTCAAATAAAAAAAAAGATTTCAAGGTGATGGGTTTCATGTGGACCAATTTTATCCTTCCCTGATGATAATTTGACATATGAGTCAGATATTTTCCTAATTTTCGTAATTCGAGTGGGATTGTGTGTTTGTTTGTTTGTTTTGAGACAGGGTCTCACTCTGTTGTTCAGGCTGGAGTGCAGTAGGCCAGTCATGGCTCACTGTAGCCTTGGCTTCTCAGGCTCAAGTGAGCCTCCCACCTCAGCCTCTTAAGTAGCTGGGACTATAGGTGCGTGCTCCCACACCTGGCTAATTTTTTCTGTTTTTTTTTGTAGAGACAAGGTCTCATTATATTGCCGAGGCTGGGACTCCTGAGCTCAAGTAATCCTCCTACCTTGGTCTCCTAAAGTGCTGGGATTATATCCACGAGCCACCACACCCAGCCTCGCATGAGATTTTAACAGAGCAAAGTACCTGTTGGAAATCTTGCGCACAAAGCCTCCTTTATTCTGTTATTCCCACTGACAGGAATTCAGATACCTGGATCAATTCTGTTTCGGTTTTGCTAAAATCTCTAACTTGATATTTTACTTTTCTAAAAACCTGTATTATCAATGAAATGGAATTAGGAAAACAGGACCTATAGAAGTTAAGACCTCTTCAATCTATTGATGTTTCATGGTGCCTTTTATATTCAAAATGCTTTGTTCTCACAAAAATAATACTTTTTGTTTGGAGAAAAAGGCTGTGGGGTGTGTGTGTGTGTGTGTGTGTGTGTTTTCCTCTCAAAGATAGCAGTAAAATAAACTCCTTCTGACAAAGGCTTCTTAAAAGAAAGGAGAAAAAAAAACCTTCCTGCTAATTGTGTTCTTTAAAATCCTGATTCCCCGTTTTACTTTCTGGATGTGTATTCTGGGCTTTTTCAATGTCAACCAATACTCTCTTGATGGGAAATTCAGCTGGATTTGGGTATGTTCATTGGGTTTTCCTAGAACAGTTTGAAGATCCATCTCATTTACCTAAACAAATATTCCTTATAATTATTATGAAAATTGGGCCTGTTATAGACTAATAATTGACTTAAACCATACAGGGTTATGTTTGTCAGTATCTCGTGAGTCAGCTTTTCTAGGGGCAGAGATTGAAGAGTTAGTTCTGAGATTGAATACTATTTATCAGGGTTTTGTTTTGTGTACCTTATTCTCCTGTAACCACCTGGTTGGCTTTTATCATAGATACATTTTTGGGAAACAGGCAACCACATGGTTAATGAAGATAGAGAAGACGTGAAATTTGTTACCTTTATAGATTTTTTCCCCTTGCCCTGTTCTCATTCTTCTCATTTGCCTAAAAAAAAATATAAGGAGGCCGGGTGCGGTGGCTCACGCCTGTAATCCCAGCACTGAGGCAGGCAGATCACCTGAGCTCAGGAGTTCGAGACCAGCCTGGCCAACGTGGCGAAACTCCGTCTCTACTGAAAATACAAAAATTAGCCGGGCGTGGTAGTCCCAGCTACTGCAGGTACCTGAGGCAGGAGAATTGCTTGAGCCTGAGAGGCAGAGGTTGCAATGAGCCGAGATTGTGTGCCATTGCATTCCAGCCTGGGTGACAAAGCAAGACTCTGTCTCAAAAAAAAAAAAAAAAGTATAAGGAGTATTCACATTTCTATGAGATCTGTAAATTTAGGTTAGAAAATTTAGTTAACTGTGTTTTGTAATAGTCATATAAATAAGCACAAAGACCCTCCAGACTTCTTCCCAGCATGTGACAGTGGAAGAAAGGGGTAATAAAGTAGATTTTTTTGTTACTCTCATTGGTAAAAATAAGTCTGTCCATGGGAAGGTTAACACTGAGTTTACCATCTTGATGATTCCATATGGTTCCTAGCAATTCTAATCTCAAAGTTGGTTGGCAGAATGTTTAGGTCTTTGGGTAGAATATCTTCTGTGCCTTTTCTGTGAATTGTAAAATTACATTTGGGAAATAAAGAAAAAAATCCCTGATTATCCCACTATAGCAATACAACCACTGTAAACATTTTGGTATACAGTTGTGTTGCATTATATGCATTTTCTGATTTTTGTATGTCCACCTGTGCTTATTTGAACTGTATCCCCCTCCCCACTTCCCACACCCTGTTTTCTCACTCCTGGAGTGAGCATGGGCAGTGGGGATGAGACTCGCCTGTGGCTTCAGTTTGTCTCCTTTTCTAAGTTTCTCTGAGTGGGCATTCACTGTGCTGGCTGTGATTCTGTTATTTAAAGCAATATATTTTCATACCTTATGGCCCTTAAATGCAAGCCAACCTCTTCATCTGGTGTCAACCAAAGGAAAAGTGATCTGTTGCAGCGCTGGAGGAAAAACTGGCAATGTTGGACTTACCTAAATTGAAAGATGGTATGTTGTTCTTCACCTTGGGGTCTTCAAGTATGATTTTTGACAGTGCATGGTTTTTATCTTACATGCTGACTTTTGTCTCTAACCCTTGAGTTAGATGCAATTTAATTCCAGCCCTTTTTCCCTATATACATTTTACATAATTATCCATAAGGGTATATTCATTTTTAAGGCTCTTAAAATATACTATATCAAGTATCTTTCCATATTGCTATACAATTTTTGTAGCTGTCATTTATAATAAGACATTTTAGTTTTCGTCTTTTCAGAAGAATTTTGGGAGCTAGTATAATCAGCTCCTTAGAATGCTTTCTAATTTGCATACTCAGGTCTACTCACAATAGTTCTGCCATAGATATTTAAAATAGAAGCAACTGTTATGCTGCTAAATTGAATATTTCTTAACTAGGCTTATTTCTTAACAGGGGCATAGATGTATGTTTTCAGGCATATGGGACCCTTTCTGTAACTAGGCTTCTAGAGTTTAGAATTAAGATTATTTAAATTGGTCTATGATCTTATTGAAGAGTGAGAGGCTAGAGTGTAGTGGTTAAAAACATCAACTTGAATCTGGACTGCTTGCATTTAAAGCTCAGTATTGGTACTTACTTGGTTACTTTGATCAGTTTACCTATCCTTTCTTTGCCGCCTTCTACATGGCTAAAATCAGGTTAATAATATTTACCTCTTAAGATAGTATTGTGAATATTAAATCAGTATATACAAAGTATTTAGAATAAAATCTTGAACCAACAAGTTTTATGTAAATATTACTTACTTTCATAGGCTAGTTTGCTAATTGCTGAAAATCCTTATGGCACAACCATGAGTCTTGAACACACAGAATACCTTTTTTTTTTTTAACGTTTTAGGCAGTATAGTTAAACCTTAAATTTCTGTTCTTGTTTGATAGCTAAAGTTTCAGTCAGAATAAATTTAGTGTTGGGCTTGTGAATATAATATTAAATCTGAAGTATGTTGTCAACATATAGTATTGCAGGGTTGATGTCTAGAAATGCTATATTAGATGCTCATAATGTTTTCTGTATCTTTTTCTTCCCAATGTCTACTTGTCCTTTAGCAAAGTATGAACGTTGTCATGAATCTTTTCTCTCTGTCCACAGATTCTGTGTGCTCCTCTGGGCCACAGTAGTTACTTCTTTAAGCACAGAAAGGAAACTTAGGGCTTTGCCAGTTTTAGTATTAGTTCTCTATGTTTTTCATCCGGGCAGCTATGGAGAGGGTTGCTTTCCACACACCTGGGTACTCCATTGATATGTTCTGTAGAGGTAATCAACACACTAGAGAGTACACCTGTTTGTTCCATGGCTAACCCTTTCTGATTGTAGACATGCATTTGAGTGTTTGCAGTGGATATTTGGTGCTAACAGGTGTCTTAGTTCCTTCTGTTATTCTGTAATGTTTCCCAAGAATATTCAGAGCTGTTTATAAAATGCAGAGTGATTTATGTATTAGGTGTTCAATGAGTTTGATCAAGAAGATTCACTTGAAAGGAATTAACTAACAAAGCAGTTTCCATTGTTAATAGGATATGCATGCTGTTTCTCTAAAGTATTTTTATTTCTTCAAAGAGTTATTAAGCAGAGGAGACTGATTTTGTGGTAAGTTTGGAGGGGTTAGTTTTAATCCACGTTGGTCAAAACTAAAAGTAGATTAGAAAATCTATTTCTCATCCTACAGTAGTGCTGAGGTTTCTAGTAGATTGTTTTTCTTCTTCCTAGTCATTTTCTGAAACTCAAAACAAGAATCAACCTATACCATTGTAATGTTTCACAGTTAACTTGGAGTATTTAACAAGTCTAAAATCAAAGTTTATTGTTATTAGTAAAACATTTTGAAGCCATTCATTTCATGTGACAAGGAATCTTATTTCACCAAATGTGGTATGTTTTTAAACTTATACTTTCTATTGTTCTAGTTTTGTTGATCTTTGATATTGATGCAGTGATATCAGTTTCCTATTGTTATATATACTTTGTGGTCAAAATTATCATAGGGTTTTGTGTTTTTCTTTGCCTGAGTTTTGCTTCTCATCTGAACATCACATCTTTTTCTTGCGGTTCCATTTACACAGTGTGATTCCTAGAGATGAGCTTCTTTATCCTCTGAGGCAGTGGAGGAAGCATGGAAGCCACTTGGGGAGCACTGCATTGACAAGTGTATTTTTGTAGTCACATGGTGGCAGTGTCAGGGAAATTATAGGACTGGTTAGATTCTAGTTCAGCAACCTATAAATCCCAGGACTTCCCAGTCTCGTGAGTCATACAACTCTCAGGCCTGTGCTGCAAATGACACTTGCTTAGGAGTAAGGTGAAGGGTATTTTATAGCTCTAATGGTTTGTACAGTTCTTAAACATGTATTGATTGCTAACAACTGCTGTCTTTCTCCCAGCTTGC
The DNA here is from genome assembly GCF_000001405.40 of Homo sapiens. Taxonomy (NCBI): domain Eukaryota; kingdom Metazoa; phylum Chordata; class Mammalia; order Primates; family Hominidae; genus Homo; species Homo sapiens. The sequence goes on from NC_000003.12 coordinate 49,998,733, forward strand.
CCCACCACCAGTCTTTGTGCATAAGCACAATTTTGGACATAGTTATTTGTACTTATTTATGCTTTTACACCTTCTTCCTTTTATAAAGATTTTAGCTGGTTTATGACTTGAGTTGAAACAAGGAAAAAAAGAGGAGACCTGAAATGGTCTGTCCCCTGCCAACCAGAAGCCTCCTGTGGTATCCAAACAGAATAGTTGCCTCAGTCTGTCAGCACTTCTGTCTTTGAAGGTGGTTTCTGCTTGAAAAGTGGTGACTATTAGCATAGCCTGGGGATAATTGCTTTTTTTTCTTCTCTCGGGATACCTTTTTTTTTTTTTTTTTCCAGATACTTTCTTGCTCTTGTCGACTTTGTTTTTCCAGAAGATTTAGCCTGTGGTTAAAATGTTTCGGGTCCCCACGTGAACTCTCTGTGGGATTACCCAATTCTGGGGTACCTTCACCAGATCACCAGTGCTAAAGAGGGCAAAGGATCTTCTTGGTTAATAGAAAAGGCTGTTTTGGAATGAATCTCAAAGTCCAGAAACATCGAGACTTTTCTTCAATACTTTTTTCTATTTGGGGTAGCAACTTTACCTAGTGTAGGGGAGGGAGGGGTTAGTTGGGAGGGCTTGTGTTTAAGGGGTTCAGAAACAGGGGATTTAAGTGTGTCTTTTGTGTTTGCAAGGCACTAACACCACTCCCGTCTGTATTTAAATGCTGTCCCCAGGTTACGACTATGGCTATGTCTGCGTGGAGTTTTCACTCTTGGAAGATGCCATCGGATGCATGGAGGCCAACCAGGTTGCTTTATACTTCGGTCAAATGATGCTGGAAGGATATATTTTTTTATATATGGGGAGGGAGGGTTTCAAATGATTTTACTTTGGAAAGGTACAAGAAGTCTATCTGTGGAGCATACTGTATTCCAACCATCGGTTGTGAGGAAAATCTTTAAAAAGGCTGGAAAGCTTTCTCTACAAAACTTAATGGGCACAGAGTGCATTTTAAAAGCTAGAGCCCAGTTGCTTTTGGACTAGATTCCAAAGACAATAGTTGGAAAAAAAAAAAAAAGACACATCTGGAGTGTTTCCTTTTGGAGTGTGACTGAGATGGTAATCCTGATGCAAAGAATGATCCTTGATTGTCTGTGACCCCAAGGATCTGCCTAGCACAGAAATTCTAGGTCAATAGTTACACCCAGACCTAGGGTGAAGACCTCTGATGGTGACTTCTGTGGCATCAGATCCTGCCTGCAGGGGCTACTTCCAAAAGAGAGCTATCAGGGAAGAGAGAGGAGTGGATTGTTGGTGTCTATTGCATTCATCATTGTTTTTTGCCAATTGGAGTTGCATACTCAAGTCCTTGGCTGCGTATAGTCAGAGCTGGTGAATCAGAATCTGTACTCACCTTACGTTTGAACTATCTGGAGTTACTCAGCTTGCCACCTAGATTTTTCATCTATGTCTTTAATAGAACCCTACCTGGTAGTTTTGAGAGGAATTAATAAATAGGTAGAATCCTTCTTGTTATGGTGCTTCCTTGGGGAAAGTTGTTTTCTTTGGGTTGTTTCAGTTCCTCCATCTGTAAAGTAGGAAAAGAAACTTAGGAATATAGTTTGATGTGTTTTTTTTTTCTTTTTTTTTTTTTTTAATGTACCCACTGCCTATACTTAACAGTGTGAATACAGTGGGCCCAGAATCTTTCTTTCTTTCTTTTTTTTTTTTTGAGACGGAGTTTTGCTCTTGTTGCCCAGGCTGGATTGCAATGGTGCGATCTCGGCTCACTGCTACCTCCACCTCCCTGGTTCAAGCGATTCTCCTGTCTCAGCCCCCTGAGTAGCTGGGATTACAGGCATGCGCCACCACGCCGGCTAATTTTGTATTTTTAGTAGAGATGGGGTTTCTCCATGTTGGTCAGGCTGCTCTCGAACTCCAGACCTCAGGTGATCTGCCTGCCTCGGCCTCCCAAAGTCCTGGGATTACAGGCATGAGCCACCGTGCCCAGCCAGGCCCAGAATCTTAAAAGAAGGCTCTGCCAGAGAAGAGTAGTTATTAGATGAGAACTCTTCTTCTTCTGTAGCCTGATGCTTTGTTCAGCTTTGTTTAACTCAGTGTGGCTCATTATACGTACTTTTCTCTTCTTGGCCAAGTTCTCCTCTTATGGGTATGGAGATGACATGCTCTAAATGCTTTGGGAGCAAGCACTCATTAGAGAAGACTTTTGATGTATCCTTATCTTGTTAGTAGTTTAAGCTTGTCAGATCCTTAAAGAATGACAGGCTTAGGACCATATCCCCTAGACTTAAGAGGATTCTCATTGACCATTTGTTCAGTGTCCATCACTGAATCACTTACCAAATACAGTTGACACTCTGTATCCACAGGTTCCACACCCATAGATTCAACCAAATGCTGATTGGACATATTCAGGAAAAAAATGCATTAACACTGCAACAATAAAAAATAATACAGGCCAGGAGTGGTGGCTTACTCTGTAATCCCAACATTTTGGGAGGCCCGGGTGGGAGGATTGCTTGAGGCCAGGAGTTTGAGACCAGCCTGGGCAACACAGGGAGACCCCATCTCTACAAAAAATAAAAGTGAAAAAATTAGCCAAGTGTGGTGGCTATCAACTTGGGAGGCTAAGATGAGAGGATTACTTGAGTCTGGATTGAGACTGCAGTGAGCTGTGATCACTCTGCTGCACTCTAGCCTGGGGTGACAGAGTGAGACCCCGTCTCAAAAAACAAAAAAGTACAGTTAACTATTTATATAGTCTTTATTAGGTATTAGATATAAGTAATCTAGAGATGGTTTAAAGTATGTTGGAGGATGTGTGTAGGTTGTATGCAAATACCATGTGATTTTATATAAGGGACTTGAGCATCCTGAGATTTTTGTGTCCTTGTGGGTCCTGGAACCAATCCCCTGTGGACACCAAGGGACAACTGTACTAACCATGTGTCAGAAACTGCTACATGCCAATTTTGGAGAGAAGAAAAAAGCTTCCAATCTGTGTGCTTTCGGTGGATCCTATTCTGACAGTCTGTCCAATTTTGAGAACACTCATTAATTCATAAGCAGTGAATGTGATTAAGTCGTTCGCCTCTGTGCTAAATACTCAATGTAATAGCTGATAGCTGAGTGCTATAAAGAAAATGAAGCAGGGTATTGGGAGAATGCATCATGGTGGCAATTTTAGAGGGGTGGTCAGGGAAACTTCTTGAGGAGTGACATACATTTAAGTTGTGACTCTTGGCGAATAATGTATCCAGAACACTTACTATAGTACCTAGCACTTGGTAGCATTTGAATTAATTTGAAATTCAGTGTCCTTCTTTCTCTCTCTTACCCTCCTCCACATGTCAAGTAATTTCCAATTATAAATTTTGTGTGTGTGTGTGAGACGGAGTCCAGCCAGGCTGGAGTGCAGTGGCGTAATCTTGGCTCACTGCAACCTCCGCCACCCGGGTTCCAGAGATCCTCCTGTCTCAGCCTCCCAGGTAGCTGGGACTACAGATATGCGCCACCATGCTTGGGTAAATTTTTTTTCTTTTTTTTTTTTTTTGAGATGGAGTCTCGCTCTGTTGCCCAGGCTGGAGTGCGGTGGCACGATCTCAGCTCATTGCAACCTCTACCTCCTGGGTTCAAGTGATTCTCCTGCCTCAGCCTCCCAAATAGCTGGGATTACAGGTGCCCGCCACCACACCTGGCTAATTTTTGTATTTTTAGTAGAGATGGGGTTTCACCATGTTTGCCAGGCTGGTCTGGAACTCCTGACCTCAGGTGATCCGACTGCCTTGGCCTCCCAAAGTGCTGGGACTGCAGGCGTGAGCCACCATGTCCTGCCAATTTTTGTATTATTAGTAGAGATGGGGTTTCACTATGTTGGCCAGGCTGGTCTTGAACTGCAGACCTTAGGTGATCTGCCCACCTTGGCCTCCCAAAGTGCTGGGATGACACGCACGAGTCACCGTGCCTGGCCTTCAATTATAATTATAAGAAAATAAATTTATTTTTATATCTGAAGTTTAATAAAACTAATTCTTTAAGGAAATGGATGTGGATTAAACTCCTTATGACATAGTAAACAATCTTATGAGAGACATAAGAATGTGAGGGAAGAAGTCCTGTCTCCTCAGGGTGAATAAAGTAAATATTTTGGGAGGCTGAGGCGAGCGGATCATGAGGTCAGGAGAGCAAGACCATCCTGACCAACAAGGTGAAACCCCGTCTCTACTAAAATACAAAAAAATTAGCCAGGTGTGGTGGCGCACGCCTGTAGTCCCAGCTACTTGGGAGGCTGGGGCAGGATAATTGCTTGAACCCAGGAGGTGGAGGTTGCAGTGAGCCAAGATTGCACCACTGCACTCCAGCCTGCTGACAGAGCAAGACTCTGTCTCAAGAAAACAATAAAATTGAATAAATAAATAAATAAATAAAATAAATATTTGTGGAAGATAAAATGTGTTTGTAGGCCGGGCACTATGGCTCAAGCTTATAATCCCACCACTTTGGGAGACCAAGGCTGGAGGATCACTTGAGCCCAGGAGTTTGAAATGAGCATGGGGTAAATAGTGAGACCCTGTCTAAATTTAAAAAAAAAAAAAAAAAAAAAAAAGTCTTTGTCTATCCTTTCCCCCAGTTTTACTTACAGACCAAATTGGTATGGATTCTGAGTCACCACGATCTGCTTGGCAACTCTTAGTAGAGCCTGAGTGTGTGTGTGCCTCTGAGAAGGTTACTCCGAAGTACTTTGAGTTTTTTTGTAACTCTTTGCTATTCCGACTCTTGATGTGAAATGTCTTTTATTTATCATTGGCTGGTACTTGTAGGCCTAGGGGATGGAAATAAAGGAATTTTCTGCTAGCTTGCTTTGTCAAATATTGTTGGGTATGTGTGCCTTCGTGAAGTTGCTCAAGATGATAACCAAGGTCCCTCTAGCCTTTTCCTGGTGCCTAGATCAAGCTGTTAAACAGTAGGATGCTCTGCAGCAGTACTGAGCTTTGTGGCTGTGGTGACCGATCAGGGTATCACTTAGGCAGCAGCTGTCTATCTGGAGAAATAATTTCCAACAGGTATGAAGGTATGAATCTGTTAGTCTGTACCATCACCATTTCTGTCTAGGAGAAGGGGGCAGCCAGCAAGCACTGTCAGGCAGAGCCTTTCGTTCCACCCTTCCTGCAAAGTGTATTTCTAGCCCTGTCATATGCCCTTGGCTTTCTTTGTTGTCAAGTCTCTGGGAGATTGAGGGTACATATTATTTCCTTCTGCTTTGTGTGCCCTTGCACTGGGACTTGGGGAGGGGAGTAAGAAGTATTGTGTTAAAATGTTAATCCCTTTCATTGGTTGCCCAGTTGTGAGTACTAGCCCTCTCAGACTGTTGGCATTTGGTATGCAGGGATTAGCATTTTATGTTCTCAAGTATGCTGGTGTGATGCTTATTGTCTATTATTTGGCCAAATTAGTCACTAAAGTGCCCTTATAGAAGATAACTCTGGGAGAGGTATTTATTTCTCTGAAATTTTTATTCTCCTTTCCCCTTTCCTTTCCTTTCCTTTTTCTTTTTCTTTTTTTCTTTCCTTTTTCTCCCCTCCCCCCCCTCCCCTCTCCTCTTATTGGAGACAAGGTCTCCCTCTGTCACCTACGCTGGAGTGTAGTGGTACAATCATGGCTCACTGCGGCCTCGATCTCTTGTGCCGAAGTGATCCTCCCAACTCAGTTCTCTTTAGTAGCTGGAACTACCACCACCACAGCTGGCTATTTTTTTTTTTTTTTTTTTGTAGAGGCAGGGTTTTGCAACATTCCCCAGGCTGGTCTTGAACTCCTGGACTCAAGCAATTTACCTATCTCGGCCTCCCAAAGCACTGGGATTCCAGGTGTGAGCCACTATGCCTGGCCTATTTTTAAATTTTTATTTTTTTGAGACTTAGGGTTCTGTTCTGTTGCTCAGGCTGGAGTACAGTGGTACGATGAGAGCTCATTGCAGCTTTGAACTCCTGGGCTTAAGCAATCCTCTCACCTCAGCCTTCTGAGTAGCTGGACTACAGGCACCTGCCACCATGTTCGGCTAATTAAAAAAATAACAAACTCTGTTCGTAAAGATGGGGTCTTGCTGTGTTGCTCAGGCTGCTCTTGAACTCCTTGCCTCAAGTGAGCCTCCCACCTGGACCTGCCAAATTGCTGGGATTATAAGCATGAGCCACTGCGCCCAGCCTTACTCACCTTTTTGTATGACACTATCAGTCTTTCTAAAGTGCAAAGAAAAAGGGTTCTGTTATCATCTGATGTGAAAATTCCTTTAAACATTGACTTTTTCTGGTGTGAGGAATGAAAGCTGTGGAATACGTGAAGTTTTATGAAATAGTGTTTTTTTGTGTGTGTGTCAACAAAATTAAGAGAGTTTGGGTTATTGAAGATACAAGAGTGTTTTTGAAGGTATATATAGGAAACCAAATCTCAAATGTGGTCTGTCCTTGTGATTAAAATTAGAGCAATAGGGAAGCCAGGTGTGATGGCTCACACCTGTAATTCCAGCACTTTTGCAGGCTGTGACAGGAGGATCACTTGAGCCCAGGAGTTGAGTCCAGCCTGGGTAACATAGCAAGACCTCATCTCTACAAAACATTGTTAAAAATTAGCTGGGTGTAGTGGCACATGCCTATTGTCCCAGCTATTTGGAAGGCTAAAGTGGGAGGATTGCTTGAGCCTGGGAGGTCAAAGCTACAGTGAGCCGTGATTGTGCCACTGCACTGCAACCTGGGCGACAGAGAGATCCTGCCTCAAAAAAAAAAAAAAAAGCAACAGAGAAAGCTTATGTTTTTAGTGATGAGAATGCTATTTGTGAGGCCATGATGGAAAAAATTGAAGAACCTAGTTTGTTGGAAACTTAAATTGGTAGTAAAGACATAATACTATCTGAAACACTTTAGTACTTAAATTGTGTGCATTCCAAGCAACAAAACCAATAATCTGTAGGTTGAAGGTTGTAGTGTTACCTAAACAACTATCACCCCAAAAACACTTCATTGAGGAGTATCCAGCATCCTAGCCAGAGCTCAACTGTATAACTTATGGCTGGAATCATGCCATTCTTGCTGGAAACTTCAATTTCAGTACTTTTTCCTTATCACCCTCAGAAGGGTAGTAGTAGAAACATGGGGAACTGCATTCTAAAATGAGTGTATAGGTTCATAACCTAGCTAGAAAAAAAAATTAAAACAATTAATGAGTACAAACCAAGGGTTATTGAAGAGTCTCGCTCTCAAGAGAGTTGGGGTATTCAAGAAAATTGAAAGTGAGTTTAAGGATCGATGACTTGATTACACATTTTGGCTATTTATCCACTGATTGAGACTTTTTTTTTTGAGATGGAGTCTCACTGGTTCGCCCAGGCTGTAGCGCAGGGGTGCGATTTATCCACTGATTGAGACTTTTTTTTTTTTTTTTTTCAGATGGAGTCTCGCTGTGTCGCCCAGGCTGTAGCACAGAGGTGCTCACTGCAACCTCCGCCTCCTGGGTTCAAGTGATTCTCCTGCCTTAGCCTCCCGAGTAACTGGGATTACAAGCATGTGCCACCACGCCTGGCTAATTTTTGTATTTTCAGTAGAAATGGGGTTTCACCATGTTGGCCAGGCTGGTCTTGAACTCCTCACCTCAGGTGATCCGCCCGCCTCGGCCTCCCAGAGTGCTGGGATTACACATGTGAGCCACTGTGCCCAGCCCAGTGATTGAGACTCGACTGGACATGAAGCAGTATAATGTAGCAGTATAACATAGTATTCTGGAAGCAGACTACCGGGGGTTGCATTTCGGCTCCATCACTTTCTAAGGTGTACTTGAACAAGTGGCTTAACCTCTCTGTGTTTTAACGTACTCTCACACACATCTAGGGATTAAATAAGTTAATGCATGTAAGGTGATTAGAACTGGGGCTGGTGGCCGGGTGCGGTGGCTCATGCCTGTAATCCTAGCAAGTTGGGAGGCCAAGACGGGCGGATCACGAGGTCAGGAGATGGAGACCATCCTGGCTAACATGGTGAAACCCCGTCTCTACTAAAAATACAAAAAAATTAGCTGGGCGTGGTGGCGGGCGCCTGTAGTCCCAGCTACTTGGGAGGCTGAGGCAGGAGAATGGCGTGAACTGGGAGGCGGAGCTTGCAGTGAGCCGAGATCGCACCACTGCACTCCAGCCTGGGCGACAGAGTGAGACTCCATCTCAAAAAAAAAAAAAAAGAACTGGGGCTGGCACAAAGTGAATGTTGAGTGCATCTTTGTTGTTTTCACACAACTTCTCATCTGAAACAAAGTCTTAAGTTACAGCAGCTCTGGTCTTGGCTTAATGGAGTATATGGCAAAAAGAGGATTTGGTGGCAGTGCCTAGGAGGATTTTTTTTTTTCCCATCAACAATACTTCTCATTTAGCCTGTTGATTGATACGGATTATCAGGGGACTCCTTCCAGCTTCCCTAGTTGGAGTTTTTTTTTTTTTTTTTCCTTTTTTGAGACAGGGTCTCATTCTGTCTCCTAGGCTGGAGTGCAGTGGTGCGATCTCGGCTCACTGCAACCTCCGTTTTTGGGGCTCAAGCCACTCTCATGCCTCAGCCTCCCAAGTAGCTGTGGCTACAGACACGTGCCTGGCTAATTTTGTATTTTTGTAGAGACGGGGTTTTGCCATATTGCCCAGGCTGATCTCGAACTCCTGAGGTCAAAGCGATCTGCCTACCTCAGCCTCCCAAAGTGCTGGATTACAGGAGTGAGCTACCATGTCCGGCCCTTAGTAGGAGTTTCTGCTGCCTTAGCCTTCAAGAGAGAATCTTAAATTTTCTTTTTTTTTTTTGAGACAGAGTCTGGCTCTGTCGCCCAGGTTGGAGTGCGGTGGCGTGATCTCGGCTCACTGCATGCTCCGCCTCCCGGGTTCACACCATTCTCTCGCCTCAGCCTCCTGAGTAGCTGGGACTACAGGCGCCTGCCACCACACCCGGCTAATTTTTTTGTATTTTTAGTAGAGACGGGGTTTCACCATGTTAGCCAGGATGGTCTCGATCTCCTGACCTCGTGATCCACCCGCCTCGGCCTCCCAAAGTGCTGGGATTACAGGCGTGAGCCACCTCTCCCGGCCATAAGAATCTTAAATTTTCTAAAGAGAAAGAGCAGGAGACAGACAGTACCACATGGAGTATGTTTAGGCCATGTAGGAAATCTAGCCTGTGGCTTTAAAACCGTAAGTTCTAAATTAGCTGGGTATGGTGGTGCACACCTGTAGTCCTAGCTACTCTGGAGGCTGAGGTAGGAGGATCACTTGTGCCCAGGAGTTCAAGGTTGCAGTGAGCTGTGATGGTGTCACCGCACTCCAGCCTGGGCAACAGAATGAGATGCTGTCTCTCAAAGCAAAACACCCTAAGCTCTGATAACCAGCCCATTATTTGCCACATCTCAGGCTCTTTAATTATGAGAGGTGCTCTAAACGACTCATTTTAATTCTCTCGAATTTGAAAAATAAACATTTATCATTTGGCAGTTTTAAGGGAACCTTCTGATATGTGTCCTACAATGGGTTTATAATTATTTTTGTCACAAATCATGGTTTATTTCTATGGATTAAAGTAGTTTAGTTCTTAATTTGTTCTAAATTGGAAATATACCTATATGTTTTAACCTCGTGCTTCAGTGTTGTCACATCTCATTAGTTCAGGGGTCGTACAAAGGCATAGTTCAGTTAGCCATCTTGATTATAACTTTGGTTTATGACCTTATGTATGTTCAGATGGTATAGGGTTCGTAGCACAGAAAGATTTAGAATTCCAGCTTCATTACCTCCTGGCTCTTTTGTAACTTTTTTTTTTTTTTTTTTTTTTTTTTGAGACGGATCTTGCTCTGTTGTCCAAGCTGGAGTGCAGTGGTGTGATCTGGGCTCAATGCAACCTCCACCTCCCGGGTTAAAGCGATTCTCCTGCCTTGGCCTCCCGAGTAGCTGGGATTACGGGCATACACCACCACGCCCAGCTAATGTTTATTTTAGTAGAGATGGGGTTTCACCATGTTGGCCAGGCTGGACTTGAACTCCTGACCTCAGGTGATCCACCCACCTTGGCCTTTCAAAGTGTTGGGATTATAGGCGTGAGCCACCGTGCCTGGCCTCTCTTTTGTAACTTCTGAACCTCAGTTTTCTCATCTGTAAAATGAGAGGATGATCATAATACCACCCATAGTGCAGTTGTGAGGTTAGAGTATGTAGTATATGTAAAGTGATCAGCATGATAACTGGCATGTGGTAAGTGCTCTGTAGTAAAGGGTGATTCATAACACTGGACTCTGCTTGGTTGTACCAACTTCTCATTTTCCCTGGCTCCTTATCCACCTCTTGGGATTCAGAGTTGGCTGAAAGTGGCAGGCAGTGCTGCTTTGGGTGGCAGCTTGATTTTAGACAGCCAGTTCACATAGTGCTTTTGTTCAGGACCTCTCGGGATTTCTAGACAGACAGCAAGAGAGTTGGGCTAACACCTGTCATGAAGTGTCTAAGGAATGAGTGCACAAGCATTCAGGCATGTGAGGGCAGAAGACCATGACCATACCTGCCTTCCTACAGTAAACAGCCTGTTGTTTCTGCAGGTAGCATTGCAGGTAGTTCTTTTATCAGAAAATTCTTGTAGGCTGCAGGTGACATTGAGTGTTATTAGGTATCTTCTTCATTCAAGTTGAACTTGGAGGTTACAGTATATCTTTATGTCCCCCTCTCCACAGGTGTTTAAGTGTTGTCATTCATCCTCTAGTGCATAGATTATGTGTGCACATTTCTTGTTAAGGATATTGATGAACTGATAGTTTATCTAGAATAATGTTTATTTTATATTTTATTTTATTGAGACAGGGTCTTGCTCTATCACCCAAGCTGGAGTGCAGCGGCATGATCATGGCTCACTGCAGCCTCAACCTCCTGGGTTCAAGCCATCCTCCCTACCTCAGCCTTCTGAATAGTTGGGACTACAGGTGTGCGCCACCACACCTGGCTAATTTTGAGGGGGTAGAGGGGAGGTACAGATGAGATCTCACTGTGTTGTCCAGGCTGGCCTTTTGCTCCTGGACTCAAGCAGTCCTGCCTCAGACTCACAAAGTTCTGGAATTACAGATGTGAGCCACTGTACCCAGCCTAGAATAATTATTATTTATTTTTATTTTTATTTATTTATTTTTTGAGACAGAGTTTTGCTCTTGTTACCCAGGCTGGAGTGCGATGGCACAGTCTTGGCTCACTGCAACCTCTGCCTCCCGGGTTCCAGTGATTCTCCT